>NC_000016.10:71532197-71835227 GCF_000001405.40 Homo sapiens
CCACCACGCCTGGCTAATTTTTTGTATTTTTAGTAGAGACGGGGTTTCACCGTGTTAGCCAGGATGGTCTCGATCTCCTGACCTCGTGATCCACCCACCTTGGCCTCCCAAAGTGCTGGGATTACAGACGTGAGCCACCATGCCCGGCCTAGCTGGTCCTGTTCTAATCTGCAGGGCTAAGACTACAGGGCAGGAATTACCAGTCATTGACATTTTCTGCCGTACAGCAAGTGATTTTCAGCCATGATGATGAGATGATCCTCATTGGATCTTTTTGGCACATCCAGAGGAAAAGCACTGTTATTATGAATGGAAGATAAGGGGTTTTTCTGCTATTGCCACCCAAGGTTTGGCTTGAGTCATTACATACTTCCCAGAAGGTTCAGGGGACTTCCAAGGAAAACCCACGAGCTGGCAAAGCATGCTTTCCCTTCAGGAAGAAAGCTATAAATGCCAAGAGTCTCCTTTGTGGCTACCCAATTTCTCTCCTAAAATCTACTCTCACAGGTCTCTGGAGCCCTGGACGTAGAGAATAGTTTCTGATCAGTATGAAGGCTACCTTCATACATGTGTGATCTTACATACATGTGTGACGGTGTGTGAACATAAAGGTCATCACTGAAGCACTTGAAATGGCAAAAGATTGGAAACAACTCATAAGCCCATCCATCAATGAGGAAACTGATTAAATAAACTGTGGTTAATCCATATAATACTTCTTCGAAGCAACAATGAATGAGGAACTACTTTACGAACTGCCCTGGAATGCTCCCTAAGACATATTGACAACTAAAAATAAAGGGCAGCACAGAACAGATAACTTGAAATTTTTTTTTGATTTTTTTTTGCATTTTAAAGAGGAAAAAAATTAAGAACACATACACATTTGAATGTTCTTGTGTACACATAAAGCAACTGAAAAGACACATTAAAAATGAACTCAGGCCAGGCACAGTGGCTCATGCCTATATAATCCCAGCACTTTGGGAGGCTGAGGCGGGCAGACAACTTGAGGTCAGGAGTTCGAGACCAGCCTGGCTAACATGGTGAAACCTCGTTTCTACTAAAAATACAAAAATTAGCCGGGCGTGGTGGTGTGCGCCTGTAGTCTCACCTACTCAGGGGGCTGAGGCAGGAGAATCACTTGAACCCGGGAGGCAGAGGTTTCAGTCAACCGAGATCGCGCCAGTGTGTACTGCAGCCTGGGCAACAGAGCAAGACTCTGTCTCAAAAAAAAAAAAAAACAAAAAAAAAAACGTAGTTGCTATGTGCGGCAAGTTGAGAAATGGGCAGGTGAGGTCAGGTGCTGGAAGTAGACTTTTCACTGTACATTGATGACAAAACACCAGCTAGCAGATAAATAGCAGCTGTCAGTACGTAAAAAAGAGGGGACTGATTTGTCAGCTAGTAAAATTCTTAGGTTTTCTTTCCTCTGGAAAAATACTATGACCCCTTTAAAGATATGTCATTACCCATGTTTACAAATAGCTCTAGAAGTTTCCTAATTTCTGACTACAGGCCTCCCTCACAGGCACAAGCGCTTGTCATAAGATTTCCCCTCCAGGCTGGGCATGGGGGCTCACACTTGTAATCCCTGCATTTTTGGGAGGCTGAGGCAGGCGGATCACAAGGTCAGGAGATCAAGACCATCCCAGTCAACATGGTGAAGCCCCATCTCTACTAAAATACAAAAAATTAGCTGAGCCTGGTGGCACGTGCCTATAGTCCCAGCTACTCAGGAGGCTGAGGCAGGGGAATCACTTGAACCTGGGAGGAGGAGGTTGCAGTGAGCTGAGATCAGGCCACTGCACTTCAGCCTGGTGACAGAGCAAGACCCCATCTCAAAAAAAAAAAAAAAAAGATTTCCCCTCCCCAGTGACATATGTTAAAAGCCTGGGGTGTGTCAGGCTGGCTGCAGGCTGGCAGGCACTCCTTTCCCTCCTGCATACAGAATCTGAGAAAACGCTTGTTTTAAATTCTGAGTCTGTAGAAACTTTTCAAAATAATTTGAATCATGTGACTATTACCTATTAAAAACTTTTTAGGCTGAGCACGGTGGCTCATGCCTGTAATCCTAGCACTTTGGGAGGCTGAGGCAGGAAGATTGTTTGAGGCCAAGAGTTCAAGATCTGACTGGGCAACATTTCTTTCTTTTTTTTTTTTTTTTTTTCTTTTTTGAGATGGAGTTTTGCTCTTGTTGCCCAGGCTAGAGTGCAATGGCACAATCTCGGCTCACTGCAATCTCTGCCTTTCTGATTCAAGTGATTCTCCTACCTCAGCCTCCCACGTAGCTGGGATTACAGGCACCAGCCAACACGTCCAGCTAATTTTTGTATTTTTAGCAGAGGCAGGCATTCACCATGTTGGCCAGGCTGGTCTCAAACTCCTGACCTCATATGATCCACCCGCCTCGGCCTCCAAAAGTGTTGGGACTACAGGCATGAGCCACTGTGCTCAGCCATGAGCAACATTTCAAGACCTTGTCTCTGCAAAAATAAATAAATAAATAATAAAAACTTTTTAAATAATTGGTATAAGACCTGCCACCACAAAAACAGCTGACCCCCAAATCCAGCCCCACTTACCATCTGGAAATCTAGCCTCTATTTTTTACTAAAGCTGGAAGGGAGAATTTCTTGTGTACATGGTGATATACAAATGAACACCTTACTACTACTATGAATATTTTACAATGTGCAATAGCTATTCTCTCTCCCAATAGTTATTTATGTCAGAAGGTCACCCAGAATGACAAAGTCATGTGGGAAGGAGGTTAAAATATCCTTTGGAATAACATTCTAGCATACCACTGGGAACCGTGGTCCTTTCACACGAAGCAAGCCCTGATTGCAAAATGTTGCCATCAGTCAGTATGAGACAGTACGAATCACAAAGTGAGACCCTTTCTCTAGATATTTACTGTCTATCAACTGGAAAACCATCTTAATATACTTATTTTTTGTTTTATTTTGTTATATTTGTGGGTTTTTTTGGAGATGGAGTCTCAGCCTTTCACCCAGGCTGGAGTGCAGTGGCGCGATCTCGGCTTACTACAACCTCTGTCTCCCAGGTTCAGACGATTCCCCTGCCTCAGCCTCCCAAGTAGCTGGGACTATAGGCGTGTGCCAACACACTCAGCTAATTTTTGCATTTTTAGTAGAGACAGGGTTTTGCCATGTTGGCCAGGCTGGTCTCAAATTCCTGACCTCAAGTGATCTGCCCAGCTCAGTCTCCCAAAGTGCTGGGATTACAGGCATGAGCCACTGCACCTGGCCTTAATATACTTATTTTGTTGGACCAAGATACTTTACTATCACCTACAAAAAACATTTTGAAAATAAATATCTAAATTCTTGATGGGATGGCACTCCCTAGGGTTGTGTGATACACACTTGCCCAACTGCACTGAGCTGCCTTGAGTAGGTTGTCCCACGTAATCAAGTATGCCTCAAGCAGCAGTGTGGGAGTCATGGGCCACAAGTGTCCCCAGTGAGAGTGATACAGTTCTGAGATCTGTAGCACTTAGGTTGGCTTGCCACACTTTCTTAGAGTTGGCAGGTAAGGAGACACTAATAGCTCAAATAACTCTAATTCAGCTCAAATAGATTCAGATAGTTTATTACCTACACAGATACAAGGTCGACATTGGATCAACTCCCCATGGCCTTGGTCCCATGGGATGACACCAAATCAGAAGGATTTGCTATCTAGGGCAAGGTGAGAAATGGGCAGGTGAGGTCAGGTGCTAGACGTAGACTTTTCACTCTACACTGATGGCAAAACACCAGCTAGCAGATAAATAGATGACAGGCACCATGAGCACCTGGCTCTGCCTTTGAGGAGACAATTCCAACTAAAGCCAAGCAGTTGCACAGCCTGCAGCCCTATCTTTTGAGGGACTGGAGTGGAAAGTCCTGTGCTTAACTGCAGTGAGGGAGGGAGATGAGACACAGTCTTGGTTGCAGTCTCCCTTATGATGGAGGGATGGCTAAGCAGTGGCTTCGAGGCAGTTCTTCACTAGGTAGCTTATCTCCCTCTGTCTCTGCAGGAATCACAAGCCATTCCTCCAAGACTTGAGTCAGACTGAGGTGACGCCTCCCCTGGGTGGCCTGTCTGAAGACATCCTTGTCATCAGGGCACCATGATGGAGACATTTCCTTATGTTGATTAAATATGGTTGAGTTCAGATATTTTTGGTAAACCAATGGGCAACGTGGCTTGGTTTAGAAAGACCAGGAAGGAGGAATTAAAGACCCTGAAGGAGAACATATCAACACACTAAGTGTAAGGGACAGGAAATGATTTGGAGAAGGACTGGTGCCATTGTTGGCACGAATCCTCTGGCTTTCCATGTTGCTCCTTGGTAGGGGGTCAGAGAGCAGGTGGCTTTGGCCAGAAGGGGAATAGAAGGCAAACAATAAAACAGCAGCCCAACTCCACCCTTTCTGTTTGTTCCTTAAAGGTCTTCCACTTCAGCACAATGCTACTGCCTAAAAAAATGAAGCTCCTGCTGTTTCTGGTTTCCCAGATGGCCATCTTGGCTCTATTCTTCCACATGTACAGCCACAACATCAGCTCCCTGTCTATGAAGGCACAGCCCGAGCGCATGCACGTGCTGGTTCTGTCTTCCTGGCGCTCTGGCTCTTCTTTTGTGGGGCAGCTTTTTGGGCAGCACCCAGATGTTTTCTACCTGATGGAGCCCGCCTGGCACGTGTGGATGACCTTCAAGCAGAGCACCGCCTGGATGCTGCACATGGCTGTGCGGGATCTGATACGGGCCGTCTTCTTGTGCGACATGAGCGTCTTTGATGCCTACATGGAACCTGGTCCCCGGAGACAGTCCAGCCTCTTTCAGTGGGAGAACAGCCGGGCCCTGTGTTCTGCACCTGCCTGTGACATCATCCCACAAGATGAAATCATCCCCCGGGCTCACTGCAGGCTCCTGTGCAGTCAACAGCCCTTTGAGGTGGTGGAGAAGGCCTGCCGCTCCTACAGCCACGTGGTGCTCAAGGAGGTGCGCTTCTTCAACCTGCAGTCCCTCTACCCGCTGCTGAAAGACCCCTCCCTCAACCTGCATATCGTGCACCTGGTCCGGGACCCCCGGGCCGTGTTCCGTTCCCGAGAACGCACAAAGGGAGATCTCATGATTGACAGTCGCATTGTGATGGGGCAGCATGAGCAAAAACTCAAGAAGGAGGACCAACCCTACTATGTGATGCAGGTCATCTGCCAAAGCCAGCTGGAGATCTACAAGACCATCCAGTCCTTGCCCAAGGCCCTGCAGGAACGCTACCTGCTTGTGCGCTATGAGGACCTGGCTCGAGCCCCTGTGGCCCAGACTTCCCGAATGTATGAATTCGTGGGATTGGAATTCTTGCCCCATCTTCAGACCTGGGTGCATAACATCACCCGAGGCAAGGGCATGGGTGACCACGCTTTCCACACAAATGCCAGGGATGCCCTTAATGTCTCCCAGGCTTGGCGCTGGTCTTTGCCCTATGAAAAGGTTTCTCGACTTCAGAAAGCCTGTGGCGATGCCATGAATTTGCTGGGCTACCGCCACGTCAGATCTGAACAAGAACAGAGAAACCTGTTGCTGGATCTTCTGTCTACCTGGACTGTCCCTGAGCAAATCCACTAAGAGGGTTGAGAAGGCTTTGCTGCCACCTGGTGTCAGCCTCAGTCACTTTCTCTGAATGCTTCTGAGCCTTGCCTACATCTCTGAGCCTTAACTACATGTCTGTGGGTATCACACTGAGTGTGAGTTGTGTCCACACGTGCTCAAGCAGAAGGACTTTTGTGTCCATGCTTGTGTCTAGAAAACAGACTGGGGAACCTTATGTGAGCAGCACATCCCACCAGTGAAACAGGGTATTGCTCTTCTTCTTTTCTTGATCTTCCTGTCTGGGCAGACTTCAGAGACTTTGTGGCCTGGAGGCCTATTAAGCACGACACAGTATCAGTGGAATTGATCCATAAACCTCCCTGTCCACATCTTGCCCAATGGGGAATGGATCTTTCACCAAAGAGCTCACCAGCATTTTCCACAGAGATGCAAATTCTGAGCCCTTGGAGTTCCCAGTGGATTCAAGGAAGGAAGTGGGAACAAGGTTGGATGCCTACTTATGAGCTTGACCATCACAGCTATCGGTAATCAGAAATATGAAACAAAATCTCTGCACAAAAGAGCAAGCTCTTAAGTTCACAGGGTGCCTGGGCTGCATTTGAATATCACTTCCCCTCTGCATTTTCCCATCACATAGAAGACTTTGACCTGTGAAGCTGCCATCTGTTAATACTAAAATTCCCAAATAAGGTTCTGTTTAGAATGTCCCTTTTTATGCTTCTTAATTATTAGCAGTAAATGTTCATTTTTATGGGATCCTAAGCTAAGAATAGATGTAATCATCTTTATTGGTTTTTTAAAACACCTTTGCTATTATCTATCACCCATTTATACAGAAAATTGCTAAGATAATATTTGGTTTCAGATGATGAACTAAGTCTATACCCTCTTAAGAATTGGTGGAAAATAGACAATTAGCAGCTAAGCCCTTTCTTTCTTGTGTGAGGTATAAGTTGTGATAACGCCATATGTGTCACCCTAGGGTCTGGGAAGAGAGTTCTTTTACTCTGATCCCTCAGCCAGAGGACCTCAGTTCTAGTATGACTGGTGCTATTTAGCTCCTCCTGGCCACTTCTCCTAATAAGAAAAGTTGTTACTCCCGATCTCGGCAGGAGCCCCCAGATCTAGTTTTACAATAGAATTTCACCTGTTAAAAAATGCAGATTGCCAGGCACTACCACAAATCTGCTAGAATCAGAATCCCCCAGTATGGGGGCTGGAGTTCTGGTGACTCTTCCATGGCTAGCCTGGCACTAGCGCACCTTGCACCAGGCAGCAACACTGTTCGCCTTCTTGCTCTAAGAAAGGTGATTCTTCCACAAATGCAGAGTATGTATGCCACTTGCTCTTGCCACTGGTGCTGTCCTTGGGTTGGAAAGAATAGAAAGAAGCTCCCTATATGTCTGGAATTCCATGGACCTCTGAGTCCTGACTTTTAAATGTTTCACTTTGTCCAAGTCTGAGAGATTGTGTCATTTTCTCTTTCTTTTTGTTTCCACCTTTTGACGAGCTTCATAAAGCTTCCTGGATGTCAGGTCAGAACTCTCGCACTCCATTCGGCCGAGTAGTGATTGAGCTTCTCCACTGCCTGAGATACTTGAGTAGCTACTTTTCCTAGCTCGGTCTGTTGAAGTTAATTTATATTTGGCTTCAAAGAAGCTAATTTATTCTAATGTCCAAATCTTTAAAAACTCCTAAGAGCCTAGGATCTCCCAGGCAAATGCTTGCCTCTACAAGGCAAATGTTTACCTCCTAAACAGTGTCAGAGTAAAATTTCCCAGCATTGAAAATAAGACCAGAACAGCAGATGACAGTGTGAACAGAGTGAAGAGGGCCATTGAGGGAACAGACAGTGGTAGACTCAACCACCTCTGATTTCCCTTCTGAAAGTCCAGTGTCTGTCTGGATTGTTTTAAAGTTAGCAACCTCTTTATGAGCCATCCCTGTGTGATGCCTGCTTGTCCTTCTCCAAAAAAATCACCCCATCCTGATACAAGAAAAGAGACTAGCCACACAGAAGTCTCAGAGTCTTATTCAAGATCCACTTTAGAACAGCTTTAAATTTCCTGCATTCCAAGTCTGAGATATCCAATGAGGTCCAGAATCTAAGAGCCACACCCTTGAAGAAAATATCTGTGCTCTCTGATAGAGTAGCCACTAGCCACCAGTAGTTGTTTAGATTTAAGTTAATTAAAATTTAATAAATTTTTAGCTCCTCAGTCACACTAGCCACATTTCAAGGACCCAATAGCTGCGTGAGGCTAGTGGCTACTGTATTGGACAGCATAGATATAATGTCCACCATTGCAAAAGTTTGATTGGACAATTCTGGTCTAAATTCATTTTTATATGTGTATCATCTAATCCCTAATTCAGCCCCATCCTCCTAGGCCAAAAAGTTTAAAGAATATATAATATCATGGCATTTTTATATAGCATAGAGTGCATAATATAAAATCATGCTATATAGGCTGGGTGTGGTGGCTCATGCCTGTAATCCCAGCACTTTGGGAGGCCAAGGTGGGCAGATCACTTGAAGTCAGGAATCTGAGACCAGCCTGGCCAACATGGACAAGCCATGTCTCTACTAAAAATACAAAAATTAGCCGGGTGTGGTGGTGCACACCTGTAATCCCAGCTACTCGGAAGGCAGAGGCAGGAGAATTGCTTCAACCCGGGAGGCAGAGGTTGCAGTGAGCCGAGACAGTGCCTCTGCACTCCAGCCTGGGTGACAGAGCAAGACTCTGTCTTAAAAAAAAAAAAAATGCTATATAATCTTAAAAGCCTGACCCAGTGTTGAACAAGGCTGCAGTGAACAATGGCACAGTCTCTTGTTGAAGTGTTCAGGAGGCTGGAGCTGGGATTCAGTGGTGAGAATGGCAACACTCAATTGAGATATGAGGCATTTGGGGACATGAGAACTGGTGACAAGCATAGAGGATGGTGTTCTGCAAGACATCCTTCCTAATTCAGAGGCATCTGTTCCATCCCCAACCCCCAGCAACAGAAAGGTGTTTCTTTCCACCTTAGCCTGTCTAGCTGCATAGGGTCTGTGCATGAGTTTAAACCTAGATTAGGGGTGAATTGATCATATTTCTCAAAGCTGATTTTTAGGGTTTAGGGAATGAGCTTCTCTCAAGTCTAATGTAACCATAACAGCCTGAATTGCCTAATTGCAATACAGCAATAGATTTCTTTACAAAATGCCAAACTAGGCAACTGCTCCAAGTCCTATGTTTGCAACTGGGAGTCGGGGGGTGGAGGTCTCAAACTTTATAAATAATTATCTGGATGGTGAGAAGGGAATGTGTTTGAGGCAAAAGGGTGCCAACAGTAACTTAACTACTTTTCTATCTATAGTTACTATGTGGCTCCATTTTATTTGTTTTTTTGTTTGTTTGTTTGTTTGTTTGTTGAGATGCGTTCTCACTCTGTCACCCAGACTAGAGTCCTGTGGCACGATCTCTGCTCACTGCAACTTCTGCCTCCTGGGCTCAAGCAATTCCCCCTGCCTCAGCCTCTCGAGTAGCTGAGATTACACGCGTCTGCCACTACGCCCGGCTAATTTTTGTATGTTTTAGTACAGACGGGCTTTCGCCATGTTGGTCAGACTGGTCTTGAACTCCTGACCTCAGGTGATCTGCCTGCCTTGTCCTCCCAAAATGCTGGGATTACAGGCATGAGCCACTGTGCCCAGCCGTGGCTTCATTTTCTATAGAATGAGAGCAGTTGCTAAGTTTTTAATACATTTTCATTAAAACTACATTTTTTCAACTTATGAATAGTGGTTATGGAGAAAGATAGAATCAACTTCTGTTAATTTTTATGCAAAAATCTGCCATTGAATTGTCCATAATATGTTTCTCAAAATATCATTTATAATTTATTATGTGATTTAGACCCAAGCTAAATATAAATTAACTTCATTAACTATGTACATTATCATGACACTGTTGAATTACTTTCACAGACTGACAAAGCAAAATTAAAAATAAACTCTGTAAGTGACCTAGTCCAGTTAACAATAAACCTCTGACAGGCATTAGTCGAGGATCCCCAATCCATTGCCCCTTGTGTCAAGGGTTATGCCCCACTTCTGGATAAAGGTGCCTGGTCATTCAGAGAAAGGTTTTTTTGTGTTTTTTGTTTTGTTTTGTTTTTTTCAATGCAGTGATGAGGAAAAGTAGTAACCAATAACCAGAGTAAGGAAATTTGAATATAGCACTTGGCTAAGGGATGTATTCATTTTTTCCACACACTTAATGGGCATCTACTATATGCCTAGGAATGTTCTAGGTGCTGTGGATACAGCAGCAAACACAACAGGCAAAGCCTCTCCTTTCATACAACAGACATTTTAGTCTGTTGGGGGCAAGAGAACAAAAAATATATGTCAGATGCTAAGTACTATAAAGAAAAATAAGGGGAAGGGGCTTGGCAGTGAAGGAGGGTGCTATTCTACAGAGGCAATAGGAGACTTCTTCGCAGAGAACGTGGGATTGCAGCAGAGACCACCTCCAAGTAAAGGAGGTTGCCATGCAGAGATCTAGGGGCAGAGTGCCCCAGTAGATGCCAATGTCAGTATGGACAGAATCAATGAGTCTAATGAGAACCTATTGTGTGCTTGGTACTGTGCTGCGTGCGCCCCCTGGAGGATAAGGAAGTAGAACCGTGACGGTAAGACAGAGAGGTTATGCACTCCCGAGCGCTGGGGCACTGGAACCGGGCTGCCTGGGTGACTCCACTATTACCAGCTACGTGACCTCAGGCAAGTTCCTCAACATCCCCATGTCTTAAATCCCTCAAGTATAGAGTGGGTGGAAACAGCAGGACGACTCCTTGGAGTTACTGGAAGGGCTAATGAGTCAGTGTGTGGAACGTCCTTAGCGAGCACTCACTCAGCATTAGCTGTGAATATCATGATTACAATGCTTTTCTCCCATTTCTGATCTGAACCCTTCTATGGCATTTCTGATCATGCTGAAATGATGAGATTTATACTTCCTGATCTTCTAGGTTCTCTACATGAGTGGTTCTCAACTGGAGGCAATTTTGTCCCACAGGGAACACTTGACAATGTCTGGAGACTTTTTTTATTTTAGTATTATTATTATTATTATTATTATTATTATTATTATTATTATTATTTATTTTTGAGATGGAGTCTCACTCTGTCACCCAGGCTGGAATGCAGTGATGTGATCTCACCTCACTGCAACCTCCGCCTCTCAGGTTCAAGCAATTCCCCTGCCTCAGCCTCCTGAGTTGCTGGGACTACAGGTGCGCACCACCATGCCTGGCTAGTTTTTGTATTTTTAGTAGAGACGGGGTCTCACCATATTGGCCAGGCTGGTCTCGAACTCCTGTCCTCAAGCGATCCACCCTCCTCACTCTCCCAAAGTGCTGGGATTACAGGTGTGAGCCACCATGCCCAACTATATTTTATTTTTAATTGACAATAATTTTATCTATTTATCTGTAGACATTTTTGATTGTCACAACTGGAGAGCGGGGGATTCAGTGTTACTGGCATCTACCATGTAGGGGCCTGGGATGCTGTTAAATAACATCCTACAAAGCACAGGACAGTTTCCTATAACAAAGAATTATTTGGTCCAAAATGTCAATCGTGCAGCTGTTGAAAACCCCCACTCTACACCAACCAGGGATAAGGATAAAGAGCTGATGACTCAAATGGATTTCCCTTTCATCTCATCCAACCTCATTCAAACGCATGTGCCACCAGCCCAAATGTCCTGACTGGGGAGATATAACCAGGGCTTTTTGATACCCACTCCATTAGTAACCATCTCAAAAGGATAGTTGGTAGAGTAGCTGTTACAAAACTACAGAGCTGCGTCACACGAGGTGAACCAAGAAAAGACTCAGGAGAGGAAGTGAGGTGCAGCCAGCCTTCCTGGGACCAGTCACTCGCTGTGCCTTAACTAGTCATGGCTCATGTCCACCCTAATTCAGGCACCTGTGGCCAGAAGAGGAAAGGGTTTAAAGAGGCAAAACATGATCATTTAGGGCCTCGGGTAAAACGGGCAGGATGAATGAAGCCTGAAGCAAATGTGCTGGACAAACATGTGTGACTGGAAACAGAGACACCATTCACGAATGCCAAAAAGCTCTGTAGGCACTGCAAGATTGAGATCAGTGTTTCTCAACCTTTTTTTATTTTTTTTCCTCATTATCATCCCCAACCACTACTCCAGCGAGCCTTGTAGACATTGTTTTCCTAATCGCCACCTAATCGCCACCCCCATACAAAATTTTAATATCACAAATATACTGTTGGGCCCAGCTTTGGCTCACGCCTATAATCCCAGCACTTTGGAAGGCTGAGGCAGGTGGGTCGCTTGAGCTCAGGAGTTCAAGACCAGCCTGGGCAACATGGTGAAACCCTGTCTCTACAAAAAAAATACAAAAATTAGCTAGCAGTGTTAGTGCACACTGTAGTCCCAGCTACTCAGGAGACCGAGGAGGGAGGATCTCTTGAGCCTGGGAGGTCGAGGCTGCAGTGATCCGTGATTGTGTCACTGCATTCCAGCCTGGGCAACAGAGTGAGACCCTGTCTCAATACAAAACAAAACAAAACAAATATACTGTCGATTTGTTTATGTATTGTAGCCCTTTGAAGGACTACAAACCATTGTAATATCTAAGGGTTCTTGCCCCCTGCCCAAGAACCAACTTTTACCACTCCATGGTCACTTCCCTTGAGAATGTATGATTTAATCCACTGTCCCTAATTTTTTCAGCTCCTTCCCCAGCCCCTCTCTTTTTTTCTCGACATATCTTTTCATCTGTCAAACCCCCAACTATGTTCCTTGCTCAACAATAATTAATTGTGATTAAGCAAATCACACATAGGAGAGCAATTTTCAAACTGTAAAGACCTATGACAATGTCAGTTAGTTGTAGTAGTAAAAAAATAATACAAGTGGCCAGGTATGGTGACTCACGCCTGTAATCCCAGCACTTTGGGAGGCTGAGACGGGTGAAACACTTAAGATCAGAGACCAGCCTGGCCAACATGGTGAAATTCCGTCTATACTAAAAATACAAAAATTAGCCGGGCATGGTGGCAGGCACCTGTAATCCCAGCTATTCGGGAGGCTGAGGCAGGAGAATCGCTTGAAACTGGGAAGCAGAGTTTGCAGTGAGCTGAGATCGCACCACTGCACTCCAGCCTGGGTGACAGCAGGCGACTCTCTCTCAATAATAAAAAAAATAATAATAACAATACAAGTAACTACGACTAGTGTCCTCTCCCCATCCCCAACCCTCAACCTAACCGTGTGGGATGGGCATTGGCCCTGCTTTCCTGGCTAGTTTTCTTTTTTTTTTTTTACTTTTTTGTAGAGATGGGGGAGTCTCCCTATGTTGCCCAGGCTGGTCTCGAACTCCTGAGCTCAAGTGATCCTCCTGCTTCAGCCCTCCAAAGTGCTGGGATTACAAGCTTGAGCCACTGTGCCCACCCCATGACCAGTTTTCAAGCGGGCTTCTTATGGACCTAAAAGGGCAATAAGGAGGCTAGTTTATTGTTTGTGTTTTAATGACAGAAACGTACATTTCATTAAAACACATGCAGTAAGCACATGATGCTGCTCTTCATGAAGAACGAGGTACAGGCCAGCACAGTGGCTCATACCTGTAATCTCAGCACTTTGGGAGGCTGAAATGGGTGGATCACTTGAGGTCAGGAGTTCAAGACCAGCCTGGCCAACATGATGAAACTCCAACTCTACTAAAAATACAAAAATTAGCTGGGCATGGTGGCAGGCATCTGTAATCCCAGCTACTCAGGAGACTGAGGCAGGAGAATCGCTTGAACCCGGGAGGCGGAGGTTGCAGTGAGTGGAGATCGCGCCACTGCACTCTAGCCTGAAGGAGAGAGCAAGACTCTATTTCAAAAAAAAAAAAAAAACAGGCACATTTCAGGGTTAGCTCTTGCTCTGCCCTAAATCAGTATGGATTTCGATGTCTAAGTGCTGAAGATGGAAACATGTTAAAAGGAAAAAAGGCCCCCTGTTCTTTTATGATGCATCATAAACCAAGCTATGAGGCCTTTACAGATGCAACACACACAAAGCAATCTGGATGCAAATAAACTTGAAAAACTTGATTATGTTGAATTTAACTGGAGTTATATTAAGAAAGGAGTAGAGTGGCTGGGTGTGGTGGCTCATGCCTGTAATCCCAGCACTTTGGGAGGCCAAGGCAGGCAGATCACAAGGTCAAGAGATTGAGACCATCCTGGCCAACATGGTGAAACCCTGTCTCTACTAAAAATACAAAAATTAGCTGGGCATGGTGGCACGCACCTGTAGTCCCAGCTATTCGGGAGGCTGAGGCAGGGGAATCGCATGAACCTGGAAGGCAGAGGTTAAATACAGAGACCCACACGCTAGGGAAGTTTACTTCACATGTAATTTATAATCACCTACCTCACTTTATGGACCACCTCATTCCTCATCTTCCGACCACATTTCTTCTCCTCCTTCCTAGTGGGGAAAAAAAAGTTAACAGACAGCAACTTCTTAACTCTCCAATGCCAAACGTATAAATTCCCTTCATAGCCCGTCTTTCCTCTTCTATCACATGGTACAGATGTTCCATATGCTGTTGGCGGCCAGTCCCACCATCACGGCTTTGCATTCCATCCTCTCCCACCTTCTCAAGAACTGTACATTTTTAATATTCACTTCTTCTTTGCTGAACTTCTCTTCCACTAAATCCTTCTCTTTGGCTTTTTTAACCTAATGATCTTCCTTCTTGAAAAAAATCCCCCTCGTTCCTATATCCTGATACAGCTACTAGCCTCTCTCTCTTCACTTTCACGACCAAACTGCCCTAAAGCGTTGTCTACATTCATGGGCCTTATTTTCTACCTTCCATTTCCTCCTCAACCCACTCCAATCTGGATTTTGCTCCCTACTGTCCCCTGAACCAGCTCCAGAAAACAATAAAAATTAAATTCCATGGTGCCCACTCACTCCAACAGATATTTTCCAATTCTCATTTCACCTGAACGCTCGGCAACAATTAACCTTATTGACCATTTTCTCCTTAAAACACTGTATCCCAATTTTTCTTCCATTTCTCTGGACACTTCTCAGTGTTTTATAGAAGATTCTCTTCTGCATAGCTATTAAAAATTGGAGTTCCTCAAGGCTCAGGCATAGAACAGCCTCTTCTTTTTCACTGTAGGCTTTCCTTTTAGACAATCTCACCCCTGCCCACGATTTTGAACACCACTTGTATGTGGATGACTTGCAAATGTATATCCCCAGCTCAGGCTTCTCTGAGTTCCAGATCTGTATATCCTATCACTGATTTGACATCTCAGAAGACCCTCAGATTCAGTGTCCAAACACTGCATTCATGATTTTCCCCCTCCTCCAGACTAGACCATGCCAAGCATCCTCATCCTTCCTGGGTCTCTTTCCCACCTTTCAACTTGTTGCCAAATCCAAAACCTGGATTTTGCCCTTGACTTCTTCCCCCAGTCATTCACCAAGAACTGTTGATTCTACCTGGTCAGCATTTAAGTTCATCTGCTTCTCTTTTTCCTCAACCTCCTCCTCCCTGCCTTGTTCCTGCCACCATCACCTCTTCCCTGAACCACTGTCTGTCATCCTGCCTCCAAACTGCCAACATCAATCCAGTATCTACACTGTCTTAAAAATTCAGAAAGTCTAAATTGCTTAATGTCATTTAGAAAGCTGCATTCATTATCTGACCCTTGTCTCCCTCTCTTATCCCTCCTTCTTGGACTCTACTTTCTACCCATCTCATATTTGTAGATCTATCAAGTTACCACATACACACCTTCCTCTGGATTTTATATCATGCTATTTCTCCTACCTGGAGTACCCTACTTTGTCCCACTCCTAACTTCTCTGGCTAATATTTTTGATCCTCCAAGTTTCAACATCTCTGAAAGTCTTGCCTGCCTTGCCTCCCAACTCCCTGTGGGAAGCCACTGCTGTGTGATTTCTATAATCACAGCATTTACCACACTGTTATAAAACCATTCAATTTGCATGTTCTTTGAACTCTCTGAGGGAAAAGACTGTCTTATTTGCTGCGGTATAATCAATGCCTAGCATAGTACCTGGCACATAGTAGGCACTCAATAAATGTCTGTTTAATGAATGAAGACCTTGATTCTATCTGCATTATATGTAAAGGGCTCATCCTTTATATAGTATTTAGGGGGAAAAAAAGCATATTCAGCCAATAACAGAAGCTTTTACTCTGAGAAACACAGTGACATCCTTACAGATCCAGATAAGACAGAGCCACCATTTAAAAGTTTCCTCTTTGAGAGAAATAAGGGAAGCTGAATCTTAAAGCCAACAGCTCAGAAGTGCTGGGTCGAGTAAGGTAGCAGGTGAGGGGGTGGGCAAAGCAGAGATTCGAAAACTGAAGTTGACTTGTATTTTTAATAATAATATTGTGGCAAGACAGGCTGAAAATTATGGCTGGTTTTCTGAAGAGCTGCATGGGTCAGAGGTGTTTGAACCAGAGTGACTCCATCTTGAATAGGGGCTGGACAAAATAAGGCTAAGACCTATGGGGCTGCATTCCCAGGAGGTTAGGCATTCCTAGTCACAGGATGTGATAGGAGGTCAGCACAAGATACAGGTCATAAAGACTCTGCTGATAAAACAGGATGTAGTAAAGAAGCACGCCAAAATCCACCAAAACCAAGATGGTGATGAAAGTGGCCTCTGGTCATCCTCACTGCTCATTATACATGAATTATAATGTATTAGCATGCTAGAAGACACTCCAACCAGCATCATGACAGCTGACAAATGCCATGGCAACACCTGGAAGTTGCTCTATATGGTCTAAAGGGAAGAGGAACCCTCAGTTCCAGGAATTGCCTGCCCCTTTCCCGAAACACTCATGAATAATCCACCCCTTGTTTAGCATATGATCAAGAAATAACTATAAGTATACTCAGTCAAGCAGCCCATGCCGCTCTTCTGCCTACGGAGTAGCCATTCTTTTGTTCCTTTACTTTCTTAATAAACTAGCTTTCACTTTGCTCTATGGACTCACCCTGAATTCTTTCTTGCGTGAGGTCCAAGAATACTATCTTAGGGTCTGGATCAGGACCCCTTTCCGGTAACACATGTGTTCACAGGGTGAAGCTTATGAACTAATCGATTGCCACCTGCAAGCACTTGGCAAATACTTGCTGACTGATTGCTTTACAACCTGGTTTTTAGCCAAATCTCCAAGAAGAAAGTTTCTGGCTTGTTTTCTTTCTCCACTCTCATAATGGCCAAGTATGATTAAAGGAATGGCTTGGGGGAATAGTCATCTTTGATCTTTTCTCTCACCTTCTACATTCTATCCATCAGCAAATCCTGTGAGCTCAACTTCCAAAATATACCCTGAATCAGACCACTTCTCACCATTTCTACCGCTACAGTGTTAATCCAACCTCAAATCCAAAGCAACCTCAAATCTCTCTTGAACTTCTACAAGAGCCCCCTAACTGGTCTCTCATCTCTTTTCTTTCAGCATACTTCACCTTCCATTACTATTCAGAAGCTCTTTTACTATTCAGAAGTTGAGGCAGGGAACTCAACTGGGGTTTCCTTCCAAAACCCAGTCCCCACTTGTATGGCAGAAGCTATTCCTAGGCACAGAAGGCTCAGAAAATTGTCTCAATTACCTCCACACCAGCTCACTCATAGGTTTTATGCCAGGAGGCGCAGGCTAGAAAGACTAGGGGCTACCATCCAAATCCAAGGCTCCACTTGTGGAGCAAGGCAGGTGTATCATTTCAGAAGAAGTGGACCACATTCCTTGTCCCCCCGACTCTGATGTAGTGGCAGAGATTCTGTCCAGGGGGAGAGAAGGCCATAAGAATAGAGAGCTCAGAGACTCTTTCAAAAAGGACTTACTGAGCTGGGTGCGGTGGCTCATGCCTGTAATCCCAGCACTTTGGGAGGCCAGCGGGGGTGGATCACCTGAGGTCAGGAGTTCGAGACCAGCCTGGCTAACATGGCAAAATCCCATCTCCACTAAAAATACAAAATTAGCCAGGCATGGTGGCACACACCTGTAATCCCAGCTACTCGGGAGGCTGATCCAAGAGAATCGCTTGAAACCGGGAGACAGAGGTTGCAGTGAACCAAGGTCGTGCCACTGCACTCCAGCCTGAGCAACAGAGCAAGACATTGTCTAAAATAAAATAAAATAGAATAAAATAAAATAAAATAAAATAAAAGGACTTACTGTACTTAGAGGAAAATGTGAGGAAGTTCATGCCTAAGTGTGCTGTCAAAAACTGGAGATTTTGGTGGTAAACAATTAGGAGGAGTCTCTTAGCTCCATTAAACTACTAGCAACAAATAAAATGGTAGACCAGCTAGAAGTTTAACAGAGAACCAGGGAAAGAGACAGCTAAGCAGAGCCCTCCTGGGCTCGAAGCAAGCCTCAAAGACCGCCCCAGCAAAGGGACCTGACTAGCTGAATCAGGTGATGGAGCAATTTATGCCCCAGACATTGTTACAAAAAAAAAATAGAGCAACCAGCTAGCAGTTATTGGTAGCTAACAGCTGGATATGTTACCGAGAAAGTCAGACCAGAAAGAAGCTTAACAGGGGACCAGAGAAAATATAATTAAAGAGAACCCTGCTAAAACTCCAGTAATCTCAGCTCATCAGAGGGACTATGTGCATGGCCAAGGCTTCACTCTCTAAGGAGCAACATTACACTATGAGGGAAATGGATTTCAATAATCTGTTCCAGCCAAGTCACTAAAGAAATAAAAAAAAAAGCAAATAACGGGCCCCAGATGAGAGGGTGATTAATATTCAGAATCTATAAAATTTATCTGAAATGCATAATTTTCAACAAAAATTATGAGATTTGCAAAGACATAGAAAAGTGTGACCCAAAAACAAAAAGGGGGAAAATCAGGCAATAGAACATGCCTTTGAGGAGCCCAGATGTTGGACTTAACAAAGACTTCAAAGCCCCTGTTATAAATATGTTCAAAGAACTAAACGACACCATGCTTAAAGAATTAAAGGAAGGTATGTTGACAATGTCTCATCCAACAAATATTATCAATAAAGAGATAGAAAATATTTTTAAAAGAATGAATGAAAATGAAGATATAACATACCAAAACTTATGGGATAGAGCTAAAATAGTGCTTAAAGGGAAATATTTAGCTGTAAATATCAATGTTAAAAAAGGAAGAAAAATCTCAAATCAATAACTAAACTTCCACCTTGAAAACAGAAGAAAAGAAAATCAAACTCAACCCAGAGCAAGAAGAAAGAAAGAAACAATAGGCCAGGCATGGTGGCTCATGCCTATAATCTCAGCACCTTGGAAGACTAAAGCAGGAGGATCACCTGAGCCCAGGAGTTTGAGACCAGCCTGGGCAACATAGTGAGACCCCATCTCTAAAAAAAAAAAAAAAAAAAAATTTAAATTAGCAGCGATGGTGGTGTGCACCTGCAGTCCCAGCTACTCAGGAGGCTGAAGTGGGAGGATCACTTGAGCCTGGGAGGTCGAGGATGCAGTGAGCCATGATTGCACCACTGCACTCCAGCCTGGGCAACAGAACAAGACCCTATCTCAAAAAAAAAAAAAAAAAGAGAGAGAGAGAGCAAGAGAGAGAAACAATAAAAATTAGAGCAGAAATAAAGGAAATAGAGAGTGAGAAGTGGGAGAGAGAAAAAAATCAGTGTAACCAAATTTGGTTCTTTGAAAAGATCAACAAAATAGACAGTTTTAGCTAGACTGACCAACAAAAGAAAACAGACTAATTACTAAAATCAGAAATGAAAGAGGGACATTATTACTGACCTTACAAAAATAAAAAAGAATTATCAGGGAATACTAAAAACAACCAGTTAGATAACTTAGATGAAATGGACACATTCCTAGAAAGATACAAACTACCAAAACTAACTCAAGAAGAAATAGAAAATCCGAAAACACCTATAACAAGTAAAGAGATTAAATTAGTAATTTAAAATTTCTCGCCTGTAATCCCAGCACTTTGGGTGGCCGAGGCGGGCAGATCACTAGGTCAACAGATCGAGACCATCCTGGCCAACATGGTGAAGCCCTGTCTCTACTAAAAATACAAAAATTAGCTCGGTGTGGTGGTGCGCGGCTGTAGTCCCAGCTACTTGGGAGGCTGAGGCAGGAGAATTGCTTGAACCCGGGAGACAGAGGTTGCAGTGAGCCGAGATCACGCTACTGCACTCTAGCCTGGTGACAGAGTGAGACTCCGTCTAATAAAAAAAAAAAGCTCTCATAAAGAATAGCCCAAGCGACTTTGCTGGTGAATTCTAACAAACATTTAAAGAATTTCTATGAATCCTCTCAAACTCTTCCAAAATACAGAAAAATAGTACACATTTCCCAATTCATTCTAGAAGCCAATGTTACCCTGATAGAAAAACCAGACAAACATATCACACAAAAAACTACATACCAATATATCTTATGACTATGGATGTAAAAGCAACAAAATACTAGTCAATGGAATCCAGTAACATGTAAAAAGAATTATACACCATTTTCAACTGGGAATTGTCCAGAAATGTAAGGTTGGTTTTACATTGTAAAATCAATTAACACAATACACTATGTTAATAGAATAAAGGATAAAAACCACTTGACCCATCTCAATAGATGCAGAAAGACAGTTGACAAAATCTAGCAACCTTTCATGATTTAAAAATCAACAATAGAACTTCCTCAAACTGATAAAGAGCATCTATTAAAAACCCACAGCTAACATCATACTTAATGATGAAAGAATGAATGTTTTTCCCCCAAGATCAAAAATAAGACAAGGATGTCTACTCTCACCTTTGTAGTCAATATCATACTGGAGATTCTATCCAGGGAAATTGGGCAAGAAATAAAAGGCACCCAGATTGGAAAGAAACAAGTAAAATTATCTCTATTTTCCGATGACATAATCTTATGTGTAGAAAGTCCTAAGGAATCTTGTTGCCCAAGAAGCAGTGGCCAACAGACAGGTGCCTGGAGGGAGCGTGGAAATGATGAATTGGTGGAACTTTAGCGACCTCTAAGTGCAGATGGGAGAAGGCAGTTGGATGTGCAAGTCTAAAGTTCAGAAGGGAAGTCTAGACTAGAGACACACATTTGAGAGTTGACAACTTATGTTTACTGAAGCACGGTTAAGATGGTGTTGGAAAGGGAGAATTTGGCCCATGGGAACCTCTGGGATTCATTGGTTCTTAAAAAGAAGGTGGTAGTTAATGCAGAAACACTGGAAATAAGAAGTAGAGGGGTTGAGTGAAGGCCTGAGAGGGAAGTGGTGAGCTTGGGGACAGCATTAGTGTCATTCTCATTGCTTTCAGAATGATGCCACATTCCTGCTGGCTGCAATGCCATCTTCTCTAGTGCTGAAGAATGGCTCATGCTCTCCTCCACGTGGCAGATGCTATCACACTCCCTCCAGGCACGTGTCTGTTGCTACTGCTTCTTGGACAAGCTGCTCTTCCCTTGGGCTTCTGTCCCCATGTTCCCCAAGGCTAGAAAACAAAGTACACCCTAATTTCTTTATTAAGCAATCATCTTATCAACCAATCTCTTACTGATGGGCAAAAAATTATGGTATAACCATACTATAGAATATTGTGCAGCTGGACAGACAGAGAAATTTCTCTGTGTGTAAATACGGAAAACTCCCCAATTCCCCAATATATTTTGTTAAAGACGAAAAGGCAAGCTGGGCATGGTGGCTCACACCTGTAATCCCAGCTCTTTGGGAAGCCTAGGCAGGAGGATTGCTTGAGGCCAGGAGTTTGTGAGTAGCTGGGGCAACATAGCAAGACCCCATTTCTATTAAAAAATTTAAAAACAACAAGGCCAGGTGCAGTGGCTCATGCCTGTAATCCCAGCACTTTGGGAGGCTGAGGCAGGTGGATCACGAGGTCAAGAGATTGAGAACATCCTGGCTGACACGGTGAAACCCCGTCTCTACTAACAATACAAAAAATTAACCGGGCGTGGTGGTGGGCACCTGTAGTCCCAGCTACTTGGGAGCCTGAGGCAGGAGGATGGCATGAACCCAGGAGGGGGAGCTTGCAGTGAGCCGAAATCATGCCACTGCAATCCAGCCCGGGCGACAGAGCGAGACTCCATCAAAAAAAAAAAAAATGCAAAAACATTAGCTAAACGTGGTGGCACATGCCTGTAGTCTCAGATACTTGGGAGGCTGAGGCAGGAGAGTCACTTGACCCAGGAGTTCAAGGCTGCAGTGAGCTATGATCACACCATTGCACGTCAACCTGGGCAACAGAGCAAGGCAAAGAAGAAGGAGGAGGAGGAAGAGGAGGAGGAGGAGAAGGAGGAAAAGAAAGAGGAAGAGGAAGGAGAAGGAAAAGAAGAAATAAAAGGAAAGTATAAAATTGTGATTACACACTATGTTTTGTTTTAAGGGAAAATAAAACTATACTCAAAGTTGCTTATATACTTGTAGAGAAACTCTCAAGAATACATGAGAAACTAAAAATAGTGAGCCCTATAGGGGATAAGGCAGGTAGGACCAGGGAGATGAGAAGCAAAAATGAAAGGACATTTCCTAGGCCAGGTGTGGTGGCACACACCTGTAATCCCAGCACTTTGGGAGGCTGAGGCGGGAGGATAACTTGAGGTCAGGAGTTCGAGACCAGCCTGGGTGACAGGGTGACACCCTGTCTGAAAAAAAAAAAAAAAAGAAGAAGAAATTAAATTTTGTATTGCTGGTTTTAAATAATATTTTCTCAGCCGGGCGGGTGGCTCACACCTGTAATCCCAGCACTTTAGGAGGCCGAGGTGGGCAGATCACCTGAGGTCCAGAGTTTGAGACCAGCCCGACCAACATGGTGAAACCCCCTCTCTACTAAAAATACGAAATTAGCCAGGCGTGGTGACACATGCCTGTAATCCCAGCTACTCGGGAGGCTGAGGCAGAAGAATCACTTGAACCCGGGAGGCGGAGGTTGCGGGGAGCCGAGATTGCGCCATTGCACTCCAGCCTGGGAAACAAGAGCGAAACTCCATCTCAAAAAAATAAATAAATAAAATAACATTTTCTCTTATTGCTGATGAAAATTAAAATTTTAAAATGGTATCTCATTGTATTTGTTAAAGTAATGGTAATTGTTACAACAAACAGATACCAAAAGCTTGATGGCTCAAACACAATTGAAGTGTTTTCTTGCTCAAATGAAGACCAACATGGTCAGTAAATAGCTCTTCTCGGAGCAGTAATTGAAGCACCCGGCTCCTCTCATTCTATGGGCCTGCCATCTTCAACTCAAGGAAGCACTGGTCCAGTGTTTGTAAAGGGATTGCCAAAACAGTGCTGAGGCCCTAGCGAGGCCAGAGACCGTGTACCAGTGGCACCCATTTACCTTTATTTTTACTTTAAGTATAGAAATTGAGAAGGTTCAGGATCAGATTAATCCCAGGTAGAGGCTGTGCACAGTAGATGCTGTGGAATAAGGAAGCTAAGAAGTTGAGGTCGCTGGCAGGAATGTGGGCAGAGTACAGCACCATGAGGCAAAAAAGAAGTGTAACAATGCAAGGGAGTTAATGGACTTGGGAAATGTTTGAAGAGATTAAAGGGCTGTAAAATGTCCAGGTGTCAGATTGTGAGCCAGTTGGAGGGTGAGCAGCTTGCAGTTAGTAAATTACATGTTAGGGATTAATAATCCTAAAATAGTCTAGTTCAAGTGATGACAAGGAACACAGGTGTGGCTTTGGGAGTGGGGCCATTGTGGGGTAGATTGTACAGCTCCTCATGTTTGGAATAAGCAAGAGGCCTTGAGGTTAGAGTGTGGGTGAGGCTATCCACAGAGATGTTGAAATTTCCCAAGTGTTGAAATTTCCCATGTATCAGGCCCTAAATAAATAAGGGAGTGTGCACAGAAAGGATATAAAGTAATTCAGCACATGTTTTAAAGGAAGCTGGTTATTGTGTGAGTCTGGGGGAGTATAGATATGAAAAAAGACAATAAGTTAGAGTCTGGGCTATGTGGGAAAAAAAGCTATTTCAAACAGTGAGTTGGCCGGGTGCAGTGACTCACGCCTGTAATCCCAGCACTTTGGGAGGCCAAGGCAGGCAGATCATGAGGTCAGGAGATCGAGACCATCCTGGCCAACATGGTGAAACCCTGTCTCTACTAAAAATACAAAAATTAGCTGGGTGTGGTGGCACGCACCTGTAATCCCAGCTGCTCGGGAGGCTGACGCAGGAGAATTGCTTGAACCTGGGAAGCAGAGGTTGCCCTGAGCTGAGATGGTGCCATTGCACTCCAGCCTGGCAAGAGAGCGAGACTCTGTCTCAAAAAAAAAAGAACAAACAGTGACTTTAGGGGAAGAGCGAAGTTACAGTTAAGGCAAAGAAGTAACCAGTTTGATGATGGCAGATAATTGTACCTGCTATGGAACAAAGATTTTGGGCAGGGGGAGAACGGAAGGAGGAAACATCAGGATGGAGAGATGTAAGAGAAGTATGGAGACTTCCAAAGCAACATCACAAGAAAGATCATATGAAAATGTTTGGGCTTCAAAACATCTAGATATGATGGATAAAATCTAACAAACGTATTTTCAAATTCAGAGCCAAGCTTGCAAGAGAGTAACAGAATCCCCAAAGAAGCAAAAACAAAGAGGGGCCTGAAAATTTGGAAAATAAGAGTATGCTTATGCTGGTAACATCTCAGTAATCATGGGTTTAGAGTTTAACACTAGTGGAGGAGGACTTAGACCCATGTAAGGCAGGGATTTAAAATTTAGACCTCTCCACAAAGCCAAGCCCTTCCAAATGTTAAGGCTGAGTAACAAGATGGATTATAAAGAAATCTTTCTTATTCTGGCCCCTGGGAAGAAAAAAGAAAACTCTCCCATGACAGTTTGTAAGCATAGGCATTCCTTTACATGGGTTTAGTGTTCAAATGTAACCTACCTGTATGGTCTGGAAACCCCAAAGTTGAGAAATTCACTGAAAAGTGATCCTGATCCATTCCATCAGCAGTTTGTTGTCGTTGTTTTGTTTTGTTTATTTGTTTGTTTTTTGAGATAAAGTCTTGCTCTCGTCCCCCAGGCTGGAGTGTGATGGTGCGATCTCGGCTCACTGCAACCTCCGCCTCCAAGGTTCAAGCGATTCTCCTGCCTCAGCCTCCCCAGTATCTGGGATTACAGGTGCCTGCCACCACACCTGGCTAATTTTTGTATTTTTAGTAGAGATGGGATTTCACCATGTTGGCCAGGCTGGTCTTGAACTCCTGACCTCAGGTGATCTGCCCCCCTGGCCTCCCAAAGTGCTGGGATTACAGGCGTGAGCCACCACGCCCAGCCCCATCAGCAGTTTTAATACTACAAGGAGAGAAAGTCATTGGGGAACCTCTAGCAACCTGCCATATCAGTCAGTATTTTTGTGGCAAAGAAGTATGATCAATAAAATACTTTCAAAGATAAGGATAACGTTAACATAAAACTGGGGTAAAACATAAAACAGAAATACAAGATGAAGAAAGAAAATCATCCTGGCACTTTGGGAGGCCAAAGCAGAAGGATCATTTGAGCCCAGGAGACCAGCCTGGGCAGCATAGTGAGACCCCATCTCTGCAAAAAATACACAAATTAGGCAGGCATGTTGGCATGTAACTATGGTCCGAGCCACTCAGAAGGCTGAGGTGGAAAGATTACTTGAGTCTAGGAGGTCAAGGCTGCAGCGAGCTATGATTGTAATCATGTCATTGCACTCCAGTCTGGGCAACAGAGCAAGATCCTGTTTCAACAACAAAAAAAAGAAGGTAAATTTCTAGTAAATATCCAATATCATCTCTGTTGAAAAATGCATGCTCTAGTTAAATGAACAAGTTAAATGACACCACAAGGAAGCCAACAAACATATCCAGAATGTAGAACATTTTGTAAGACAGCCATTCCTGCAACAAGTCAATGGTATGAAAAGAAAAAAAAAAAAACAGGAGCCTTCTCTAGAGTAAGAGATATTTAAGCTTAAGACATAAAACTAAAAAGTAATGTTTAAACTTTGTTTGAATCCTGATCCAAATAAACCAACTATAAGAAGACATTTTGGAGGCAACCAAAAATATCTTACTATTTGATGTGATGTGGCACTGTGGTTAAGAAATTATGTGTTTAGAGATGTGTACTGAGGCGTATGGGGAGAACTAACGATGTCCAGGATTTGCTTTACAATCTTTTGGCAAAGAAAACAAGAAAAAGAAGGAAGGAACAAAAATGGCAATATCTTGAGAGTCATTAAATCTGAGTGATGGGTATATTGGTGCTAATTATACTACTGCTTCTACTTTTATATATGTTTGAATTTTCAGTCAAGAATTCTAAATTATTTTAGGGAACACATGAACGAAAAAGTGTAAAAACCACTAGTTTATCACACATGCTAATTCTGCTATTTACAGAAACATCTCAGATGTTTTTCTAGAAATTTCTTATTGCTCCCAGTGTGGAAGCCCAACTGACACTTTGCCCTGCTTCCATTATGAAATACCAGAGTCAGGAAAAATAAGCACTTTGTACCCTTAAATGAAACAACAATGATGAGGTCACCCCATCTAGTTCTAGTCCCCAAACTAATTCCTGCAAGTGTGCACTCCTTATCTTTAAAAAACTGAAGTTATCTCTGCCTTTTAGAATGATTATGTCTGAAGTAACATCACAATGTTTGTGACTAGGATGAACATGAGAAAAAGTTACTGTTTTCCACCATGAACAGATAGCTACAAACTGGCAATCTTACATGCTTTTTCTTTTCTTTAAAAACCTAAAAATCCTTTAAATGCCACACAGATATTTGAGTTGATCTCCCTAAAGTCTGACTCCTTTATATCTTTTTTTCCACTCACACAAAAAAAACAGTATTACTGAGACATGATCTACATACCACACAACTCAACCCACTTAAATTGTACAATTCAATGGTTTTTACTTTCTTTAAAGTTGTGTAACCATCACCATTATCAATTTTAGAATATATTCATCACTCCAAAAAGAAACTCTGTACCCATTAGCCATCTCTCTCCATCTCCCACATATGGCCTCACCTCTAGCTCTAGAAGTAACTAATCTATTTTCTGTCTCTATGAGTAATATGATTTGGCTCTGTGTCCTCACCCAAATCTCATGTCGAATTGTAATTCCCAGTGTTGAAGGACAGGCCTGGTGAGAGGTGATTAAATCATGGAGGTGGACTTCCCCCTTGCTGTTCTTGTGATAGAGTTCTCCCAAGATCTGCTTGTTTAAAAGTGTGTAGAACCTCCTCCTACTCCCACTGGCCATGTGAAGATGTCCCTGCTTCCCCTTCACCTTCTGCCATGTGGTAAGTTTCCTGAGGCCTCCCCAGAAGCAGAAAACTATACAGCCTGCAAAACTGTGAGCACAATTAAACCTCTTTTCCTTATGAATTAACCAGTCTCAGGTAGTTCTTCATAGCAGTGTGAGAATGCACTAATACAGAAAATTGGTACTATAGAAGTGGGGCATTACTATAAAGATACCTGAAAATGTGTAAGCAACTTTGCAATTGGATAACAGGCAGAGATTGGAACAGTTTGGAGGGCCCAGAAGATAGGAAGATGGGAGAAAGTTTGGAACTTCCTACAGACTTCTTGAATGGTTGTGACCAAAATGCTGATGGTGATATGGACAGTGAAGTCCAGGCTGAGGAGGTCTCAGATGAAGATGAGGTACTGTGAAACTAATATATCTGAGACAGGTTTCAGTAAATTTAGAAAGTTTATTTTGCCAATGTTGAGGGCACACACCCATCACACAGCCTCAGGAGGTCCTGACAACATGTGCCCAAGGTGGCTGGGGCACAGCTTGGTTTTAGACATTTTAGGGAGACATGAGACATGAGACATCAATCAATATATGTAAGATAAACATTGGTTCTGTCTGGAAAGGTGGGACAACTCAAGCAGGGAGGGGGCTTCCAAGTCACAGGTAAGTGAGAGACAAATGATTGCATTCTTTTGAGTTTCTGATTAGTCTTTCCAAAGGAGACAATCAGATATGCATTTATCTCATTGTGCATAAGGATGACTTTGCATAGAATGAAAGGCAGGTTTGCCATAAGCAGTTCTCAGCTTGACTTTTCCCTTTAGCTTAGCAATTTTGGGGCCCCAAAGTGTATTTTTCTTTCACAGAACTTATTGGGAACTGGAGTAAAGGTTACTCTTGCTATGCTTTAGCAAAGAGACTGGCAGCATTGTGCCCCTGCTCCAGGGACCTGTTGAACTTTGAACTTGAGAGAAATGAGTTAGGGTATCTTTGGAGAAATGCCTATTCAAGTGCCTTTTTAAGTTGGGTCATTTGACTTTTTTGTTGTTGAGTGGCAGGAGTGCTTTATATATTCTAAATGTTAATGCCTCATCAGATATATAATTTTTAAATATTTTCTCCCATTCCATAGGCAGAAGAAAATGCCTTTTCATTTTGATTATGTTCTTTGATGCACAAAGGTTTTTAAGTTCCATTTTTCCTTTTGTTGCCTATGCTTTTGGTGTCATATCCAAGAAATCATTGCCAAATCCAGTATCATGAAGCTTTCCTCCCATGTTTTCTTCTAGGAGTTTTATAGTTTGGGGTATTACATTTAGGTCTTTAGTCTATTTTGAGTTAATTTTTATATATGGTGTAATATAAGGGCCCAGTTTCCTTTGCATGTGGATATCTAGTTTTCCCAAAACCATTTGTTGAAGACACTTTTCTTTCCCCATTCAGTCATCTTGGCACCCTTGTCAAAGATCATTTGACCATATATACAAGGGTTTATTTCTTGGCTATTCTATTTCATTGGCCCATTTATCTGTTTTTATGCCAGTACCACACTGTTCTGATTACTGTGGTTTCGTAATATCTTTTGAAATCAGAAAGTGTGACTCCTTCAACTTTATTCTTCCTTTTCAAAATTTTTTTTGGTTATTCAGGGTCCCTTGAGATTTTGTGTGAATTTTAGGGTGATTTTTTTCTATTTTGAAAAAAAATGCTATTGGGATTTTGATATGGATTGTGTTGAAATCTATTGATCACTTGGGGCAGCATGAATATCTTCACAGCATTAAGTACTGCAATCCATGAGAATGGGACGCCTTCTCATTTATTTGTGTCTCCTTTAGTTTCTTACAGCAATGTTTTGTAGTTTTGATTGTACAAATCTTTTTATTTTTTTTCTGAGACAGAGTCTTGCTCTCTCACCCAGGCTGGAGTGCAGTGGCATGATTGCAGCTCACTGCAGCCTCCACCTCATGGGTTCAAGCAATTCTCCTGCCTCAGACTCTTGAGTAGCTAGGATTACAGGTGTGCACCACCATGCCCAGCTAATTTTTGTATTTTTAGTAGAGATGGGTATTCACCATGTTCATCAGGCTGGTCCCGAATGCCTGACCTCGTGATCCACCCACCTTGTCCTCCCAAAGTGCTGGGATTACAGGCATGAGCCACCATGCCCAGCTGATTGTACAAATAATTTACCTCCTTGCTTAGGTTTATTCCTAAGTATTTTATTCTTTTCGATGCTGTTGTAAGTGGAACTGTTTTCTTAATTTTCTTTTTGGATTGTTCATTGTTAGTGTATAGAAAAGCAACTGACTTTTGCATATCAATTTTGTATTCTACAATTTTGCTGAATTTGGTTATTAGTTCTAACAGAGTTTTTGTGGAATCTTTTAAGGTTTTCTACATATAAGATCATGTCATCTGTGAACAAAGATAATTTTACTTCTTCCTTTCCAATTTGAATGCTACTGGGGGAACCAGCCCCCAATATTTCAACATGGTTCTTTCTATTTTCCCTAAGTGTCGGCTGGTCTGAGAAATAAAGAGAAATAGTACAAAGAGAGGAATTTTACAGCTGGGCCTCTGGGGGTGACATCACATATTGGTAGGACCGTGATGATGACCCCGAGCCGCAAAACCAGCAAGTTTTTATTAGGGATTTTAAAAGGGGAGGGGGTGTACAAACAGGGAGTAGGTCACAAGGATCACATGCTTCAAAGGGCAATAAAGATCACAAGGCAAGGCAAAATTAGAATTACTGATGAGGGTCTATGTCCCACTGTGCACACATTGTCTTGATAAACATCTTAACAGGAAACACGGTTCAAGAGCAGAGAACTGGTCTGACTAGAATTTACCAGGCTGGAATTTCCCAAAGCCTGAGGGTACTGCAGGAGACCAGGGCGTATTTCAGTCCTTATCTTAACGGCGTAAGACAGACACTCCCAGAGCGGCCGTCTATAGACCTACCCCCAGGAATGAATTCCTTCCCCAGGGTTACTCCTTGCTGGGAAAAGAATTCAGCAGTATTTCTCCTACTCACACATCCGTCTATAGGCTTTCTGTGAGAAGAAAAATATGGCTGTATTCTGCCTGACCCCGCAGGCAGTGAGACCCTATGGTTATCTTCCCTTGTTCCCTGAAAATCACTGTTATTCTGTTCTTTTTCAGGGTGCACTGATTTCATATTGTTCAAACACACCTGTTTTACAATCAGATTTCATATTGTTCAAACACACATGTTCTACAATCAATTTGTACAATAGTGGTCCTGAGGTGACGTACATTCTCAGCTTACAAAGATAACAGGATTAAGAGATTAAAGTAAAGACAGACATAAGAAATTATAAGAGTATTATTAGGGAAGTGATAAATGTCCATGAAATCTTCACAATTTATGTTCAAAGATTGCAGTAAAGACAGGCGTAAGAAACTTTAAAAGTATTAATTTTGGGAATTGATAAATGTCCATGAAATCCTCATAATTTATGTTCTTCTGCCTCAGCTCCAGCTGGTCCCTCCATTTGGGGTCCCTGACTTCCTGCAACACAATGCCTTTTATTTCTTTTTCTTGTCTTATTGCTCTGGCCACTACTTCCAATACTATGTTGAATCAAAGTGGTGAAAGTGGGCATCCATGCTTTTTTCCTGATCTTAGAAAAAGAGATTTTAGTCTTTCACCATTGAGTATGAAGTTAAATATAAGCTTTTCTTTTCTTTCTTTGTTTCTTTCTTTATTTGGAGATGGAGTCTTGCTCTGTCACCCAGGCTGGAGTGCAGTGGCACGATCTTGGCTCACTACAGCCTCTGCCTCCTGGGTTCAAGCAATTCTCCTGCCTCAGCCTCCTGAGTAGCTGGAACTACAGGCATGTGCCACCACGCCTGGCTAATTTTTGTATTTTTAGTAGAGATGAGGTTTCGCCATGTTGTCCAGGCTGGTCTCAAACTCCTGACCTCAGGTGATCCACCCACCTCGGCCTCCCAAAGTGTTAGGATTACAGGCGTGAGCCACCTTGCCTGGCCGATACAAGCTATTCATAGATGGTCCTTATTATTATCTTGAGGTAGGTTCCTTCTGTTTCTAGTTTGTTGAGTGTTTCTATCGTGAAAAGGTGTCAAATCTTGTCAACTAACTTTTCTACATCAGTTGAGATGATCATGTGGTTTTTGTCCTTCATTCTGTTAATGTGGCATATTATATTGATTGATTTTTATATGTTGCATCTCAGTAATAAATCCCACTTGATCATGGTGTATAATCCTTGTAACATACTGTTGAATTTGGTTTGCTAGTACCATGCTAATCTTCTCTGTATTGTTCCAATTTTAGAATATGCACTGCCAAAGGGAACACTCCCACAGCTTTACTTTTTAAATATGGTATAACGTAAAAATACATTAAATTTAGGCTATCAAATGAGTTAAAGACCAATAATTCTTTTCTACATTTGAAACACACAAAAATTAAGACACACATGTGCTAGTTCTTCTGTTTATTGTTTTCTTTGAGGAATTGGGCATCACCTCCTATACAGCTTCAACCTTAACCTTAGCAAATGACTGACTGCCTCTTTGGAAGGTGCTGTGAAACAATTTGGCCTATAGAGAGCATCTGTATTTGCAGGTTCTATAACATTATATGAAACTTGTTTGTAAATAAACCTAAATTGTTTAAAATAAATAAGGATATAAATAATATGTACTGAGAATTCAGTTCTTTTCCAACATATATGCAATAATTCAAACTTCAGGGTACGTAAAATACAACACCTCACACAGAATAATGTGCAGAATATGCGGAGTAACAAAAATTCTCTCCTTGACCAAACTCTAGCCAGGTTCCTCTGAGCCATTTGTGGACTAGGCCTCAACAGACTTGAACAAAACTCTAACACAGTCTCTAACAGTTCAAGGTAGCATCTCTAGGATGACTCCAGCCCCGCTTTAAAGGGCCTGCCTAAAAAAACTCAGGCTGCCAAAGGAATTTACTGTTCCAGCCAACACCTTAAGATATGGCTCCTATCTCCCAGCATCTGTAGGAGGATAAAAGCCTAACTTCCAGAAACACCCTTTAACAAACCCAGATGGGTTTCACATGGACTAACCCCTACTTCGCACTTTTTGTAATCTTTCACTTCCCTCACTCTTCTGAGCGCCCCCTCATTCCTCTCCCCTTCCCTATTTCCCCATTTTTCCTTTAAAGTCTGAGTAACATTTGTACAAATCAAAGTTGAGTTCAGTTCGTGCTGGACTCCTCCTTATTCCATTAGTATATTACTGGTTAAAACCTGTCTCAACCGCTTTACTGTCCTGCTTTGTCTTTGACAAAGGCACGGGGGTGGATTTATTTTTCTGGCTGAGTAGAGATCCTAATGTCAGGCACTGCGGACGGTGAGGGCCACGATTCTTTGGAGAAAAGTTCCAAGGGGCTATACCATTGGAAACTAACACCAGCTAATAGAATTGTCTGCTCTGCGTCACAACTCATGGAAGTTGCTGCTTCTGATCCAGAGCTGGGAAAGGTTAACAGGTGATTACAAAAGCCTAGGATGTTTTGTCAACTTCCTGGAACAATTCCACCAGTCAGAGCCCAAACCGGGGGCAAAGGAGGAAGAGAAACTCGAAGCAGGGTGTGACCAGGGTAGACAGGCTGAAAAAGGAAACAAAATGTAACATCCTAAGAGAACGCAGAGGCCGAATAAAGGAACTAACCCTCACCTGCAGCTCAGATTCTACGCCGGCGCCCGGAGCTGTGTCCTGTTGCCTAGCGACGGCGCATGCGCACTGACTAGCGCAGCCCCCTAAACATGCATCCGCGCCTGCGCAGCCGCGGGTCGCCCAGGGTTGGGATGTTGGTGTCGGCTGGGGGCTGCTGTGAGGCGCTTGGTAGCACCCAGTCCTGATACTCTCCAGTTACCCGGTAGGCGGGGCTCGGACACAAAGAAAAGGTGAATTCGCAGCTGAGAGCCCTTGTTTCCGGTCCTTTTTTTTTTTTTTTTGAGATGGAGTCTCGCTCTGTCACCCAGGCTGGAGTGCAGTGGCGCCATCTCGGCTCACTGCAAGCTCTGCCTCCGGTGTTCAAGCGATTCTCCTGCCTCAGCCTTCTAAGTAGCTAGGATTACAGGCGCGCGTCACCACGCTTGGCTAATTTTTGTATTTTTAGTAGAGCCGAGGTTTCACCAAGTTGGTCAAGATGGTCTCAAACTTCTGACCTCGTGATCCGCCCGCCTCGGCCTCCCAAAGTGCCGGGATTACAGGCGTGAGCCACCGCGCCCGGCCGTCTCCGATCTTTACACGCATTCTTCGTGTTATCTGAAGACACTCTGACGCCACCACCCAAAGCAACTGGCAGTTGACTCTTGGCAATTTTAAGCTTGTGTGGAAAGCAGCCGCCGCCCGGTAGCTCCTTTTTATCTAGAGACACTCAGGATGTGGGGGACACCCCAGCAATGCCATCCCTCCTTTGACCTCCAGAGCGCGCAGAATTACAAAGTTGAGTAATACTTTATTTGAAAAAATGAAAAGTGCACACACACACACACACACACACACTTACATAGGCACAGTATAATCTGGAAGTATGACCAGCAAATGATAACTGATTCCCTCAGGGGAGAAGAAACTGGGTGGCTGAAGGACAGGAATGAGAAAGAAGGACAGTTGCGTTTGTTTGTATCGTTTGAAATTGTCCAGTGTGTATGTGTTCTTTTCAAATGTTTGAAGAACCATTGGCTCCCTTATCAAAATGTAAATACCAAGGAAAATCAGGAATTTAAGAAGTCTAAGAATTCTGTAATGCTGGGTAGAATTTTCTGTACGTGTAAAACTAAAATGTCTTTTGTAAATCACTGAGTCTTCCTGTTTATTTCTGGTTAGAGATCTTTGGGGGCTTGGATGGAGGAACAGGAAAAGAGGAGCCAGGCTTTTTTGGAAAATTGGCGGCAGCGGTGGCATACGGGAAACTGAAATCTTTATCTAATCTCATCCTTTGTATATTCGTCTTGGATTTGCTGAAGAAAATTAAAAGGTAAATTTTGCTGTGAGCTCACTGAACTCAAATTGAAAGGGAACATATGCTGTTTATTTTTGTGAAGGACATTAATTGGGTGTGACTGGCAGGGTTGAGACCTGAAGTTCCTCTTTTAGATAAGGAAAATTTCCCTTGGTGAGAAATCTCTAGACTAGTTATGATAGATTCCTAACCCCCAACCTTGAAAGGTAACTTAAGGCTCCCTCCTCTAAGGGAAGGGCTGAAGAAAAAATTAAACAGGCAACTGTGCCTATGAAGATTTGCGAAAAAAAAAAAAAAAAAAAAACATCTAGGACACTTCTCATTCACTGGGTCAAGCCAGAGCCATCAACTTTGTGACCTAGTGAGTGGTTAGTGGATATAGGCAAGCGTAGTAACTTGGGACCAGAGGTTAGGGATCCAGAAAGTTGAAAATGTAAAGACAAAGGCCAGAGGTTATAACTTACTGCCTCTTGGTAAGTAGGAAGCCAGAAGTTGAGCTCCCAAATAAAATGTTTTAGGAACTGTGGTTCTTAAGTAACTCCAAAAGTCAGTACATTTACAAAGAAGTAAATGAAACCTCATAGGTAATGAAACAATGAGACTGAGGAGTGCCTGGGATTAGAAATTCCCAAACGGAGAAAAAAACACATCACAGAAGAGCCATACTTGGTGAAATTTATTAAAAAAAAAAAAAGAAAAACAATAATTTATGCCCTTGGCAAAATAAAAGATCTTATCAATATAAATGTTTCTTAGAAAATGTATGAAAAGATAATATATATTAATAAATCAATATTAACATTACAGCAAAAGTAATAATGATTATATAACAATGACAAGTGAAGATATTTCTGGCCCTTACACAGTAGTATTTCTGGAAGGTCTCTGATTCCTGCTTGCTCTAGTACAGGCGTGCTCTCACTTTAAGAAAGCCTGATGCCGCTGGGCGAGGTGGCTCACGCCTGTAATCCCAGTACTTTAGGAGACCCAGGCGGGCAGATTGCCTGAGGTCAGGAGTTTGAGACCAGCCTGGCTAACATGGTGAAACCCTGTCTCTACTAAAAATACAAAAATTAGCCGGGCATGGTGGCTCACGCCTGTAGTCCCAACTGCTTGGGAGGTTGAGGCAAGAGAATCGCTTGAACCCAGGAGGTGGAGGTTGCAGTGAGCCGAGATCGCGCCACTGCACTCCAGCATGGGCGACAGAGCAAGACTCCATCTCAAAATAAAGAAAGAAAGAAACAAAGAAAAGAAAAGCTTATATTGAACTTCTCTAAAAAAAGAAAAAAAAGAAAGCCTGATGCACACAAATCTAAATTTGGCAAGTCGATCAATTAAAGGATATTTATTTGCATCACAAAATAATTCTTTACTCCCCCCAAAAATCAATAAAAAGTTCAAATAGCAACTTTTCCTAATGTGTTTAAAATGTAATCACCAAATACATGTGTCCCCAACTTCTTTCCAGTTATAATTCTATTGTGTAAAGTGAGGTATACCTGAAGTGAGGCAATAAGAGAGTTGAGCTTCAGACCTGCCTGGAGAGAGCGTGTTCTTTCTTAGAGTCTGAGGAAATGGTTGGGGGCACAAATTCTCTCAATCTTTTTCTTTTCCCTCATCCTGAGCTCTTATTTTCTTGTCTCAACTGCTTTCTGGTAAACTTTGTTCACCTGGTACTTTCAAGAAAAAAAGAAGGAAATCTTACGAGAGGGAGGCAGATTAATGAATTAGTGAGTCACTCTAGCAGCGCAGAGCAAGGGAGAATCTGCGATGTGAATGAGGAGGATCTGAGTGTGGGTGTGGTTGTACTTGGGGAAAAGCAGGAACAATCTTGAACCCTTGACATGGTGCATTTGAGGCCCCTCTCCCAGTAGGGCCACCTGAGTCCCTGAGGAGCCGCAAGGCCTAGTCCAGCCTTCCCTAGATGGGACACATCCTCAGGAGAATGGATGCAGGCCTATTTATCACACTCCTCCTGGCTGCCTTCAGCACAATGGTAGTGCTGCTCACAGAACTCCTGGATCCGGCTGCACGCCTCCAGCATCATCACCTCGGGGACTGTGATGACCACTCGGATGAAATTCGGGTACTCAAAGCACTGCAAAAAGAAGAGTCTGTTACTTTCAGAGCAATTGAGTCTGGTACTGGACCACCCTAAAATGGTCAGGACCCTGATCCACAAGAAGTGGTACCATTTCATCAGGGCCATCAGTTCATTCAGCTCCCATGACTGGGATGCTAAGTCAGCAACTGAGTTCATTCATCTTAAAATGACTTGTGGGACAGGATCAATTTCCTCTCACCTAGAACGTTTGTTTACAACTTTTCTTCCCAGTATGGATGGGATTATGATGGGGGGGAGAAGCAAATTTTAAATAGGATCCATGAGACACATCAGTTTGAATCTTATCAAATGAGAAGACATTTTGTTGGAGGAGAAAAGATCAGGCTAAAAACCAGCTCAGAACTTGCTTCTGGGGCTCTAGAAACTGTTGAGAATGTCCTGAGGGACACAGGCACCCACCGTTGCTGGGAGGCAGTGGACAGACTGCTCAGCAACTAACCGCTCCGTGAACTCCACATCGTTCTCAAATTCTGGGAAATGTTCCATCTCAATTCCAACCTATACCAACAGGAGGGAGAGGCCAACTTATCAGAAGGAGGGAGAACAGGCCAATTTCCTGTGCCAGAAATTAAGGTAGGGGCTACTTTAAAAGATATCTTGGAACTGTGCTACTGATCACTGATAAATAAGAGGGCTAATATTTATGGAATTTTTCTCAGGGAAGACAGGATATATTTTTATTAATAAATATTAAAGAGTTCCTTCCCTGATGCTGATAAATAAAAGCTGGAAATAGAATGCTAGTATGTCTCAAAAGAGACACTACTGGCATTAGGGCCAGGCAACTCTTTATGGCATGAGACTAGCCCACCCCTTGCAGGATATTTAACATCCCTGACCCACAAAATGGCAGCCCCTAGTCATTCTGAAAACAAACAAAATTCCCATACATTCCCAGATACCCTTAGGGAACCAGTATCACTCCCAGTTGAGAATTACAATGGTATGAAAAGCCTCTTATTTGTGTTTTAAATCTTCCCTGTATCTACATATATAAAATGATTCTCTGTACTGAAAAATTAAATCTTTTTTTTTTTTCTTTTCGGATGGGGTCTCACTCTGTCTCCCAGACGGGAGTACAGTGGCACGATTATGGCTCACTACAGCCTCAACCTCCAAGGCTCAAGTCATTCTTCCATCTCAGCCTCCCAAGGAGCTAGGACTACAGGAGTGTGCCACCACGCCCAGCTCATTTTTTTTATTTCTTGTAGAGACAATAGAGTTTCACCATGTTGCCCAGGCTGGTCTCTAACTCCTGCGCTCAAGTGATCCGTCCACCTTGGCCTCCCAAAGTGCTGGCATTGCAGGCGTGAGCCACCATGCCCTGCCTAATTAAGTCATTTAAAGAGTTTTATGAGAACTGATAGAGGCTAAATTACCTCAGTGGGACAATTCAGAATAAGACAACTCCTAAACTGCTTGGCTTAGGAGGCCAGCTGGTTGTCTTTGTACCCTGCGTGACTGCCTGTGGCAATTCTGCTGAATGACTGCCCTTTGCCTTACAACATGCATTGACCTAGTGCCTGCCACCCACATACTCACCATGAGGTACATAGCCCCAGAAGGGCGGACTGGCCGGAGTCCAGGGATGGCAGCCAACGCCCCATAACAGAGATCAGCATTGGACTACAAGAAGAGGCAAGGAGAAATCAAGGATCAAAATTTAAGTAAAAGAAAAGCCAAGTCATTAAAAATAGCCCCCTCATTGAAGAGTGGGAACGTAGGTGTGATGTTCTGGCATAAGGAGTGAAAAAGAAAAAGCTCTATTACTTGAAGCTTTTCACCAGGGGCAGAGAGAATGGCCGGAAGTGAGAAACGTGTGTGTGGATGCTTACACCGATGCCGTCTCCTAATATTGGAACATGGCTCCAGAAAGGAGAACCAATTATTCCTAATTCCACGGGCGGCATTCTCTGACTCCCAAACTCCCAAAGTGGAGGGCAGGAGCTGCCCTTACCTTGAGGAAGCTCAGAGTGTTGTGGTAAAACTCTCCCGGGGTGCGACATAGGATGCTTTTCAGAGCTCCCTGGACAATGGTACAGGGTCCCAAAATGCGCTGACTCAGCTTCACCAGCCCATCTCGGATCTAAAAGACACCCACAAGAAACATGTTGTTTAGCTTTTCTTAAGCATCTCTGTCTTAGAGTTTCTTGTTCTGACCTTTCTATCAGGTTTTTAATCTTGGAAAGTGATGGTGTCTAGTGGCATTCTTAGATCAGACCCTCTGGGTTCGTAGCCCAGCTCTGCCACACACATGCTGCTTGACTGACAAGGAGAAAGAAAAGAAAAAAGCCTCCCTTGTCCCCACTGTGCTCATGAAATAAATATATACCCTAAATTACACATACTCTTTCACCATATTATCACCTCATTGCCAAAAATGTCTCTTCGGTCATGAATGAGGATCCAGCCCAACCTCCAGCCAGGAACCAGCCAGCGCTTGGCCAGCCCTCCACAGGACAGGATGGGGACATCGGTGCTGAGGGTGGCCAGTGGTTCATATTTGCAATCCGAAAACACCTGAGAAGAGGCACTTGTTATGGTTGTTTTCTTGTCTACTTCTCACTGCAATCCCAGATCCCGTGGCTCCCACCCATTTCCTTCTATCACTAGGGACAGGTCCTTGGATTAATGGGATCATCCCTACCCTGAAGCATGACTGGGATTGCAAGAGGCTTTGAAGGGGACTACACAAAGACATTTAATTTGGTGTCTGGACTGGATTAAAGGAAGCCTAAAATGAGGAAACTGACCCTAGCCCAGTAATATTTACAACTCCATGAAGCTGGCTCTATGAAATTACTGTCTATAGGAGTTACAGATTTAAAATATAAGTCCACAATCCCTTATCTGAAATTCCTGGGGCCAGGTATTTTCATAATGCAAAATGGTTTGGGCTTCAGAAAGGCCATGTAGCACACTTACCATACGTTATGTAACACTCCCAGAGCTGTCTAGGATAGTACCCCTAATCAAGAATATTAACATTTCTGCCATTTTCCCCACACTCTTAACAAATATATAGATCCACAAGTGGGAAAAATAAAAATCTACAAATATCAGGTCAAATCAGGTTTTGTAACCAAATGAATTCCAGGAATCTTTGGATTTCCAAAGTTCTTTGGGTTTCAGAAAACTGGCTAAGGAGTTGTGGGTCTATATATTTGTAAAAAGTGCAGGGATGCTGATTTGCTGTAATGAAACGATTAGGAGTTGTTTCTGATTATTCCACTTCTAAAGTTCCCATAAAATAATTTGAGATTACTGTAGTGATATATCCTGATCAAGACTCACCATGTCTCCATAGATCTCATCAGCTAAGATGGGGACACACTGCCGTGCAGCCACTGAAAATAAAACATGCTGAAATCAGTTTTAATGTGAATTGCTTTATCATGTAATAGTCACATAATATCATGTAATTTCCCTATCCCGTAATATTAAGAAGTTACAATTCTTAAAGAGAAAGACAAAAAGCACAAGCAAAGTGTGATTTGCATTTCATGTTTGTGTGTTTTGTCTTCCTATTTAAGAACTGTAAATTCTTAACATACTCTTCCAGAGTGCAGAGCCTGAATTCACCATTTAAGTAACTAGATATTTCAGACCCTATCTTCAACGTGATGGGAGTGATGAAGAGGCAAGTACTATTTCTTTTTCTCCTGGGAGTGATGAAGAGACAAGTATTTCTTCTTTTTCTTCTTTTAGGCCAGGCCTACCACTCCTATGGCACAGTATTGATGAGAGACATCAGTGGAGCTCCCCACCTCCACCCCAGGCTTGGAACTTAGGGAATGACTGGTTTTTGTCATTTCACACAACAGCTGAAGGATTCTGTCCCCACCTCGTCCTCTGTGAAGTCTGCTGGACGTACCTGCCAGAATCTTCTGAAGATGACGTTTGCTGAACACTGACCCACAGGGGTTTGATGGATTATTGACAATGAGACAAGCTGTCTTTTCATCAATTAGATATTCCAGTTGTTTCAGGTCAATTTCCCAAGATTTCTCTGGCTGGAGAGAAAGAAAGGATGAGACTAAGATGATTCTGAAACATTTAGGGGGAATCCTCACTTATCTCAAGGGTCCAATGTAAGCAATAAAGTCTGTCTCTGGCTTCAACCACCACTTTGAGACCTTCCTCTGCTGAAGTAATGTTCATATATTTTTTACAGGTTAGTAACTGAGCATTTGAGTCTAAGATTAAAAAGTCATTTACCAACAAATTGTAGAGTTTGACCTCAATTCCCATAGACTCAGCCAGAGTCTTGTAGAGAGAGAAACCAGGTCTTGGAACCAGGATGTTTTGCCCTGGGTTGGCCAACACAGCTAAACAAAGGTCAATAGCTTGGCTGCAGCCACTTGTCAGAATGACGTCCTGTGAAGGAAATAAAAGGTTAATTTCATTAGGGGTTCCAACAGCAACAGGAGAAAAGAAGTTGTCAGGTGGGTGAGTTGGGAGCAATTGTGAACTTCCTTTAACAAGTTGTAAGTAGTAGGAAATGTACTAAGCCAAAACCAAAAGAAATTTATATATGTTGATAACTATTGTTGAAATGTTGGCCACTTAAATCACTTTAAAAAGGATAGGTTGGCTGTGACTCAGCAGACTTCCATGAGAGAGCATGCTGGCCTTGGACCTTTTTCGCTTGGTTATTTATTTACTTTTGGCCAGAGATTTGAAGCCTGGCTCTTCGCTGACATACAGGTGACAGACACACATTATGTTAGAAAATGCTGACCCCACACAGTAGACTATAGAGGGAAGGACATCATTTAAACTTGGCACTGCCATCAATTCAGTATGTCCTGGTACTTCTATCTTTCTCTCTAAATGACCTTACAGTAAATGAGAAAAGCTACAATTTTTTTTAAAAAAGAAAGATCCTATTGGTAAAATTTTTTAAAATAATTTTTTAGTGTTTATGAGTTGTTCTCAAATGATCTTTTACAGACAATCAAATATAGGTGCTCTCTGGATCCTTTCGGCCTCCTTGAGACAGACACCACATTAAGTTGTATGGGATGGTCATTATCACACTGTAATGACATTAACTATAATCACTGATTAGTGACCCCAACTATATGAGAAGTCTTCTAATTGCTAAAGGGAAATTGTTCTCAGCTTTTCCCCCTCTGACACCCGTACTTCTTGTGGAACAGAAACAAGTAAAAAGGGATAGTTTGCCCTAAATTGCTTCAGAGCTGGTGTCTTGTATAAGGCTCACCTTAGCTTCTAGGGGTGCCTCAGGACAGTGGTAATAAGAAGCAATCTCCTCCCGACTGGATAGGAAGCCTGAAAGAAAAGAGTGGAAAGTGGAGCTTTTTTGGTTTTTAGAGACTGTGTCTCACTCTGTCACCCGGACTTGGAGTGCAGTGACACAGCCATAGCTCACTGCGGCCTCAAATTCCTGGGCTCAAGGGATCCTCCCACCTTAGCCTCCTGAGTAGCTGGGACTATAGTCGTGCTCCCCCACATTCAGCTAATTTTTGAATTTTTTTGTTTTGTTTTTTGTTTGTTTGTTTTGTTTTGTTTTTGTTTGTTTTTTTTGTAGAGACAGAATCTCCCTCTGTTGCCCAGGCTGATTTCACACTCCTGGGCTCAGGGGCTCCTCCCACCTCAGCCTCCTGAAAGTGCTGGGATTACAGGGGTGAGCCACTGTGCCTGGCAAGAAGATGAAGTTTTCATCCCTCAACTGACAGCTATGCCCTGGAGGCCCAGCATGGGCTTCAGGCTGCCTCTGCCCCTGCTCAGAGGGCATTCTATTTAGTTCAGCTCTCAGCCATTGTGGATAAAGGAGATTCACTTCACATTTTATGTTTTACAATTTTAGTATAAGCACGAATGTATAAATGATAACAAGGAAGAGCTCCCCAAATACTCTGCACCATCTTGATTTCTGTGATTATATTTTATTCTGTGTAATACAAGGATTTCTATTATTCCCAAATCTTTTTTAGGGACTGTATTTTTTAAGAAGTTGTAATCGCCAGGCGCGGTGGCTCACGCCTGTAATCCCAGCACTTTGGGAGGCCAAGGTGGGTGGATCACCTGAGGTCGGGAGATTGAGACCAGTCTGACCAACATGGAGAAATCTCATCTCTACTAAAAATACAAAAATTAGCTGGGCATTGTGGCGCGTGCCTGTAATCCGAGCTACTCAGGAGGCTGAGACAGGAGAATCACTTGAACCCGGGAGGCGGAGGTTGCGGTGAGCCAAGATCATGCCACTGCACTCCGCCTGGGCAACAAGAGCGAAAACTTCGTCTCAAAAAAAAAAAAAAAAAAAAAAAAAGAAGTTGTAATCAGTGCATTCAATTCATGTGGTCCATTTTAAGTTTTTTATGTTATGTAATATTCTTATCAGTATTTTTGTACAAATTTTTATTTCAAATTATTTTTGTACAATATTTCCAAATGTTGGCTTACAAGCTTGAAGTATCAGCAGTTTCATGCCCATCATAATATTTTGCAAAATTTATGTTCAAAAAGACAACTTAGCAAGGCTAGAGGCACTATTTCATAATGTTTACTAATTTAATAGGTATAGATGGGTGTCTCAAAGTTATACAAATCAGCACTTCCTTAATTACTAATGAGGAAGAACACTTTTTTAGACATATATTAACACCTGTATCTCCTTTGAAATGAAATGTTCAGAACCTTTGAACATTTGTCAAATGGAGACTTGGTTTTGGTTTTTCAGGTTAAATCAGTTTCCTAATATTTGGATGTTAAAGTCATTAGAAACTTTTTTTATAACAACTTTTGGTCTTGATTTTGCTTTTATTTTTGTTGTATGAAACTTTATAAAATGTAAGTAATCAACCGAAAAACCACGAAGTCCCCGATATAACTCTTTAAAGTGTTTTTAAAATTTGATTTTATCATGAAACTGGGGTTTTATTCTGCATTAAGAATGTGTTTCTATGTACACATAAGGAAAAAAAATGTTCAATACTGAAAGTCAAGGAATCATGTACTTTACCAAAATATTCAGGGTAGAAATTTTTAATAGATGGAGAGAAACCTAAAAAGGAGTAATTTCAATCTATCAGAAACAACCTTCTATCCTTCAGTTTGACAGCCCATTTTTTGTTGTTCTTGGGTGTTTGTTTATTTGTTTGTTTAAACCCGTTAGTCATAAACGGTAACAATTGCATTTCAATGTGCTCAGGACCATAATGAAAATAGGCCTTCAATACATAGAGAAGCAGAAATGAAGCAAAGGAGCTATATACACAGAGCAATAAGTAAATCCATTTAGGACCTAGAGGCTCAGCAAACACAAAGCTCCTGCCAGACTCAAGGCCTTCAGATTAGAATTAGTAATGATAGGATAGGAGCTTTACTTGACAAATAAGTATGTTTGGGAGCCTAGAGGGGAAGTGCCCATATGTCAAAGAAAGCCAGGAAAGAAGTTGGACCTTGATGCCTTGTATTTAAGCATCCCGAGACCCGGTTCCCAAATCCAAAGGACCATGTAATCTTAGCCTCTCCTTAGGAATTGTGCATCAGGAAAGTGAAGAGGATTGCTAGACATTTAGTCCTGTTATAAGAGCACTAAAGATTTGGCAGTCACCAGGTATGGAGTCTCAGGAGGAGCTTACCGATGGATGGGGCATAGCCATTATATTTGCCCGAGTCCAGGGCATCTTTCATTGCCTGGGTAACTTCAGGGTCTGTAGGCAGGTTTCCAAACACAGTAGGGTCCCCTTTTTATGGGAGGAAAACACAAAAGGAGCCAAGAGGTTATTCTCCCATGTTCAGTACTCAGACTCACCCCCAACTGCCATCTTCTCCAACCAGCCTGTGAACATGAGAGTAGAGGAGGACAATGACAGCCCCTCAGTAGTGTCCCCAACTCACCAATGGACAGGGAAATCATGGTTTTGTTTGGATTTGGTTTCACCTTCATGTTGTCCACAATGGCTCGGATGGGGTTGAAAGTTTTCTTGGCCATGTCTGAGGGCCTCACAGACCACCTGGCCTTTCTGCCTTTCATTTTTCCCGGCACAGAGCTTCTCCCACCAACGTTGACATGCACGTCCAGAATTGAGGGGAGGTTGCCTTTGCTGCTCATCTGAATCATGTATGGGTCCATCACTAGCGAAGCCTGCGAGGGGAAAGAAGTTCCCTGTGATGTTGATAACATAGCGCTGGGGGACAGAGGAGCTACATTTGGACCTAAACATTGGGTGACTTCACTAAAAGTGTCTTTCCAAACTCTCTCTTTATTTTTTTTTCTACTTTCTGTTGTAAAGTAGCTTTACTATGAATGGGGGAGTTTTAAGAGTTTTTACTGAGATGGAAAATAAAGCAAGAACCCATTCTACTTAAGTAGGATTTGCTACACGCATCTGCAATTCCTGTCAAAGCTTAACCATGCTCTATGTGAAACCAAGAAGGAATAAGATGAAAATTGTTCATCAGTCAAAGCATAGGTTCTCCTTCCTTTCCATGCGAGCCTATCCAAGAAAATCTACCTAATGCTTCTTGTCATCTGCAGAGGACCAGGAAGAACCACTCCATCTTGTTAGAAGTTCCATGTAAATATCATTGTTAGTAAAAGTAAAACCTTATCCCATAAGCATGTTACAGCCCTAGCTGGAAAAAGAAATCAATACACCAAAAAGAAAAAAATTAACAGCTCAATCAGTCACCACTGCCTGATCAGCTTGGGCTTGAGATTTTTACCTTCCAAGTAAAGGAGAAAGCAGCCTCCAAGAAGCCAACCCCGAAAGCTCCCTTAGCTCTTCTTTGACAGGTTACAGGGGCAATGAACTCAGATGCAAATCCTAACTCCTGAAATAGTCTCCACAAATGGGCGTTGGGCTTGAAACTTTCATGCCATTGGTTGGAATGACAACTCAGCAGCCAGCTCTCCCCTCAGCTTCTTTCCTCCTCTCCCCCGTCATTGCCTCTCATCCCTAAGCCCACCTCCCACCCTCAAAGCAGGAATTTGTCCTCACTTCAAACATCTGGAATTCTCCTGTGTTAACTCTTTCTGGGCACTTGGTGAGATGGTTTGAGAACATCTACTGTCAGAAAGTACTTCTGGTTACAGTTGATAGCTTTTATTAAATTTTTTTTACAAAACAGCCTGTTAAAATTTTAACAGTACAGAAATATATAAAGTAAGAAGTGAGCATTCTTCCTTGCACCTGCTCCCTGTACACTTCATTCTCACTCCCAGGGGTAGAGGGTGGTAATGGTCAGGCTCTTTCCCTCCATTCAGAGATAGATACATTACATATAGGTGCATAGATACATAATTTCATAGATTTCAAAACACAGATAGGATCGTGCTCTACACCTTGTTTGGCAACATTTTTTTTTTAACTTCCTACATCTTGGACGCCCATCCTTGTCAGTCCACAAAGTTTTGCTCCAATCAGAACAAATTGGGCACTTAAGTTCCATTCAACAAATAGCTGAAAAGCACAGGGTGTCCAAGGCAGCTGAAACCTGTGCAGTTTTATCCTTGCACTGTGCATGAATTCTTCATTTACCTCCTATGGTTGTTGGAAGAATTTAAAATGTCAGGTGCGATCCACACAAAACAACTTTGCTAAGCAAAACACAAGGTCCACAGCCAAAATCTCAACATTCCTGTGAGCAGATGGAAAATACCACCCACTGAAGGGTTAAGAGAAGCCTCAGTGATCTCCCCAGGGCTCAGATCCTGTCTGTTTATTTGTTGGAAGACAAAGATTTTTCACATCAGTTTGTTCTTCTCCATTCACTTTTCAGGGAGTCAAGCCTCCAGTGGGGTTGAATACAGTAGTCCCCCCTTATCCACAGGGAGCACACTCCAAGACCTCCAGTGGATGCCTGAAATTATGGATGTCTGAAACCATGGGTAGTACTGAGCCCTAGGTACACTATGTTTTTTCTTATACAGTAATGGCAGGTAACGTCTATAGCATGGATACACTAGAAAAAATTATTCACGTCTTGGGCCAAGGGCATCCTTGTCATAAATGTTAGTTTACATATTTGATTATTTCCTTAAGACAGATTTCTATACAAGGACTGTGTTGCAAAGAATAAGCATTTCTCTTTTACATTTTTAGTAAATATGATATATCCTTATATAATAAATTCAAATAGAGATGTACGTGAATTAAACCCTGATCACCTTCCCTCCCTGCATTCTCATTTTATATAAAAAAATCATTTTTAGTCATTTCTTGTGTACCCTTCCAAATGTTTTCTATGTTTATTACAATACGTATAAAGCTGGTTTGGGAGTTGCTAAAAAAATGGAGAGTAAACGTGGTCTATAGTTGCACTGTCTAATATTGTAGCTACTAGTCATAAGTGGCCGTTGAATACTTGAAATGTGACTGGTCTGAATTAAGATGTGTTGTAAAATACACATCAGGTTTTGAAGACTTAGTATAAAAAAAGAATGTTAATATCTCATATAATTTTGTATGATTACATGTTTAAAGAATATTTTGGGGCTGGGCATGGTGGCTCACACCTTTGGTAATCCCAGCCTTTCGGGAGGCCAAGGTGGATGGATCACTTGAGCTAAGGAATTCAAGACCAGCTTGGGCAACATAGTGAAACCCCGTCTATACAAAAAGATACAAAAACTAGCCAGGCATGGTGGCATGAGCCTATAGTCCCAGCTACTTGGGAGGCTGAGGTAGGAAGATCACCTGAACCCAGGAGGTCAAGGCTGCAGAGAGCTGTGATCATGCCATTGCACTCCAGCCTGGGTGACAGAATGAGACCTTGCCTCAGAAAAAAAAAAAAAAAAAAATATATATATATATATATATATGTATATATATATATAAAATGTATTTTATTTTACTCAGTACACCGTATATATATAATAAAATATATAATAAAATATATGATAATAAAATACATGGTGTGCTGAGTAAAATAAAATACATTCTTAAAATTAATTTCACCTATTTGTTTTTATATCTTAAAATATTTCTATTAGGAAATTTGAAGTCACTATGTGGCTTGCATTCTGTCTATTGGACAGGGCTGTTCTGTAGCTTGCTTTTTTTAAAATCTTAATAATGTGTGGGCTGGGCGTGGCAGCTCATGCCTGTAACCCCAGCACTTTGGAGGCCAAGGCAGGCAGATCATCTGAGATCAGGAGTTCAAGACCAACCTGGCCAACATGGCAAAACCCCATCTCTACTAAAAATACAACAATTAGCCAGGCACAGTGGTGCACACCTGTAATCCCAGCAACTCAGGAGGCTGAGGCAGGAGAATCGCTTGAACCCAGGAGGTGGAGGTTGTGGTGAGCCGAGATCGTGCCACTGCACTCCAGTCTGGGCGACAGAGTGAGACTCCGTCTCAAAAAATAAAAAATAAAAATAAATAGCCTGGTGTGGTGGCTCACGCCTATAATCCCAGCACTTTGGGGTTGCTGAGGCAGGCGGATCACGAGGTCAGGAGATGGAGACCATCCTGGCTAACACCGTGAAACCCCATCTCCGCTAAAAATACAAAAGTTAGCCCAGCCTGGTGGCGGGTGCCTGTAGTCCCAGCTACTCGGGAGGCTGAGGGAGGAGAATGGCATGAATCCGGGAGGTGGAGCTTGCAGTGAACTGAGGTCGCGCCACTGCACTCCAGCCTGGGCGACAGAGCCAGACTCTGTCTCAATAAATAAATAAATAAAATAAAAAATAAAGCATATCGAATGTCCTTGTACATTCATGATTGATAGAGAACTTTTATGCATATCCTGTTATTTGAGGGATAGTTTCAATTACGGACTATACAAAGACGAAAGCAATGCAAATATGTTTAATTTGAACAACCTCTTGGAGTTCAGACTACCTGTCATGACAATATACTGTGCTTGAGAGATGACACAGGTACCTCACTGAGTGTTACTGTAGTGGTTCTCCAGGTGGACAGAGACTCAGAGGTGTTAAAAAAAATTATTCAATAACACTTGTTAAAGCATGGTAAGGCAGACTTTATTCAGGACCATTCCAATAGCTAGACGGCCCACTGCAATGGATTTTCCAGTGGGGAAGAGAAATTGGATTCAACTCCAAATATGGTGATGGCAAGTGTGGATTTATAGCCAAGGATGGAAAAAGTAAGAGGAATCATCAGGAGTAAGGGGGATTCTGCTAAACTGACCTAGAAGGCCAGTGTCAGTGTCATCCTGCTGAAGACAGGCCATGGTGACCAAACATTCCCTGGGGGACGGCAAAGAATGAGGAACCTGGTCAGATATGCAGGGTGGGAAATCTTGCCAAAATGACTCAGGGTTCTTTGCTAAAACTGGATCTTGCAAGGAAGTGCAGATGGGCTTAGAAGAAGATCCAGAAGCCTGACAAAAGTCTGGTCAATCAGAGAATCTTTGTCAGAGGTTGAGACCACTGGTCTTTAAAAGAGATCAAGTAAGAATCAGATTTTTCTCAATGTGAGAAGGCTACTATGACTGATTTCTGTCACTCAAGGTTCAGATTTTCTTTTCTTTTTTTTGAGACGGAGTCTCACCCTCCTCACCCAAGCTGGAGTGCAACGACGCTATCTCAGTTCACGGCAACCTCCGCCTCCCGGGTTCATGCCATTCTCCTGCCTCAGCCTCCCGAGTAGCTGGGACTACAGGCACACACTACCACATCCGGCTAATTTTTGTATTTTTAGTAGAGACGGGGTTTCACCATATTGGCCAGGCTGGTCTTGAACTCCTGACATCAAGTGATCCTCCCGCCTCGGCCTCCCAAAGTGCTGGGATTACAGGCGTGAGCCACTGCACCTGGCCTCAAGGTTCAGATTTTCAAGGAGACACGGATCCAACTCCCCCTCCCACATTTACACAGCCTGTAAGATTGGTGTCCTGTCTCCAACTGGACATTAAACCAGGAGACTTAGATTATTCCCTTATAGGTTGTGACCCCTGGGGTCTTCCCTTTTTATCTTGGGAGCTCAGGCATTTTGTTATATTTTATCAAGTATGTCTAAATATTTTTGTAATGGAAGATTTTCTAGGTTATCCTGTCCTCAATACAGCCAGAAAAGGAAATCTGTCTTCTTCCTTACTTAAAATGTCACTTTGTACTAAATTCCTGTATCTTCTTGACTCTCTTTCTGGCATATGCTATTCCAGAATGAACATTCTTACAGTTTTTTATACACACAGCCACATTGCTTTAAAAAAGGCCATTTACCTTTCTATCAGTAATTGTCTGCAAACCCTGGGAATTATTTTCTTAAAAAAATCTTTGCCAAACTGATTGATGGAGGAAAAATGGTATCCAAGTGCTGCTGTTATTTCTGTTAACTCTGTCCCCTCTATTTTAGCGAGGGTGGTCATGTTTCATGTTTCTTTGCTCTTCCCATTTTGTGAATTGTCTGTTCATGTCCCTCACCCGTCTGTCTACAAGGGGACTCATCTTTCTCGTAGGTAGGACTTTGGCCTAGGAAGCCACTGCAAAGCAACAAGACAGCTGCTTTGAGATCACTGGCCCAGTCTCCTCTGTGTCAACCTGACTGGCTGAGACTCAGGTTTACAGATCAAAAAACAGCAAGCAGCACAAAATTTTGGCGGGTTGTCCTGCAAATAGTGCCGCTGACGCAGAATCTGCAGGCCAAGGGGTGTGTGATGGGGACAAGAGCTGCTGTACCAGAAGGTCATCACCATGGACACACCCTCGCCTCGGCTTTGGCAGTTGACAACGAAACCTAAATCAGAAGGAAAAACAGACAAGGCAAACAAGTTTTGGTCATGCGCTCTTCTGTAGCTAATGTTTTCCCTCGGTAGAAAGCAGACAGAGAGGGCCAGGCGCGGTGGCTCACGCCTGTAATCCCAGCACGTTGGGAGGCCGAGGCGGGTGGATCACAAGGTCAGGAGATCGAGACCATCCTGGCTAACACGGTGAAACCCCGTCTCTACTAAAAATACAAAAAAAAAAAAAAAAATTAGCCTGGCATGGTGGCGGGCGCCTGTAGTCCCACCTGGAGGCCGAGGCAGGAGAATGGTGTGAACCCAGGAGGCGGAGCTTGCAGTGAGCCGAAAGTGCTCCGACAGAGCGAGACTCCGTCTCAAAAAAAAAAAAAAAATGCAGACAGAGAGAACGTGAGAGGACCCAAGTCTACTTAGGAAGCTTTCCTGATGCCAGATAAACTTTACAGGGAAGTCAGGACCCAGTAAAGTGTAGAAACACTCGTTTTTTGTTTGTTCGTTTGTTTTAAGACAAAGTTTCGTTCTTGTTGCCCAGACTGAAGTGCAATGGCACTATCTCAGCTCACTGCAACCTCCGCCTCCCATGTTCAAGCGTTTCTCTTGCCTCAGCCTCCCAAGTAGCTGGGATTACAGGTGTCCACCACCACTCTCGGCTAATTTTTTGTATTTTTAGTAGAGACAGGGGTTCACCATGTTGGCCAGGTTGGTCTCGAACTCCTGTCCTCAGGTGATCCACCCGCCTCAGCCTCTCAAAGTGCTAGGATTACTGGTGTGAGCCACCACACCTGGCCTTTTTTTTTCTTAAGTATAAAATTGTTGTTTGCCATTTTGTATTTAAAATTTTTTAATTGTGGTAAAAAAAAATACTTAACATTAAATTTACCATCTTAACTTTTTTTAAGAGGCAGGGCCTGGCTCTGTTGCCCAGGCTGGAGTGCAGTGGTGTGATCATAGCTCACTGCAGCCTCAAACTCCTGGGCTCAAGTGATCCTCATACCCCAGCCTTCAGAGCAGCTAGAACTACAGATACACACCACCACGCCCTGCCAATTTTTTATTTTATCGTAGAGACGGGATCTCGCTATGTTGTCCAGGCTGGTCTTGAGCTCCTGGCCTCAAGTGATCCTCCCACGTCAGCCTCCCAAAGTACTGGGATTACAGGCATAAGCCAGCATGCCCAGCCAACTTAAACATTTTTAAATGTACAGTTTAGTTTATTCACGTTGTTGTACAACAGATCTCCAGAACTGTTTCATCTTGTAAAACTGAAGCTCTACACCCATTAAGCACGAATTCCCCCTTCAATTTCCCCTTAGCCCTTCACAACTACCTTTCCACTTTCTGATAGAAAAGTATTTGTGAAATAGCGCCATCACCTAGAGATAACCACTGTGAACCATTTTGCCCACAATTAACATCTTGAAATTTCTACTTTTTTCTAGATATACAGAGTTTTGTATTCCGTGGTTTTCATTTTACAATATATTGTGAACATTTTCCTAAGACTATAAAAATTTTTGTAAACTTGCTTATCAATAGTCGCCTAAAACCCCAGGGCCCTCATTTTTACAGACCTGTTTCCCACACCCTTTCTTTTCTCCACCTATGCAGATTGGGCATCTATCCCACACCAAGCACTGTCTGGCATCTTGAACCTGAATCGAGTCATGTAATCTTCACATCAGTCCTAGAAGTAGAGGCTGTTTCATTCCCACTTTACAAACGAAAGCTAAGTCACACTGGTAATTGGTGGCGAGTTGGAGTTCAAGCTTCATAATCTGGCTCCAGAGCTCACTACACAAGTCTGCCTCTCTTCAGCGGACAAAGTAAGTTGAGAAGCACAGTCTTTTCTTCTCTAAGGAATATAAAAAGAGAAAACATGAAGACAGAGCCAACTGGGAAAGCCTTAAGAAAATAGTGAATTAACTATGTGGATTAAGTATGGACTACTCTCTGAACTTTTATTGCTCATCTTTATTAATTATTTTGTATCTTTGCACCCTGAATCATCATTAGTTATCACTCATCCTTGTTGGGTACAGAGAATGTACATGTTCTACTTCTCCTAGCCGACTGTATGTTACGTGAGGAAGTGCACAGCGGGGACATTCCTAATACTTTCAACATCCTCCTTTGTATCTGGCCCAGCACTTTATAGAAGCCGTGTTCAATACTCATTAGCCAGTTGGCAATAAATTACAGTACATGATACAGAGGGGGAAAAATGGTGGAAGAAGTGGTAATTGAAGGGAAACCAAAGTCTCTTCATATTTATTGTATTTGTAGATGGTGGGGTGAAGAATTTAGGAGGGATTAAGAGACCAGGTTGGACTTTGATAATGTATAATGCCTTACATTTATAGAGGGCTTTGTGGTTTGATCTCCCACTCATTATCTCAATTATCTTATGTCATTCTCTCTTTCTCTCTCTCTCTCTTTCTCTCTCTATCTCTCTCTCTCTCTCTCTCTCTCTCTCTCTCTCTCTCTCTCTCTCACCCCATAAGCTAGACAGGGAGAAGGCTGTCAGAATGGAGAGGTAAGCCTGGTTGAGCTTTCTTTTTTTTAATGAAACTATTTATTTATTTAAAGATTTTCACAGCCAGGGTGGTGGCTCACACCTGTAATCCCAGCACTTTGGGAAGCCAAGATGGGCGGATCACCTGAGGTCAGGAGTTCGAGACCAGCCTGAGCAACAACCCTGTCTCTACTAAGAATGCAAAAATTAGCTGAGCATGGTAGCACATGCATGTAATCCCAGCTACACTGGAGGTTGAGGCAGGAGAACCACTTGAACCTGGGAGGCAGAGGTTGCAGTGAGTTGAGATCATGCCACTGCACTTCAGCCTGGGCAATGGAGTGAAACTCTATCTCAAATGAAAAAAAAAAGAGATTTTCAGAAAAGCTGCAGATAGTAGAGTTCCCACATACCTCTCACCCAGTTTCTCCCTTTTCAAACATATTATATTTACCATGGTAAATTCTTAGTCACAACTAAGAAACAAACATTGGCCCGTTAATATTAACTAAACTCCACACTTTATTCAGATCTCACTAGTTTCTCCTACTAACAACCTTTCTCTGTTCCAAGATCCCATCTGGGATATCACATTATATTTGGTGGTCATGTCTCCTTAGTCCCCTCTGGTCTGTGACAGTTTCTTAGACTTTGTTTTTCATGACCTTGGCAGCTTTGGTGTAGAATATTCTTGAATTTGGGTTTGTCTGATATTTTTCTCATGGGTTCTGGAAAGACCAGTTGAGCTTTCAGAGTTACAGCCACTCATTCCACATCAGAGCTCTAAAGGTTAAAAAAGAAATAGAATCTTCATCTGTTTGCTGATTGAAATGCTTGCGGGCCACTTCCTCATGAAGCTTAGCAAATAACATCATCCTGTTTGTTTTGAGCTTTGCATAACCGTTTAAACCATGGCCATTAACTCAGTCATTTTCATTTCGTTGGAACTTAGTGTTCCTTCACTTGTGAATGGTTAAAACCTGAACCCCACTCTAGTTCTTAGCATTCATCAAGAAAGGCTGTCATTTGTACTCACAGAGGAAGCCACCAAGCAAATACACCTAGGTTCCTGGGAAATCATTCTGCATTCTTGCCATTCTGACATTCAGAATAATCTAGAGTCCAAACCATGGTCCAATCTATCAGCCGACCTCTGGACCACAATGTCCTATTATTTTTATAGTAACACATTGTTGATTGTGTTTTTCTTAATTGAAATATAATTCACATACCATAAAATGCATCCTTTTCAAGAGTACAATTCAGTGGCTTTTATTATATTCACAAATGATACAACCATCACCACTATCCAATTTCAGAACCTTGTTATCATCCCAGAAGGAAACCTTATGCCCTATCCCATTAGCAGTTACTCCCATTTCTCTCTGTTCCAGCCCTTGGCAATCACTAATCTACCTTTCACCTCTATGGATCTGTCTATACCAGACACTTCATAAAAGTGGAATCACATAATATGTGGTCTTTTGTATCTGACTTCTTTCACTTAGCATAATGTCGTCAAGGTTCAGCCATGTTATAGCATGTACCAGCACTTCATTCCTTTTTGTGGATGAATAATATTCCATTATTCACATGGACTATGCCACATTTTGCATATCTATTCACCAGCTAATGGAAATTTGGTTCATGTCCTAGTTGACTATGTTTTGGTAGCTGCTCAGTGTTTACTAATTGACTCAGTTCCTGGTGTCACACCTTGTTTTCCTTGTTAATCCCATGTCTAGCCCACAAACAAAATATAGCCAAACAGTGGCTATAGCTAAAAACAAACACAGGAACACCAAAAGATCACCTACAGCCAGGCGCGGTGGCTCACACCTGTAATCCCAGCACTTTGGGAGGCCGAGGCGGGTGGATCACGAGGTCAGGAGATAGAGACCATCCTAGCTAACATGGTGAAACCCCATCTCTACTAAAAATACAAAAAAATTAGCTGGGCATGGTGGTGGGTGCCTGTTGTCCCAGCTACTCGGGAGGCTAAGGCAAGAGAATGGCCTGAACCTGGGAGTTGGAGCTTGCAGTGAGCTGAAATCACGCCACTGCACTCCAGCCTGGGCGACAGAGCAAGACTCCATCTCAATAAAAAAGATGACCTTTACAGAAACCATTGCTGGTTTTTCTATCAGATGCATACAGTAATGGATTCACACATATTTACTGAGTATCTACTACAGGTTAAACGTTCTATGTCCTACAGATGTAGGGGTCAAGAAGATAGATACAGACTCCACTGTCATGGAGCTTAGAGTTTAGTGTCACAGATAGACGTGAAGCAAATTATTATAGAAATTAATATTTCAATTGCTATTAGAGTAAGTTCCATAAAGGAAAAGTGCATGGAGAATAGCTTGGAGTGAGGATACGGGTTAAAGGAGTCTTCACTGGAGAAGTGGCATTTAATTTGAGTTGGAAAGATGAGGTTTTGGGCAGAAGGGGGGACAGAGATTCCAAACTGTGAAAATAGCATGCTGAAGCCTTGATGGGCTAGAGGCCTGAGAGAAAGTGGTGGTGCAGGGTGAGTAACAGGGGAGTCATGGACAATGAGGCTAGAGAGACGCAGAGGGAGCTGGCTGGACTGTGCTTATGGGTAAAGTGATCAGTAGCTGTAGCAGCTACTTTTCCCCAAAAAACAAGGCTTGAACTGTCTCTCAACACACCAGGGCATTTAGAAATCCTACGAGCTGCTCAAAAGTAGGCAGTTTTCCTTCCAGTCCCAAAAGGAGTAATTTTGGTCCTAAACCTTATTCTTGCCCATGGATAACATATCCTCGATGTTTTTGTTATCCACTGATATGTTGGATGTCTTCTGTTTGCCTCCTTAGATCTACTCTTTGCCCTTCTCCATCCTTCTCATTGCTCCATGGAGCTGCCCTGCAGGAACCCAGTCAAAGGGGTCTCTTGACCATTGGGGGTCACTGGCAGGAGATTTGAAAGGGAGATGTGCAAAGTTGAGCAATTCATCCTCGGCTCCCTTCTTGTTGGGTTGCATCTTCCAGAGGCCACTGCTAGTATCAGGAGGCTGTTTTCATACAGCCATTCTTTCTGGGTCCTTTGAATCACTTCCTCCCCTTGTCCCTTGAGGCTTCATTGGGGCCAGCTCCCCTGTTGTTTGCTGTAATCCCTCTTCACACCTTTTATGGTAGACTTTAGTCTCCAAAAATAACTGCAGCAATACCCCTATCCCACATGCTCTTCAGCAATGTAACCTTGCCAGGTCCCCAGTGAGACGTAGAGTTTATTTCTCTACCCTCTTGCCTCTGGCCATGCCCTGTGGCTTCTTTGATCAATGGAAGTTGGGGGAAGTGGCGCTGTGACAGTTCCAGAGATAGGCTTGTTACTGTGCCGACTTCTGCTTCCTGCTCTTGGCACCCTGAGCATCCATGTAAGAAATCCAGTTTACTCTGCTGGTGAGAGAGGACGCAGAGAGAAGCACTTAGGTACTAGACAGGTAAGTGAGGAAGCTACCTTGGATGTCCAGCCCATCTGAGCCTTCAGATGACACCAGACCAAGATGGCTGCAACTGCATGAGAAATCCCAGGTGAGATTCACTCAAATATTCCCAGTCAATATTCTGAAGTACAAGACATCAAAAGTAAATTATTTTATGCCAGAACATCTTTGCATATGTTTCCTTTATTAAATTCTTTTCAAATTGCCAAGTTTGTGCACAACATTTGTTTCCTTCTGGGACTCCATGACCACAACCCCAAACCACAACCAAAAATGCCTGGAAACCAAAACCCTAACTTTTCACCTGGATCACAGGATCCTATGAGTAATAAAGGTTGGGATAATCCTGAAAAGCCATCAGCTTTAGGTCATCCTGCATACATGGGTCTCTATTCACCCTATTTTAAACACAGAACCTCAGTGTTTAAATCTCAGGACTTTTCACAAGCCACTTTCAAGAGGAGAGATAGCATCCTGCTACATATTGAATTACTTATACTCTCAAGAAAGCGTCGTTTGTTTTTTTCTTTTCCAGGCTAAACAAATCAATTTTTTGTAGCTTCCTCCAAGATCCCATAATTGGTCAGCCCTTGCATATTATTCCTTGTCCTTCCCGGAAAACTTTCATGAATGTTGGTACCCAAAATGGAGCCCATTTCCTCTTGTAAACATCTAACTAGTTCTGTAAATAAGAGGAACATATATAGATGCAGCTATAATATGTGTACAAAGGGAAAGAAAGAGATTATTTTCCCATCAAGCCTGATTTCTGAGCAATCAACCAAAAATATGGTTTAAATAATGACATGCCTCTGCCTCTGCCTCCGCCTCCGCCTCCGCCTCCGCCTCTGCCTCTCCCCACGGTCTCCCTCTCCCTCTCTTTCCACGGTCTCCCTCTGATGCCCAGCCGAAGCTGGACTGTACTGCTGCCATCTCAGCTCACTGCAACCTCCCTGCCTGATTCTCCTGCCTCAGCCTGCCGAGTGCCTGCGATGGCAGGCGCGTGCCGCCACGCCTGACTGGTTTTCGTATTTTTTTGGTGGAGACGGGGTTTCGCTGTGTTGGCCTGGCTGGTCTCCAGCTCCTAACCGCGAGTGATCTGCCAGCCTCAGCCTCCCGAGGTGCCGGGATTGCAGACGGAGTCTTGTTCACTCAGTGCTCAATGGTGCCCAGGCTGGAGTGCAGTGGCGTGCTCTCGGCTCGCTACAACCTCCACCTCCCAGCCGCCTGCCTTGGCCTCCCAAAGTGCCGAGATTGCAGCCTCTGCCCGGCCACCATCCCGTCTGGCAAGTGAGGAGCGTCTCTGCCTGGCCGCCCATCATCTGGGATGTGAGGAGCCCCTCTGCCTGGCTGCCCAGTCTGGAAAGTGAGGAGCGTCTCTGCCCGCCCGCCATCCCATCTAGGAAGTGAGGAGCGCCTCTTCCCGGCCACCCATCGTCTGAGATGTGGGGAGCGCCTCTGCCCCGCCACCCCGTCTGGGATGTGAGGAGTGCCTCTGCCCGGCCACGACCCCATCTGGGAGGTGAGGAGCGTCTCTGCCCGGCCGCCCCGTCTGAGAAGTGAGGAGACCCTCTGCCCGGCAGCCGCCCCGTCTGGGAAAGTGAGGAGCGTCTCCGCCCGGCAGCCACCCCGTCCGGGAGGGAGGTGGGGGTCAGCCCCCACCAGGCCAGCCGCCCCGTCCGGGAGGTGAGGGACGCCTCTGCCCGGCCGCCCCTACTGGAAGTGAGGAGCCCCTCTGCCCGGCCACCACCCCGTCTGGGAGGTGTACCCAACAGCTCATTGAGAACGGGCCATGATGACAATGGCAGTTTTGTGGAATAGAAAAGGGGGAAAGGTGGGGAAAAGATTGAGAAATCGGATGGTTGCTGTGTCTGTGTAGAAAGAAGTAGACATGGGAGACTTTTCATTTTGTTCTGTACTAAGAAAAATTCTTCTGCCTTGGGATCCTGTTGATCTATGACCTTACCCCCAACCCTGTGCTCTCTGAAACATGTGCTGTGTCCACTCAGGGTTAAATGGATTAAGGGCGGTGCAAGATGTGCTTTGTTAAACAGATGCTTGAAGGCAGCATGCTCCTTAAGAGTCATCACCACTCCCTAATCTCAAGTACCCAGGGACACAAACACTGCGGAAGGCCGCAGGGTCCTCTGCCTAGGAAAACCAGAGACCTTTGTTCACTTGTTTATCTGCTGACCTTCCCTCCACTATTGTCCTATAACCCTGCCAAATCCCCCTCTGCAAGAAACACCCAGGAATGATCAATTAAAAAATAATAATAATAAAATAAAAATAAAAATAAAAAATAAAAATAAATAATGACATGATATACAAAACCTTTCTCTCTCTTGCTGACCTATTTGGGATCCCTGGCCTTGGGAGTTCCATCCTTTGACCTTTTACTCAGGCCTACATTTCCACTGCAGTGAGAGCTCTGAGCACAAGACAGGGCTTTTCATGAGGAAGATTATCTTGGGGTAGCACAGTATATTGAAGCATCCCCTATTCTGTGCTTTGGTGGGTAATACAAGGTCTGCTTTCCATACGAGACAGGAACTGAGCTTAGCGTCTATGCTGTAGAGAGGCCTGAGTAGATCCCCATGGTCTGTAGTTCTGAAGAATTCTGTCAGCCAAGAATCATAGAATGCTCCAAAGGTAAAAGGGTTTGTCATGGCCATCCCCCAGGGAGGCCTCAAGACCACTCCTTCCCTATTCTGCCTGGAAACAAGTGCCAGAGGTGATGCAACTCAGCAAACTTTATCCAGATTCACTTCCAGAATCTGCAGAAGGGACAGTACCATCGATGGGGCCAAATGACAGTTGAATTACCCAAGTCTGGGAACATCAAGTTCCCGCAGCACCATGGGCAAAACAAAGATGAGACACAATGCGGTCTCCAGGATTGGAGAAGATGAGTACATATGTTTCGTGGGAGGACTGGTAGGGACAGAGTGAAAAAGAATGAGATGGGATAAGAGTGAACCAAGTCAAATAAGAGGATTCAGGTTTGAACCAAGTCAAACCTGGAGAGGTGGGACAGGAGAGGTGGGACATTGTGCCTACTTGTCACTTAAAGCTCTTCCATAGCAAGAGTCCTGCAATCATGTTTCATTAATACACTCATTCAGTAAGTGTTTATGAGCCAGGCTCTGTTCTGAATGCAGGGGATACTGCAATGAAAGAACCAAACCAAGCCCTACTTTCATGAAGCTGACATTCTTGTTGGGAGAGAGAAGTAATAAATAGAGAAACAGATGTTAGAAGCCACCAATGCCATAAAGAAAAATAAAGCAAGATGTAGGGTTAGAAAGGGCAGTATTTTGTGTATAATCACTAGAATTGTCCCCTAAGGTAGTGATGGTTAATGGGAGATGGGAATGATTCCTGTGGATGACTGGGTGAACAATGCCCCAGGCAGAGGGAATGGCAGGGGCAAATGCCTTGGGGTGGGACTGCGCTTGGTGTGCTCAAGGCACAACCAGCCAAGGGGGCTGGGGTGAGCAAAGCAGAACGTGCAGGGATGTCAGAGTGAAAGTGCTTTGTCTTGCTTCCAAGAGGATGAACAAGGGCTACTGGTTCAACACAGATAAATTTGTTCTCGTGTACCCGGTTGTATAGATGTCAACTAGTCACCTATGAATGCCTCTGGATATGAAGGGATGGGAGAGTGTGTCTGCCCCACTCAGAAATTAAAATATTAATAAAATCCACAGTAGGCATGTGCTGCTAACAGAGTGGGTCAGCAGGGTCACCCTACTCTGTGGGAGTTGGGCTCAGACTTGTGGGATCAAACAAGAGATGCAGATGAGGGCTGTCCTTCTGCTCGCATCTGCACAGAACCAGGGCTCTGCACTCCTCCCAGCACAGGGATTTCACACACACCCATCTCACCGAAGGACCTTCAAATCCAGTCATTTTCTTGGCCCTTCTCTGAGAGTCCTATGGACAGATGGTTTCAAGGAACAATGATTTCAGTCCCTGTTGGGTTCTATAGGAGGAATTTGAAAGCTATTAGTTAATTAGTTAATTATTTAATATCCCACTCTTTCCCCCCCCCCCCCCCCCCCGCTAGAGACAGGGCCTCACTCATTTGCCCAGGCTGGAGTACAGTTGCACAATCATAGCTCACTGTAGCCTCGAACTGCTAGGAAGCAATCCTCCCACCTCAACCTCCTGAGTAGCTGGGACTACAGCATGTCCCATTATGCCTGGCTTATTTATTTATTTATTTATGGTTGAGATGGGATCTCACTATGTTTCCCAGGCTAGTCTCAAACTCCTGACCTCAAGCAGTCCTCTCGCTTCAGCCTCCCAAAGTGCTGGGATTACAGGCTTGAGCCACCTCACTGGTTTCAGTCTTGTTCTAGAAATTAGTTATGGACCAATTGACTGCTAGATAGGATTTCTCTCTTAATCAGGTTTAACAAGGGTGAAGTGGGCAAACATAGACTGTCACAACTTAGGAGGAAATTATCCGGGGCCAATTGGATTTCATCTATCCCCAACCCCCCACCGCACTGAGTGCTGGGCCTGGGCTTCTTCCATCCAAGCTTAGACAGCTTCCCTTTCTCCTCCCTCCTCTCCATCCCATGTTCTGGGCCCACCTTCTGTATCCTGATCTTAGTGAATGTCACTGGCTGTTGGACAGCTTGTTGTCTACACAGGGCAGTTCAATGAGTCTCCAAGTTTGGTCTCTAAAGTGGGAAGTCATCTGCAGGATGGTGGCAGGAGGACTATGAGAGTGACAGAGCTCCTAGCCACTTTGCCCCCTCCCAGGTCCCAGTTGTAATCCTCTGCTTAGGGAAGGGTTGTTCTGCTTTTTCATCTGAGCTGTCTTTTCAATCCATTGCATGTAAACTATGAACTTTGCTTCATTGGATTTGCCAAAAGCCTTTTTCCTTTCCTTTTCCAAAGTGAAGAGAATCAAAAGCTCTGACTTTTATAACTATTACCTCTAAAATGGATTTCAATAATCCTTTTTGGAAATCAAAGACTGAGTGGAGATTATTCCTCTGCTGTAACAGTCCTCAGCTTCCCTGTGAAATGGGTACTTCTGCTTGTTCAAGGACCCAAAAGGCTGGTGTGGCCAAGCTTGGAGAATTGGGGGGAATGTGGTAGGATGGTGGTGGGGGAGCCTTCTGGATAGCTTAGATTTTACTTCAAGTACAAGGGGAAGCCCTCTGAAGGTTTAAAGGAGGAATGTGAAGTTTAAGATCTTTCTGGCAATGAAACATGGAGAATGGGCTCCAGGGGCGAGCAATCCAGTTGAGTTTACATTGCAATGGTGATGAGGACAGGGATTTTTGTGTCCCCTAAATTGGAATGCAAACATTCCTCAATTGGGAGACTCCTAACGGCAAAACCACACCAAGCTGCTGTCCTCCTGATACTGAATATATTTTGTTCCCAAAGGATAGTTACCTGAAAGGACCAGTAAGACACCCTCCAACTGAGGTCATTCCACCTATTTCTGCAAAATTACTTTGAAGGGTCAAATATGAGACCGAGATTCAGTGGCACCTTTCTCAGCCAGGTTTTTGCTTTGTTTGTTTTGTTTGGTCTTGTTTTTTGGAGGTGATCTTTTTTCTTTTCTGTCTCTCTGTCTTTCTCTCTCTCTCTCTCTCTCTGTGTGTGTGTGTGTGTGTGTGTGTGTGTGTGTGTTGTGTGTGTGTGTCTTCCTCCCTCCCTTCCTCTCTCTCTCTCTATTGGTACAGTACTTAAGTGGCATTTAAGAAATCAATAAAGCAACAAAAATTATTAACTTTTGTGACCAAAGTGACCTCCCTTCAGCCCCCAGTTGATTAGGCTTTTTTGTTTCCTGGCTGGTGAATATCAATAGGCAAAAGTAAGACCAAGTCAACCTGCCCTGGTTGCTTTTTGTTTTATTGACATTTGCTGGGTGCCCTTGATGTGAAAAGCATTGTGCTAGTTGCTGGGGATAGGTAGATAAGACACAGGCATTCCCAACACAGAGGTGAGAGGACAGTAAAAAATGATTATCACCATGGAGGTCTGTAGGAGGTTCAGGATGAGCCTGGAGGAAGAGAGGGGACCATATCTACCTTGAGTTGAAACTTGAAGGAGGAATTACAGTTTGCCAAGTGGACAAACAAAGGAACACTGGACGTACTGCCCTCCAAACCTCCTGCCCTCTAGACCTAAAGCTGGGTGTATTTGCTCCCTTCTCTTTACAAAATAGTTTTTGGTCCCCTGGAACAAAAGATCAGCTTTAGCTCCCTACCTCTGCCAGAGCAAATATTGGGAAATGTTGAGCTCGATGAGTTTAGTGTTGCACCTTATTGCGTGTGCCACAGGGATGAATCTATTCATCCCCCTCACCCCCACTCCCTCCACAAATGAGAATCAAGTGGCCAAAGCAAAGCTAAATCCCAGTAAATGAGATGGGGAAGAACTAGGGGCCACCCAGGGATGCAAGAGGGCGACAAAAGAACCAACAAACAGTGACCAATAATTGATCCTGCAAAGTTCCTTGTACAAAGGCCCACAGAATGTGCAGAGATGGTGATGTAATATTGCCTGATGTCAGAGCAACAATCAATAACTATAAGAAATGTGAATGCTGGCTATTCTGGGGTCTCCCAGGAACTCCTGTTTCCTTTCCTTAAAACAAAACAAAACAAAAAAAATAGATAAATAAGGGCCGGGCAAGGTGGCTCACGCCTGTAATCCCAACACCTTGGGAGGCCAAGGCGGGTGTGTCACCTGAGGTCAGGAGTTCGAGACCAGCCTGGCAAACATGGTGAAACCCCGTCTCTACTAAAAATACAAAAATTAGCCAGGCATAATGGCATGTACCTGTAATCCCAGCTACTCAGGAGGCTGAAGCAGGAGAATCACTTGAACCCGGGAGGTGGAGGTTGCAGTGAGCTGAGATCCCAACAGTGCACTCCAGCGTGGGTGACAGAGTGAGACTCTGTCTCAAAAAGAAAAAAAAAAGCAAAAACAAAAAACAAAACCAAAGTACACAGGCAACAAAGAGCACAATACCTCACATTTCAATACTAACATTGAATGGAATTGAATATAAATGGCCTAAATGCTCCCACTCAAAAGATACAGAACCATAGAATGGATAAGAACTCACCAACCATCTCCTGCCTTCAAGAGATTCACCTAAGACATAAGGACTCATATAAACTTAAAGTAAAGGAGTGGAAAAAGACATTTCATGTAAATAGACACCAAAAGCGAGCAGAGGTAGCTATTCTTACAAAACAAACTTTAAAGCAACAGCAGTTAAAAGAGACAAAGAGGAACCATATATAATGGTAAAAGGCCTTGTCCAACAGAAAAATATCACAATCCTAAACATATATGCACCTAACACTGGAGCTCCCAAATTTATAAAACAATTACTAGAGGCTGGGTGCAGTGGCTCATGCCTGTAATCCCAGCATTTTGGGAGGCCGAGGTGGGTGGATCACCTGAGGTCGGGAGTTCGAGACCAGCCTGACCAACATGGAGAAACCCCGTCCCTACTAAAAATACAAAAAATTAGCCAGGCATGGTGGTGCATGCCTGTAATCCCAGCTACTCAGGAGGCTGAGGCAGGAGAATCACTTGAACCTGGGAGGCAGAGGTTGCAGTGAGCCAAGATTGCGCCATTGCATTCCAGCCTGGGCAACAAGAGTGAAACTCCATCTCAAAAAAAAAAAAAAAAAAAAAAAAACTCCACTGTCAACACTAGACAGGTCATCAAGACAGAAAGTCAACAAAGAAACAAGAGATTTCAAGTATACCTTGGAACAAACGAACTTAACAGATATATACAGAACATTTCATCCAACAACTGCAGAATACACTTTCTACTCCACAGCACGTGGAACTTTCTCCAAGATAGACCATATGATAGGCCATAAAACAAGCCTCAATAAATTTAAGAAAATTGAAATTATATCAAGCACTCTTTTAGACCATAGTGGAATAAAACTGGAAATCAACTCCAAAAGGAACCTTTAAAACCATGCAAATACATGGAAATTAAATAACCTGCTCCTGAATGAGCACTGGTCAAAAACAAAATCAAGATGGAAATTTAAAAATTCTTCAAACTGACAATAATGACACAACCTATCAAAACCTCTGGGATACAGGAAAGGCAGTGCTAAGAGGAAAGTTCATATCCCTAAATGCCTACATCAAAAAGTCTGAAAGAGGCTGGGCATGGTGGCTCATGCCCTGTAACCCCAGCACATTGGGAGGCCGAGGCGGGTGGATCATCTAAGGTCAGTAGTTCAAGACCAACCTGGCCAACAAGGTGAAACCCCGTCTCTACTAAAAATACAAAAATTAGCTGGGCGTGGCGACGTGCGCCTGTAATCCCAGCTACTTGGGAGGCTGAGGCACGAGAATTGCTTGAACCCAAGAGGCGAAGATTGCATTGAGCTGACATCGCACCACTGCACTCCAGCCTGGGCAACAGAGTGGGACCCTGTCTCAAAAAAAATAAAATAAATAAAAATGAAGTCTGAAAGAGCACAGACAATCTAAGGTCACACCTCAAGGAACTAGAGAACCAAGAACAAACCAAACCCAAACCCAGCAGAAGAAAGGAAATAACGAAGATCAGAGCAGAACCAAATGAAATTGAAACAAACAAACAAAAAAAAATACAAAAAATAAATGAAATAAAAAGCTGGTTCTTTGAAGGTAAATAAAATTGATAGACCATTAGCAAGATTAACCAAGAAAAGAAGAGAGAAAATCCAAATAACCTTACTAAGAAACAAAACAGGAGATATTATAACTGACACCACTGAAATACAAAAGATCATTCACAGCTGCTATGAACACCTTTACACACATAAACTAGAAAACCTAGAAGAGATGGATAAATTCCGGGAAAAATACAACCCTCCTAGCTTAAATCAGGAAGAATTAGATACCCTGAACAGATCAATAATAATAAGTAAGATTGAAATGGTGATTTTAAAATTACAAACAAAAAAATCCAGGACCAGATGGATTCACAGCAGAATTCTACCAGATATTCAAAGAAGAATTGGTACCAATCCTTTTGACACTATTCCACAAGATAGAGAAGGAAGGAACACTCCCTAATTCATTCTATGACGCCAGCATCACCCTAATACCAAAACCAGGAAAGGAGATAACCAAAAAAGAAAACTGCAGACCAATATCCTTGATGAATATAGATGCTAAAATCCTTAACAAAATACTAGCTAACTGAATCCCAACAACATATCAAAAAGATAATCCACCATGATCAAGTGGGTTTCATACCAGGGAAGCAGGGATGGTTTAATATATGCAAGTCAATAAATGTGATACACCACATAAACAGAATTAAGAAACAAAAATCACATGATTATCTCAATAGATGCAGAAAAAGGATTCTACAAAATCCAGCATATCTTTATGATTAAAACGCTCAGCAAAATCAGCATACAAGGGACATATCTTAATATAATAAAAGCCATCTATGACAAACCCACAACCAACATAATACTGAATGGGGAAAGTTGAAAGCATTCCCTCTGAGAACTGGAACAAGACAAGGATGCCCACTCTCACCACTCCTCTTCAACAAAGTACTGGAAGTCCTAGCCACAGCAATCAGATAAGAGGAAGAAATAAAGGGCATCCAAACTGGTAAAGAGGAAGTCAAACTGTCACTGTTTGCTGATAATATGATTGTTTACCTTGAAAACCCTAAGGACTCCTCCAGAAAGCTCCTAGAACTGATAAAAGAATTCGGCAAAGTTTCAGGATACAAGATTAATGTACACAAATCAGTAACTCTTCTATATATCAACAGCGACCAAACAGAGAATCAAATCAAGAACTCAACCCCTTTTACAATAGCTGCAAAAAAAAAAAAAAAAAAAAAAAAAAAGCTTAGGAATATACTTAACAAAGGAGTCGAAAGGCCTCTACAAGGAAAACTACAAAACACTGCTGAAAGAAATCATAGACAACACAAACAAATGGAAACATCCCATGCTCATGGATGTCTATCAATATTGTGAAAATGACCATACTGCCAAAAGCAATCTACAGATTCAACACAATCCCCATCAGAATACCACCATCATTCTTCACAGAATTAGAAAAAAAAAATTCTGAAATTCATATGGAACCAAAAAAGAGCCCGCATAGCCAAAGCAAGACTCAGCAAAAAGAACAAATCTGGAGGCATCACACTACCCGATTTCAAACTATACTATAAGGCCATAGTCACCAAAACAGCATGCTACTGGTATAAAAACAGGCACATAGACCAATGGAATAGAATAGAGAACCCAGAAATAAACCCAAATACTTATGGCCAAGTGATCTTTGCAAAACAAACAAAAACGTAAAGTGAGGAAAGGGCACCCTTTTCAACAAATGGTGCTGGGATAATTGGCTAGCCACATGTAGGAGAATAAAACTGGATCCTCATCTCTCACCTTATACAAAAATCAACTCGAGATGGATTAAGGACTTAAACCTAAGACCTGAAACTATAAAAATTCTACAAGGTAACACTGGAAAACTCCTTCTATGCATTGGCTTAGGCAAGGATTTCATGACCAAAAACCCAAAAGCAAATGCAATACAAACAAAGATAATAGCTAGGACCTAACTGAACTAAAGAGCTTGTGCATAGCAAAAGGAACAGTCAGCAAAGTAAACAGACAACCCACAGAGTGAGAGAAAATCTTCACAATCTGTACATCTGACAAAGGACTAATATCCAGAATCTACGACCAACTCAAACAAATCAGTAAGAAAAAAATCAAACAATCCTATCAAAAAGTGGGCTAAGGACAAGAATAGGCAATTCTCAAAAGAAGATATACACATGGCCAACAAACATATGAAAAAATGCTTAACGTCACTAATAATCGGGGAAATGCAAATCAAAACCACAATGCGATACCACCTTATTCCCGCAAGAATGGCCATAATCAAAAAATCATAAAACAGTAGGTGTTGGTGTGGATGTGGTGAACAGGGAACACTTCTACACTGCTGGTGGGAATGTAAACCAATACAGCCACTATGGAAAACAGTGTGGAGACGCCTTAAAAAGCTAAAAGTAGAACTACCATTTGATCCAGCAATCCCACTATCGGGTATCTACCCAGAGGAAAAGAAGTCATTATTCAAAAAAGATACTTGCACACGCATGTTTATAGCAGCACAATTCACAATTGCAAAATCATGGAACCAACCCAAATGCCCGTCAATGAGTGGATAAAGAAACTGTGGTATATATATAGAGATGGAATAGTACATAGCCATAAAAAGGAATTAATTAATAGCATTTGCCTGTGACCTGGATGAGATTGGAGACTATTATTCTAAGTGATGTAACTCAGTAATGGAAAACCAAATATCGTATGTTCTCACTGATATGTGGGAGCCAAGCTATGAGGACACAAAGGCATAAGAATGATACAATGGACTTTGGGGACTCGGGGGGAAGAGTGGAAGGGGGACGAGGAATAAAAAACTTCAAATATGGTACAGTGTGCACATGGGTGATAGGTGCAACGAAATCTCACTAATCACCACTAAAGAACTTACTCATGTAACCAAATACCACCTTAACCCCAATAACTTATGGAAAATTAAAAAATAAACAAAATAAACAAAAAAATTTACTTCCTAAATATCTCCGGAATCCATTTCCTTCTCCTTATTTCATCATCTCCTCCTAGCCCTAGCTACATCACCATCACCTCTTGGCAGAACTATGTGTAATCGCCTCCTTGGTAATCTTCCCTCATCCTAACCTGTTCTCCGTATTGCAGTCAGAGTAATATCATCCCAAAGTATTTTCTGATCATGTCACATTTCTCTCCTTCATCCTTGCTTAAAACTTTTTACTCCAGGCTGGGTGCAGTAACTCACGCCTGTAATCCCAGCACTTCGGGAGGCCGAGGCGGGTGGATCACGAGGCCACGAGATCGAGACCATCCTGGCTAACACGGTGAAACCCCGTCTCTACTAAAAATACAAAAAAATTAGCCGGGTGTGGTGGCGGGTGCCTGGAGTCCCAGCTACTCGGGAGGCTGAGGCAAGAGGAATGGCGTGAACCTGGGAGGCGGAGCTTGCAGCGAGCCGAGATCGCGCCACTGCACTCCAGCCTGGGCGACAGAGCAAGATTCCATCTCAAAAAAATAAAAAACAAAAAACTTTTTGCTCCAGCCTGGCCAACATGGTGAAACCTCGTCTCTACAAAAAAAATACAAAAATAAGTTGGATATGGTGGCATGTGCCTATAATCCCAGCTACTCCAGAGGCTGAGGCAGGAGAATCACTTGAACCCGGGAGGCAGAGGTTGCAGTGAGCTGAGATCACGCCACTGCACTCCAGCCTGAGTGAGGCTGACTCAAAAAAATAAATAAATAAATAAAAATTTTTAAAAAAACATAAATAAACAAAAAAAATTAAAAATTAGCACCTGCAGATTGTCCTGGCTGCTTGGGAGGCCAAGGTGGGAGGATGGCTTGAGCCCGAGAGTTTGAGGCTGCAGTGAGCTATGATCATACCGCTGCACTCCAGCCTCGGCCACGGAGCAAGACCCTGTCTCTAAATTAAAAAAAAAAATTAAGAAACAGAAAAAAAGAAATAGATCATTTGTTCCTCTGTGTGAAAGTTAACTTGGAGCAAATTCTGGGGGATAGGGGATGTGGAGGTAAAGACTGCAGCCTGCTGGGGGTGACATGCATTCCCAGAGAAGGAAAAGATGCTGAATGGAGAAGTCTCAACGTGGTGAACAGCACTCTTTGTTTGTGTCCAGACTGTACTGGAAACTGGCTCTTAGAGTCAGAGTTCCAGAGTTCCACCCTCCTTGGTCCTAGCCTGCTTCTTGCTTTCATCCACCTTCCTTGGGAGATTGTGAAACCCACGTTGGGAATCACCAACACCAAGGTACGATTGGGAGAGGCGGGGCATGAGAGCAGGATAGGGCACACAGCGAACATCAGTGTGCAGAAGGTCGCCCAGGCCCACAGATGGGCTGATGCAGGTGCCGTTCCTTGGCAAGGACTGTCCATGTGTCATCACTGACCTCTTCAGGTCTAGAGAACTGCAGTTTTCTCCAGCACCTCCTGGACTTCATCCATGGGTGCTATGACAGAAAACAGAACGATGTTCAGAGGGCACTGTGCAGTCCTCAAACCGTGGAGAGGCCCAGAAGAGAGACAAATAACTACACAGGACTCCAATCTGCTATGGCTATGTTTCAGATGTAGGCCACAACAGTTCTCTTTGTTTGGAAAAACAAAGTGGCAAAACACATTGTGACACAAAAAGATCTCAGCCGGGCGCAGTGGCTCATGCCTGTAATCCCAGCACTTTGGGAAGCCGAAGCAGGCAGATCAAGAGATCAGGAGATCAAGACCATCCTGGCTAACACGGTGAAACTCCATCTCTACTAAAAATCCAAAAAATTAGCCGGGCATGGTGGCGGGCGCCTGAAGTCCCAGCTACTCAGGAGGCTGAGGCAGGAGAACGGCGTGAACGCAGGAGGTGGAGCTTGCAGTGAGCCGAGATGGTACCACTGCACTCCAGCCTGGGTGACAGAGCAAGACTCCGTCTCAAAAAAAAAAAAAGATCTCTATTCTTCGGTCCAGGAATTTTACTCTTGAGAATGTATCCTAAAAAATAAATGGCGTGGAAATAAATCTTTGGTCTATAGTGTTTAAAATCCTGGACTTCAGTATTAGAGAAACCCAGATTTTGAATCCAGTATCTACCACTTAAGTCAACTGTGACCTTGGATGAGTTACTTAACTTCCACTTCCTCACCCGCAAAACGAAGATAATAATTTTCCTACTTTGAGCTGGGCATGGTGGCGTGTGCCTGCAATCCTAGCTACTCGGGAAGCTGAGGCAGGAAGACTGCTTGAGCCCAGGAGTTCAAGATAAGCTTTGGCAAAATAGCGAGATCCCTCTTGCTCTCAAAATAATAATAATCATCATCATCATCATCTTCCTATTTCACAGAGTTTTTGAGAAATATGTAAGATAATGCAGTAAAGATCAGTGCATAGAAGGCCAGGCGCGGTGGCTCATGCCTGTAATCCCAGCACTTTGGGAGGCCGAGGCGGGAGGATCACCTGAGGTTGGGAGTTCGAGACCAGCCCCACCAACATGGAGAAACCCCGTCTCTACTGAAAATACAAGAAAGTATCCAGGCGTGGTGGCGGGCACCTGTAGTCCCAGCTACTTGGAGAGGGTGAGGCAGGAGAATGGCATGAACCCGGGAGGCAGAGCTTGCAGTGAGCCAAAATTGCGCCACTGCACTCCAGCCTGGGTGGCAGAGCGAGACTCTGTCTCAAAATAATAATAATAATAATAATAAATAAAATGTAAATAATATTTTTGCAGACAAAGCCTTTATAGGATATGCAAAAATGAAAATAGTACATAGTTAGAGGAGGGGTTATTTTTTACATTATTACATTACTTTTAAAATTAATAAGGCTAGGAGTACTGGCTCACTCCTGTAATCCCAGCTGTTTGGGAAGCCAAGATGGGTGTATTGCTTGAGGACAGGAGTTTGAGACCAGCCTGACCAACATGGCAAAATTCTGTCTCTACTAAAAATACAAAAATTAGCTGTACGTGGTGGTGTGCACCTGTAATCCCAGCTACTCAGGAGGCTGAGACAGGAGAATAACTTGAACCCAGGAGGCGGAGGTTGCAGTGAGCCAAGATTCTACCATTGCACTCCAGCCTGGGTGACAGACTGAGACTCTGTCTAAAAAAATAAATAAATAAAATTAATATATATACATGATTTTATAGACCTTTTCTGAAAACAAGGGATGCTTTGAAAAAGGCGTCACAATCTGGGAAAATTCTTTTTTTTTTTTTTATTATACTTTAAGTTTTAGGGTACATGTGCACATTGTGCAGGTTAGTTACATATGTATACATGTGCCATGCTGGTGCGCTGCACCCACTAACTCGTCATCTAGCATTATGTATATCTCCCAATGCTATCCCTCCCCCCTCCCCCCACCCCACCACAGTCCCCAGAGTGTGATATTCCCCTTCCTGTGTCCATGTGATCTCATTGTTCAATTCCCACCTATGAGTGAGAATATGTGGTGTTTGGTTTTTTGTTCTTGCGATAGTTTACTGAGAATGATGATTTCCAATTTCATCCATGTCCCTACAAAGGACATGAACTCATCATTTTTATGGCTGCATAGTATTCCATGGTGTATATGTGCCACATTTTCTTAATCCAGTCTATCATTGTTGGACATTTGGGTTGGTTCCAAGTCTTTGCTATTGTGAATAATGCCGCAATAAACATACGTGTGCATGTGTCTTTATAGCAGCATGATTTATAGTCCTTTGGGTATATACCCAGTAATGGGATGGCTGGGTCAAATGGTATTTCTAGTTCTAGATCCCTGAGGAATCGCCACACTGACTTCCACAATGGTTGAACTAGTTTACAGTCCCACCAACAGTGTAAAAGTGTTCCTATTTCTCCACATCCTCTCCAGCACCTGTTGTTTCCTGACTTTTTAATGATTGCCATTCTAACTGGTGTGAGATGGTATCTCATTGTGGTTTTGATTTGCATTTCTCTGATGGCCAGTGATGATGAGCATTTTTTCATGTGTTTTTTGGCTGCATAAATGTCTTCTTTTGAGAAGTGTCTGTTCATGTCCTTCGCCCACTTTTTGATGGGGTTGTTTGTTTTTTTCTTGTAAATTTGTTTGAGTTCATTGTAGATTCTGGATATTAGCCCTTTGTCAGATGAGTAGGTTGTGAAAATTTTCTCCCATTTTGTAGGTTGCCTGTTCACTCTGATGGTAGTTTCTTTTGCTGTGCAGAAGCTCTTTAGTTTAATTAGATCCCATTTGTCAATTTTGTCTTTTGTTGCCATTGCTTTTGGTGTTTTGGACATGAAGTCCTTGCCCATGCCTATGTCCTGAATGGTAATGCCTAGGTTTTCTTCTAGGGTTTTTATGGTTTTAGGTCTAACGTTTAAGTCTTTAATCCATCTTGAATTGATCTTTGTATAAGGTGTAAGGAAGGGATCCAGTTTCAGCTTTCTACATATGGCTAGCCAGTTTTCCCAGCACCATTTATTAAATAGGGAATCCTTTCCCCATTGCTTGTTTTTCTCAGGTTTGTCAAAGATCAGATAGTTGTAGATATGTGGCATTATTTCTGAGGGCTCTGTTCTGTTCCATTGATCTATATCTCTGTTTTGGTACCAGTACCATGCTGTTTTGGTTACTGTAGCCTTGTAGTATAGTTTGAAGTCAGGTAGTGTGATGCCTCCAGCTTTGTTCTTTTGGCTTAGGGGATATCACCACCGATCCCACAGAAATACAAACTACCATCAGAGAATACTACAAACACCTCTACGCAAATAAACTAGAAAATCTAGAAGAAATGGATAAATTCCTCGACACATACACTCTCCCAAGACTAAACCAGAAAGAAGTTGAATCTCTGAATAGACCAATAACAGGAGCTGAAATTGTGGCAATAATTAATAGTTTACCAACCAAAAAGAGTCCAGGACCAGATGGATTCACAGCCGAATTCTACCAGAGGTACAAGGAGGAACTGGTACCATTCCTTCTGAAACTATTCCAATCAATAGAAAAAGAGGGAATCCTCCCTAACTCATTTTATGAGGCCAGCATCATTCTGATACCAAAGCCTGACAGAGACACAACCAAAAAAGAGAATTTTAGACCAATATCCTTGATGAACATTGATGCAAAAATCCTCAGTAAAATACTGGCAAAACGAATCCAGCAGCACATCAAAAAGCTTATCCACCATGATCAAGTGGGCTTCATCCATGGGGTGCAAGGCTGGTTCAATATACGCAAATCAATAAATGTAATCCAGCATATAAACAGAGCCAAAGACAAAAACCACATGATTATCTCAATAGATGCAGAAAAAGCCTTTGACAAAATTCAACAATGCTTCATGCTAAAAACTCTCAATAAATTAGGTATTGATGGGACGTATTTCAAAATAATAAGAGCTGTCTATGACAAACCCACAGCCAATATCATACTGAATGGGCAAAAACTGGAAGCGTTCCCTTTGAAAACTGGCACAAGACCGGGATGCCCTCTCTCACCACTCCTATTCAACATAGTGTTGGAAGTTCTGGCCAGGGCAATTAGGCAGGAGAAGGAAATAAAGGGTATTCAATTAGGAAAAGAGGAAGTCAAATTGTCCCTGTTTGCAGATGACATGATTGTATATCTAGAAAACCCCATTGTCTCAGCCCAAAATCTCCTTAAGCTGATAAGCAACTTCAGCAAAGTCTCAGGATACAAAATCAATGTACAAAAATCACAGGCATTCTTATACACCAACAACAGACAAACAGAGAGCCAAATCATGGGTGAACTCCCATTCACAATTGCTTCAAAGAGAATAAAATACCTAGGAATCCAACTTACAAGGGATGTGAAGGACCTCTTCAAGGAGAACTACAAACCACTGCTCAAGGAAATAAAAGAGGATACAAACAAATGGAAGAACATTCCTTGCTCATGGATAGGAAGAATCAATATCGTGAAAATGGCCATAGTGCCCAAGGTAATTTACAGATTCAATGCCATCCCCATAAAGCCACCAATGACTTTCTTCACAGAATTGGAAAAAACTACTTGAAAGTTCATATGGAACCAAAAAAGAGCCCGCATCGCCAAGGCAATCCTAAGCCAAAGGGAAAATTCTTAAGGATATTATATATCAGAAGAAGAGTGATAAAGCTGGGTGCCATGGCATGTGCCTGTAATCCCAGCTACTCGGGAGGCTGAGGCGGGAGAACTGCTTGAGACCAACCTGGGCAACATAGTGCAACATCAACTTCATCTCAAAAAAAAAAAAAAAAAAAGGGCCGGGTGCAGTGGCTCACGCCTGTAATCCCAGCACTTTGGGAGGCCAAGGTGGGTGGATCACCTGAGGTCAGGAGTTCAAGACCAGCCTGGCCAACATGGCGAAAACCCATCTCTATTAAAAATACAAAAATTAGCTGGGCATGGTGGCAGGCGCCTGTAATCCCAGCTACCGGGTAGGCTAAGGCAGGAGAATCGCTTGAACCTGGGAGGCAGAGGTTGCAGTGAGCCAAGATCGTGCCATTGCACTCCAGCCTGGGCGACAAAAGCAAAACTCTGTCTCAAAAAAAAAAAAAAGCTATAATTCCCATTTGGGATACCAGTCTCCAAGACAGTCCCAATGACCCTTGCCTTCTGTAATTTAGACCTTGCTGTGTTCCTCCCACATTCCAGGGCTGGCTTGTGTGACCAATAGAATACTGTGGAACTAATAGCATGTGGCTTCCAAGGTAAAACTCAAAAAAGGCATTGCAGGCTGGACACGGTGGCTCACACCCATAATCCCAGAACTTGGGGAGGCCGAGGCGGGTGGATCACTTGAGGCCAGGAGTTCGAGACCAGCCTGGCCAATATGGCAAAAGCCTGTCTCTACTAATTATACAAAAATTAGCCAGACATGGTGGTGCACACCTGTAATCCCAAGTACTCGGGAGGCTAAGGCAGGAGAATCACTTGAACCTGGGAGGCAGAGGTTGCAATGAGCCAAGATTGCGCCACTGCACTCCAGCCTGGGAGACAGAGCAAAAACTCCATCTCAAAAAAAATATCGTTTTTTTTTTAAAGGCATTAAGTTTCCATCTTGGTCTCTTGGCTCTCTTGCTCTGGGAAAAGGCAGCTGCCATATTATGCTGACACCACAGCAGCCCTGTGGAGAGGCTCACCTTGGGCAAGCCAGCTTTGGAGGAGATCCTCAAGCCCTGTGAAGACTCAGGTGTCTCCATCTTGGATGCTAATCCACCATGCTGACTTCTGATTAACCCCAGTCCCCAGGAGTGCCTCCTGATTCCAACGTTGTTTACTGCCCTTTATGTAAGAATATGTACTCACTATAAATCCTCCCTTTAAGCCAAAGCAACCTTGAAGTTATCGTGCAAATTATAGGCTGTGACACACATAGCATTCTTGCCTGTTCTGGAGGGCTGCCTTTAATTCCTTTAATTGCGTCTATACGGCAGGCATGTACACCCCTTCCCTCTGGCGTATAAACCCTCTGGGAAGTAACGGTACAGTGATCTACCTATGTTGCTGCCGTCCAAGACCACACTTCCACCTGTAAATTCCCCAATAATTCATCCTCTACTGACAAACTGGATTCACCTGCCTTGTTCTTTAGTTTCTCCGCTCCTTCTGTGTTTGGGGGTTACTTTGCATACACAGCCCTTCCACAGAATAAGCCCCATTAAAGCCTAAATGACTGCAGTCCCTGACAACCTCTTGGCTGTAATGTCGAGGGAGACTCACAAACCCACAGTCAAGCCGCTCTTGAATTTCTGATCCGCAGTGTGGTAGAGAATATTTTCAGCATTTGTAGTTCATTATTGAATCATCAGTAACTCACTGTTCTCATTTAATGCTATTGATCACCTGCTCCTTCTTGCTAAGGTAATCACCCTTAATATCTTTCACGTTCACTTTTTCTCCCTCCCTAGGCCTCAGCTGGGACCTGCTCTCCCTCCAGAATATTTTGGAATGTTATTTATTTTTTATTTTTCTTTTTTGAGATAGAGTCTCACTCTGTCGCCCAGACTGGAGTGCAGTGGTGCAATCATGACTCACTGCAGCCTCGACATCCTGGGCTCAAATGATCATCCCACCTCAGCCTCCCAAGTAGCTGAGACTACAGACACACACCACCACACCCGGCTAAAAAATTTTTTTTAACAGATAGGGGTCTGCCTATGTAGCCCAGACTGGTCTCCAGCAATCATTCTGCTCTGTCCTCCCGAAGTGTTGCGGTTACAGGCATGAGCCGCCACGCTTAGCCTGAAATGCTTTTTGGTTTTTTTGTTTTGAGACGGAGTCTTGCTGTGTCGCCCAGGCTGGAGTGCAATGGCGCCATCTAGGCTCACTGCAACCTCTGCCTCCCAGATTCAAGCGATTCTCCTGCCTCAGCCTCCTGAGTAGCTGGGACTACAGGTGCGTGCCAACACGCCCGGCTAATTTTCATATTTTTAGTAGAGACGGGGTTTCACCATGTTGGCCAGGCTGGTCTCAAACCCCTGACCTTGTGGTCCGCCCGCGTTGGCCTCCCAAAGTGCTGGAATTATAGGCATGAGCCACCGTGCCTGGCCTGGAATGTTATTTTTATAACAAATTTGACTGAGGTACTTCTCTGATTAAAAGCCATCTCTGGTGGCTCCATACAGCCTGTACTCTCAAACCTAACCCCAACATGAACACATGTATTTATAAATTATATCTATGAACTGCTGTATTAACATACCATTTACATTATAAATCAGATACAGAAAAAGAGATTCCCAAAAAGACAATATTTCCAGATTAAATAGAGGTCTAGGATTTTTTCCCTTCACCACATTGAGAGGTTGTGTGCACCTGCTTGGAGACCACAGACCCAGAGAGAATACACGATCAGTGACTCATTGCCTGAGAACAATGAGTCACTGATGGTCAAATAAATATTCAATGAACTACAGATGCTCAAAATACTCGGTGAATGTCAGGTTCTCAATGAATGTCAGCTGCTACTGGTAGCTGTAAAATTTTTATTACAGAGAAGCTGAGTAAGTTCAAGATTGAAACGTGTCATTTGTGTTTGGAAGATGTCAATGATCTTAGACAGATCATTTTCAGGTTGCCAGGAAGGAGTCAGACTGTGTCTTGGGTGAGAAGAGTAGGAGAAATGACTAACTGCATATGCCTGGCTTTGCAGGCTTCTTATAATCTGACCCCTGCCTCCCTCTTCTGCCTTTTTTCCCTTTACTTCTTCCCTTGTGGTTCAAACGTAAGGATTACAGGGCCGGGAGTGGTGGCTCATGCCTGTAATCCCAGTTCTTTGGGAGGCTGAGGCAGGTGGATCACTTGAGGTCAGGAGTTCGAGACCAGCCTGGCCAACATGGTGAAACCCCATCTCTACTAAAAATACAAAAATTAGCTGGGTGTGGTGACACATGCCTGTAATCTCAGCTACTCAGGGGGCTGAGGCAGGAGAATTGCTTGAACCCGGGAGGCAGAGGTTGCAGTGAGCTGAGATCCTGCCACTGCACTCCAGCCTGGACCATGGAGCAAGACTCCATCTCAAAAAAAAAAAAAAAAAAAGGAAGGATTACAGTCCTACTCATTCCTAAAAACTCTCCTTAAGCACTCTCTCTCCTGGAAGTCACTAAAGGAAACGAAAAACTTTTGCCCCAAAATATACTTCTTTGACACATTTCAAGCTGGCTATTCAGAAGAACTGGAAATACAAGAATAGCTGAAAAGCCGTCTTTTGTGGGAGAGATTTTTATCTATAGAGAAAATCTGCCTTGATGCAGCCAGGCTTTCTCTGAAGCCCTCCTTTGTCCAAATCTAGGGAAGGTTAAGTAAGTGTCTAATACCTTTAAAGGTTTGAAAGGGGTTAGCTGTGTGGGAGGCCAAGGCTGGCAGATCACTTGAGCCCATGAGTTCGAGACCACCCTGGGCAACATAGTGAGACCCCCCCCCCGCCATCTCTACAAAAAATAAAAATAAAAAATAAAGGTTTGAAAGAAACATTCATATCTATTCTCTCTGAGAGTGGTTACCTGTGAAACTTTAGCTACATAACAAGACTACCTTCGCTAGCCAGGCCTGCTCCTTTCCCTCTCCCATAGTCTGTTGTGCCAGAGTCCAACCCCTATTCTTCCTGTAACCTCAAGATGGTATAAAAGCATCCAACCCAGCCTGGGCGCGCCAACCCAGCCCGGGCGCAGTGGCTCACGCCTGTAATCCCAGCACTTTGGGAGGCCAAGGCGAGTGGATCATTTGAGGTCAGGAGTTTGAGATCAGCCTGGCCAACATCGTGAAACCTCTTCTCTACTAAAAATACAAAAATTAGTCAGGTTTGGTGGCACACACCTGTAATCCCAGCTACTTGGAGGCTGAGGCAGGAGAATTGCTTGAACCTGGGAGGCGAAGGTTGCAGTGAGCCAAGATCACACTATTGTACTCCAGGCTGGGCGGCAGCGAGACTCTGTCTCCAAAAAAAAAAAAAAAAAGGCATACAACCCTCTTCCCTTTCTTTGAGATCTTATATTTTGTAAGACTCTCCGACACATTAATAAATTTCTATTTCTCCTATTAATCTGCCTTTTGTCAGTTAATTTTCAGCAACCCTTCAGAGGGCGAAGGGAATGCTCTCCCTTCACTCCTTCGTTGCTTTTGGTTCCTTTTTTTTTTTTTTTTTGAGAGTCTTGCTCTGTTGCCCAGGCTGGAGTGCAGTGGGGTGATCTCTGCCCACTGCAACCTCCACCTCCTGGATTCAAGTGATTCTCCTACCTCAGCCTCCCGAGTAGCTGGGACCACAGGCGCACACCACCACACCCAGCTAATTTTTGTATTTTTAATAGAGACAAGGTTTCTCCATGTTGGCCAGGCTGGTCTCGAACTCCTGACCTCAGATGATCTGCCTGCCTCAGCCTCCCAAAGACTTTTGGTTACTTCTGCCTCCATACCCTGCCCACATCTCATGCTCATCTTTTTCTTCCCAGTGTCACAAAGAATTTACTTAGCTGCCTCTCTCATGAGGCTGTGAGCTCTCAGCCAGCACGGCTATCTTATTTCTCTTCCTTGCATCACAGTGGCATCCACAGTGCCTGATAAGCGGTAGCAATGCAATAACAATAGCTAATACAGGCCAGGCGCGGGGGCTCACACCTGTCATCCCAGGACTTTGGAGGCTGAGGCAGGAGGATGGCTTGAACCCAGGAGTTCAAGACCAGCCTGGGCAATATAGTAAGACCCCTGTCTCTAAAAAAAATTTTAAATAAAATAAAAGAATAGCTAATACATGTGTAGTTTAAATATATGTTAGGCACTGCTCCAGTGTGTTATGCATATTACTTATTTAAGCCTATGAAGTAGGTACAATTATCCCCATTTTGCAAGCGAGAGGGTTGCATTTTGGGCAGAGGGAGGGTGAGTGATTTCCCAAGCTCAGTCTCACCTGTGTATTAGGCGAAGTTCAGGAAATAGTGAACCTATTTAGTGAACCTAAATAGTGAACTCCAGGCGTTGTTTCACAGCTGGATGAGAGAACTCTGGTCACCCAGGCTGAGTCGGGGGAGGGGATTCTCGAAACTGAGGAAGACGGCATCCTATGGGCTCCCGCGCCTCCCAGCCTGAGCCTGTGCTGCCCCCTGCTGGCCAGCTCTGGGCCCCCTGCAGGCTCCCTTTCCCACCTAGAGCGCCTGCGTAGGAACTAACCCAGCCAGAAGTCCCCTCTGCCACCAGAGCTTGAGTCTAGGGTCTGACAGCAAGCACAGGATGTGCTGAGTGGGGAAGAGAATCAAAAGATCTCGCGGGGAATGTGCAAGGATTTCCCCCTTGATCCACATACCTAAGGACTGCCTCCCTCATAAGTGAAGGCTGAAAGAAACCATTCAAAGAAACCAAATGGGAAAAGTCAGCTCTGTCCCCAAATGCCATTGCCTGTACCCAAAATCAATAGAAATGTTTATTTGTTTAAAGAAAAACTTAGGTAAATATTTGGATTATTCTTACATTAGATTCTCCTTTAGGATGGAATATTGAGTGCTAAATTAACACACCGGTTCTTAATTAGGGTGCCTGATGGAGCTATTCGAAAACACAGATGCCCGGGCTCTGTTCCCAGCCTGCTGAATCAGAATCACCGGGAGGCGCTACTTCTTCTCCGGACTAGCCTCAAACCCAGATTTTCCCAAACCCCAAAGCTCCCAGACCGTTTAATATCTCACCTTTCCAGCTGGAGGAAAACCAATGCCTTTCCACTTGAACTTCAGTGAAAAACTTCATTGTCTAGAGAATACTCCTCCAGGGTATCTGACTCTAGTCTTTCATTGACTTTGAGCTATTTTACAAAATAGCTAATTGCTGGCAATGCAAAAAAAAAATTATTGTTTATAAACATGCAAATTATGTTCTGTCTAGTAGAAAGTCAATTGATTTTGCTTACCCTCTGTAAAAAAAAAAATCCGTTTGCCTCCATTTGCACATTTATTTCATTATTCCTGGTCTACAAATGGGTCTATTTTTTGAACCTATTGTAATATCTGCTTGATTTCTTCAATGATCATTGAGTTAAAGAAAATCTTGAACATGTTCATTTTATATCTATGTGAGAGTTTCTTTCTTTTTTTCTTTTTTTTTTTTTTTTTTGAGATGGGAGTCTCGCTCTCTCTCCCAGGCTGCGGTGCAGTGGCCCGATCTCGGCTCACTGCAACCTCCGCCTCCCGGGTTCAAGTGATTCTCCTACCTCAGCCTCCTGAGTAGCTGGGATTACAGGCGCACGCCACCAAACCCGGCTAATTTTTGTATTTTTAGTAGAGACAGGGTTTCACAACGTTGGCCAGGCTGGTCTCGAACTCCTGACCTCAAGCAATCTGCCTGTCTCGGCCTCTCAAAGTGCTGGGATTACAGGCTTGAGCCACCACATCCGGGCGAGAGTTTCTTTTTTGGAAAATTATTTTTAATATACCAGTGACAAGTACTTTCCTATTCTCTACTCTTTGGTCATCTGCCACTTACACTCTTTGCTTTGGTTAAAGTTTACTCGGGGGATTTTCTCAGAAAATAACTCCCTTTTTGTAACTTTCCACTGTATGCATAATGTCTGTCCGAAGATTCCTGGAAGAACAGCAGAATAACCAAAAGGTGTTATATTTTTAATTAAGGCAAAAGAGAGGTCAGAAGATTGGTTCCTAAACTTCTCTTCCACAAATAAAATAAACTCATCAGATGTTCACTAGGCTTTAACTCTCAACTACCTTACTTACTCCGTCCTTACTTGTGTGGTTGATTAATTTATCAAAAATTACACATATTAGAGACAGAGTCTCACTCTGTTGCTCAGGCTGGAGTGCAGTGGCATGATCTCGGCTCACTGCAACCTCCACCTACCTGGTTCAAGAGATTCTCCTGCCCCAGCCTCCCAAGTAGGTGGGATTACAGGCATGCACCACCACACCCAGTGGATTGTTTTACTTTTACTGTACCTAATGATGTTATAAGTTGCAACAGAAAATAAAAGATCCCTGTCATCTCCTTGAGTACATAGAATTAATTTGTAAGAACTAATGTTTCCAAGCATGGTGGTTCACTCCTATAATCTCAGCAGTTTGGGAGGCTGAAGCAGGAGTAACGCTTGAGCCCAGGAGTTTCAGACCAGCCTGGGCAACATAGCAAGACCCTATCTCTCTCTACAAAAAAAAAAGAAAAGAAAAGAAAAGAAAAGAAAAAACTTAGCCAGACATGGTGGCATATGCCTGTAGTCCCAGCTACTCAGGAGGCTGAGGCGGGAGAATCGCTTGGGCCCAGGAGGCCAAGGCTACAGTGAGCCATGATTGTGCCACTACACACCAGCCTTGGTGACAGAGCAAGATCTTGTTATTTACCCAATGATTATTTATTGAGCATCTACCAGGTGCCAGGCATAATGGCAAAGGCATAGTCTATGGGAGCTGACAGTCCAGAGAGAGGTGCAGACACTACACAAATACAGTCATGCGTTGCTTAATGTCAGGGGTATGTTCTGAGAAATGCATCATTTGGTGATTTTGTCATCGTGTGAACATCATAGAGTGTATTTATACACAGAGTGTACCTACTTGGTATAGCCTACTAAACGCACCTAGGCTATATGGTATGGCCTATTGCTCCTAGACTGCAAATCTGTATAGCATGTTATTGTACTGAATTTTTTTTTTTTTTTTTTTTGAGGCAGAGTCTCGCTCTGTCACCCAGGCTGGAGTGCAGTGGTGCCATCTCAGCTCACTGCAACCTCTGTCTCCTGGGTTCAAGTGATTCTTCTGCCTCAGCCTTCTGAGTAGCTGGGGACTAAAGTCGTGGGCCACCATACCCGGCTAATTTTTGCATTTTTTTTTCTTTTTTTTTTTTTAGTAGAGATGGGGTTTCACTATGTTGGCCAGGCTGGTCTTAAACTCCTGACTTCAAATGATCCACCCACCTCAGTCTCCCAAAGTGCTGGGATTACAGGCTTGAGCCACCACACCCGGCCAATTAAATGTATACTTTCAAATTTTGAGAACAGCAGATGAAATGCATGTTTTGAGCCAAAATTGCAACAATTCAAAAAAGGACAGGCCAGTATGAGCTGAAGTCGTGGGAAATATTCTGGTTATCTTTTGCTGAGTATCAAATCACTCCCAAACTTAGAGGTATAAGACAACCATTTATTATGCTCATGGATTCTGTGGGTCGGGAATTTGGAAAGGGCACAGTAGGAAGGGCTTGTCTCTGTGCCACAATGTCTAGGGTCTGAGCAGAGAGACCCAAAGGCTGGGGGTCACCTGATGGCTGGGGCTGGAAGCTTCGAGAGCTCATTCACTAATGTCTCGAGACTGATGCTGGCTGTAGACTAAGATCTTAGCTAGAGACAACGAAACACCTATACATGGCCTTTTTATGTCACCTGGGATTCCTTACATTATTGTGACTGGGTTCCAAGGTAGAGCAGCCTCAGAGAGAGCCAGGTAGAAGCTGTATCACCTTTGTTGATGAGCCCAAAAAATCACTCAGCATCACTTCCACTGCATTCTATTCAGGACCAGCTTAATGGGCGTGTGACCTGTGTGGTCACACAGAGCCCCATGCTTGGTTTAATGCTCTGCTCTCACCCCCTGGAAATTCGTAATAATATTTGATGGCCAGGCACAGTGACTCACACCTGTAATCCCAGCACTTTGGGAGGCTGAGGCAGGAGGATCGCTTGAGGCCAGGAGTTCAAGATCAGTCTGGGAAACATGGCAAGATCTCATCTCCACAAAAGAAACTGAAAAAAAAATTAGCCAGCTATGATGATTATGCACACCTGTAATCGCAGCTACTCAGAAGGCTGAAGTGGGAGGATCACTTGAGCCCAGGAGTTTGAGGCTACAGTGAGCTGTGATCACACCACTGCACTCCAGCCTGAGCAACATAGCAAGACCCTGTCTCAAAACAAATAACTAAATAAATGTTTGTACAAGGGCCCCGTATTTTCATTTGACTGGGACCCACAAATGATGTAGCCGGTTTTGATTCTATTTGTCCAGGCAGTCACAAGGGCCTGCGCAGGCTCACAGGGTGGGGACACTGACTTCCCCTCTAGATGGGGCAGTAGCAAGGTTCTGGAAAAGCATGTGAAACTGGAAATATTGGTGTGGCCTTTTTTTTTTTTTTTTTGAGATGGAGTTTCGCTCTTGTTGCCCAGGCTGGAGTGCAATGGCACGATCTCGGCTCACTGCAACCTCCGCCTCCCGGGTTCAAGCAGATTCTCCTGCCTCAGCCTCCCAGGTAGCTGGGATTACAGGCATGTGTCACCATGCCCAGCTAATTTTGCATTTTTAGTAGAGACGGGATTTCTCCATGTTGGTCAGCCTGGTCTCCAACTCCTGACCTCAGGTGATCTGCCCGCCTCGGCCTGCCAAAGTGCTGGGATTACAGGAGTGAGCCACCGCGCCCAGCTGGCGTGGCCTTTCTCAGAAAGTACAATCTGCCACAGAGGGTTTGTAGAGAATTTAAGATGTAGCCTGGACCTGTAAAAGACTTTTAAGTGTGTAAATTTCTCAGGCTCCCAGGAAGATATCCTCAGGTCCCACCTGTTTCAACAAACCCTCTTAAAGAGCCCACAGCTGATATTTATCTATCCCCATATCTATTCAGCAAATCCTGGTTGAGTGCATTTGGGGACAGGGGAGCATTTACAGGTGATTTGGAGATGTTGGCTTGGGGTTCACAGTGCTGGTGTCAGTAAAAGGAGAAAAAAAGCCTGGGCATGGTGGCTCATGCCTGTAATCCCAGCACTTTTTGGGAGGCTGAGGCAGGCAGACCACGAGGTCAAGAGATCGAGACCATGCTGGCCAACATGGTAAAACCCTGTCTCTACTAAAAATACAAAAATTAGCTGGGCGTAGTGGCGTGCGCCTGTAGTCCCAGCTACTCAGGAAGCTGAGGCAGGAGAATCACTTGAACCAGGGAGAAGGAGGTTGCAGTGAGCCAAGATCGTGCCACTGCACTCCAGCCTGGCAACAGAGCAAGACTTCATCTCAAAGAAAAAAAAAAGAGAGAAAAAAAGCTACAGGGCAAAGCACAAAAACCCTATAAACAAAGTGTCAGGATGTTAAAGAGAGCCAAAGACCACTTTTAGCTGGAGGAATTTGAGCCGGCTTCCTGGAGACATGGCCCCGGGTGGCTCCCCTCCATTCATTCAAGAGTCACTTATTCATTGAACAAGTGTCTTCCGTGCCATTGGAGTTCGAGGCCCTGGGGATTTATCAGGGAGCAGGATATGTCCCCGCTTTCATGCAGCCTACTCTACAAGGTACAGTCAAATAACAGACACATTAAAAAATAAACATAGAGGCCCAGTATAGTGGCTCACGCCTGTAATCCCAACGCTTTGAGAGGCCAAGGCAGGCAGGTCACCTGAGGTCAGGAGTTCGAAACCAGCCTGGCCAACATAGTGAAACCCCGCCTCTACTAAAAATACAAAAATTAGCCAGGCGTGGTGGCACATGCCTGTAGTCCCAGCTACTCGGGAGGCTGAGGCAGGAGAATCACTTGAATCCAGGAGGTGGAGGTTGCAATGAGCCGAGATCGCACCACTGCACTCCAGCCTGGGCAACAAGAGCGAAGACTCCCTCTCAAAAAATAATAATAATAAAGTTGTGATTTCTTTAAAGTATTTTGACTGCTTGTGAGCAGACTTTTAGGCAATTAAGAGAAAAATATCCTTAGACTAAGTGGATAAAATTTTTTCTCAAATATTTAAACATAGGCAAAACATAACAAGCTTAAAGACTGTACTTTTCAAATGTTCTACAAGTGGACATGTATTATTATTGTTATTATCATTATTTTGAGACAGGGTCTCACTCCATTGCCCAGGCTGGAGTGCAGGGGTGCCATCACAGCTCACTATAGCCTTGACCTCCTGGGCCCAAGCGATCCTCTCACCTCAACCTCCCAAGTATCTGGGACTAGAGGTGTGCACCACCACACCCAGCTAATTTTTGTATTTTTTGTAGAGACAGGGGTCTCCCTATGCTGCCCAGGCTGGTTTTGAACTCCTTGGCTCAAGCAATCCTCCCGCCTCAGCCTCCCAAAGTGCTGGGATTACAAGTGTGAGCCACCATGCCTAGCCTGTGTATTATTTTTATAATCAGAAAAAAATAGTTCTTAAAATCACTGGGAAGGTGATTTTAATCACATTTCCACCGATGTACAGAGTGCAAGAGCTATGGGGACATGGCTACCTCTGCCTAGATTTTAAAGGACATTTAGTTTAGGAGAAAAACCAAAAGTTTGGTAATACATGCTGTTGATGAACTTGTGGGGAAATAAACGCTCTCATGTATAACTAATGGGAATACAAACCTATATAATTCCTATGAAGGACATTTGGCAATCTGTCAAAAGTTTAATGTCTTGGGAGGCTGAGGTGGGTGGATAACTTGAGGTCAGGAGTTCAAGACCAGCCTGGCCAACATGGCAAAACCCTGTCTCTACTAAAAATACAAAAATTAGCCAGGTATGGTGGTGGGTGCCTGTAGTCCCAGCTACTTGGGAGGCTGAGGCAGGAGAATCACTTGAACCCAGGAGGTGGAGGTTGCAGTGAGCCGAGATCATGGCACTGATCATGGCACTGCACTCCAACCTGGGCGACAGAGTGAGACTCAGTCTCAGAAAAAAAAAAAAAAAAAAAAAAAGATTAATGTCTAGGTCACTTTTTAGACTGGTTCCTTCACCACTTCATTAAAGACTCACCCCATTCCAAGCCCTGCCATGATCACCATTGAGGCTACAGATACAATATACCAGGCTCTTTTTTTTGTTTTTGAGACAGAGTTTTGCTGTGTCTCCCAGTCTGGAGGGAAATGGCGTGATCTCAGCTCACTGCAACCTCTGCCTCCCAGGTTCAAGTGATTCTCCCACCTTTGGATGGCTAGGTCACTTTTTAGACATTAAACTTTTGGAGATATACCCCACAGATGTACATGTGAGAATGCAAAATAACACACAAGGTCATTCATACAGCTTTATAGTAGCAAAAGATTAGAAATAATCATACAGCTTTATAGTAGCAAAAGATTAGAAATAATCCAAATGTCTATCAAGAGAGCACTAATTAAATCAGTTATGATACAGTCATACAGCAGGGCACTATGCAGCTTGAAAAAAAGAATGAGGACCTTTTTTATTTACCAATATGAAAAGATCTTCAAGATAATTACATGAAAAAAGCAAGTCACAGAACAGAGAACACTATGCTACCTTTCGTGTGAATCGGAAAGAAGGGTATATAGATTTGATCTGCTTATATTTATGTGAATCAAACCCTAGAACAATTCACAAGAAAATCATTGCAATGATTGTTTGTTGAGGGGGGCTCTGGATCCCCTTTTCCTGCTGATATACCCATCCCCCAGCCACGATGACACTGACTGACAGCAAGTCACAGCTGTTCCTTCTCTGGGGAATTGCCTGCCACCCAAAAGAGGGCCACCTGACTTGGAAAGGGTATGCTATGGTCTGAACATCGGTGTTCCCCAAAATTCATATGTTGGAACCCAATACCCAATGTGACAGTATCAAGAGACAGAGCCTCGGGGAAAGTGATGAGGTCATAAGGGCTCTGCCTTCATGAATGGAATTCGTGCTCTTATAAAAGAGGTTGAAGGGAGCTTCCTTGCTCCTTTTACCATGTGAGGACACTTAGAAGGCATCATCTATGAGGAACAGGCCTTCATCAGACACCAAATCTGCTAGCATCTTGATCTTGGACTTCCTGGTCTCCAGAATTAATGAGAAATAAATTTCTATCATTTACAAATTATTCAGTCTATGGTATTTTGTTATAGCAGCCCAAATGGACTGAACAGAAATTGGTAGGAGAAGTGGGGTGCTGCTGTAACAAATACCTAAAAATGTGGGAGCAGCTTTGGAACTAGGTAATGGCCAGAGGTTAGAAGAATTTGGAAGAGCACACTAGAAAAATCCTATATTGCCATAAACATACTGTAAAGGGCAGTTCTTGTGAGGAATCAGAAGGAGAGGAGAGCTGTAGAGACCTCAACCTTCTTAGAGATTACCTAAGCATACCGGCACAGTGGCTCACACCTGTAATCCCAGCACTTTGGGTGGCAGAGGCCAGCGGATCATCAGGTCAGGAGTTCAAGACCAGCCTGGCCAACATGGTGAAACCTTGTCTCTACTAAAAATACAAAAATTAGCCAGCCGTGGCGGCACATATCTGTAATCCCAGCTACTCAGGAGCCTGAGGCAGAAGAATTGCTTGAACCCAGGAGGCAGAGGTTGCAATGAGCCAAGATGGCACCACTACACTCCAGCCTGGGTGACAGAGCGAGATTCTGTCTCGAAAAAAAAAAAAAAAAGAGATTACCTAAGCAATCGTGATCAGGATGTTCATGGAAATATAGACTGTCAAGGCCATTCTGATGAGCTCTCCGACAGCAGTGAGAAACATGTTATTATAAACTGGAGGAAAGGCCATCCTTGTTATAGAGTGGCAAAGAACTTGGCTGAATTGTGTTCATGTCATAGTGTTTTGTGGAAGGTAAAACTTGCAAGCAATGAAATAGGCTATTTGGCAGAAGAAATCTCTAAGTAAGTGTTGAAGGTGTGGCATGGTTTCTCTTGACTGCTTACAGTAAAATATGAGAAGAAAGAATTGAATTAAAAATAAAATTTATAATTAAAAGAGAAGTTGAGGGCTGGGTGCAGTGGCTCACGCCTGTAATCCCAGCACTTTGGGAGTCTGAGGCGGGTGGATCACGAGGTCAAGAGTTCGAGACCATCCTGGCCAACATGGTGAAATCCCGTCTCTAATAAAAAAAATACAAAAATTAGCCAGGCATGGTGGCACATGCCTGTAATCCCAGCTACTTGGGAGGCTGAGGCAGGAGAATCACTTGAACCAGAAGGCAGAGGTTGCAGTGAGCCAAGATCGCTCCATTTCACTCCAGCCTGGGAGACACAGCAAAACTCTGTCTCAAAAACAACAACAAAAAAGAGACTGGTATATTGTATCTGTAGCCACAATGGTGATCATGGCAGGGCTTGGAATGGAGTGAGTCTTCAATGAAATGCTGAAGGGACCAGGAGCCCAGTTCATGACATTATCAAAACACAGTAGAAAGTGAATGAATCGCCGAAGACCGATTCAGACTTTGAATGACAAAGACTTCTGACTCTTCCCTAACTTCCATTCTCCCCTGTCCTGGTCCAACTGGGCTGCTCTAAGAATATACCCTAGATGGGTAATTTATAGACAGACTTTTATTTCTCACAGTTCTGGAGGCTGGGAACTCCAAGATCATGGAAATGGCAGATTCAATGACTGGTGAAGGGCTGCATTCTCTCATGGCAGAAGAGACAAATGCTGCATCTTCACACAGTGGAGGGACACAGGAGCTCCTTTCAAACTTTTTAATAAGAGCATGAATCCTATTCACAAGGGCTCTCCCCTCGTGACTTAATCACCTCCTGAAGGCCCCACCTCTTAATACTATCACATTGGCGATTGAGTTTCAACATATGAATTGTAGGGGCACACATTCAGACCATAGCATCCCCCTTACTCTTATAAAAACGCCAAGTTTTTAGCTGGGTATATGGCCACACTTCCCAGCTTCCTTTGCACTTATACATGGTCATGTTACCATCTTGGTCAACAAGAATTGAGAAGAATTAATATCTGCAACTTGTGGGTCTCATTCTTACAGAAGGAAAGCCCTTCCTGGTCCCCTTTCTTCCTCCCTCCCTGCAGACTGTAGTGTAGACATGGTGTTGGCCATCCTGGACCACGTAGATGAGGGCAATATCTAAAGGGTAGCAGAAAAAGAAGCTAGAAGGGGTGTGGACTTCTGACAATGTCACAGAGCAGAGCCACCAGATCAGTCATTTCCAAGAGAGAAATAACTATCTTGTTTAAGATACTTTTATGTTGAGTCTCTAGCCCATCCAGCCAAACTTATAACCTAACTATGACAAGCCTCAAAGGAAAGAGAATCACTCTGCATATGGAAGCAAGCAGAATGCACCTATGCAGGGCTCCAGAATGAGTATTCTCCACTCGAGGGAGCATCCAGGGAAGTGGGAACTTCAGGGGAGAGGTAGGTTAGACCAGGAGGCAAAGCAGTTATGTCAGTCGGTTCTTGCATTGCTTTAAGGAAATACCTGAGGCTGGGTAATTTATAAAGAAAAGAGGCTTAATTGGCTCACGTTTCTACAGGCTCTACAGGAAGTGTGTTGCCAGCATCTGCTTCTTGTGAGGGCCTTCGGAAGCTTCCAGTCATGATGGAAGGTGAAGGGTGAGCAGGCACCTAACATGTCGAGAGAGGGAGCAAGGGTGGGAGGAGATACCACACTCTTTTAAATGACCAGATGGATCTCTTGTGAACACAGAGCAACAACTCACTTATCAACAATGGAATGGTGCTAAGCCATTCATGAGGGATCCGCCCTCATGATCCAATCACCTCCCACCAGGCCCCACCTCCAACACTGGGAATCACATTTCATCCTGAAATTTGGAGGGGACCAACATCCAAACCATATCAGCAATTCAGCGACAAAATGAAGTCACAAAAACTGATAGGTGTATCAGGGTAATTCTTTTTTTTTTTTTTTTTGAGATGGAGTCTCACTCTGTTGCCCAGGCTGGAATGCAGTGGTGCAATCTCTGCTCACTGCAACTTCCGCCTCCCAGGTTCAAGTGATTCTCCTGCCTCAGCCTCCCAAGTATCTGGGATCACAGGCACGCGCCACCACACCTGGCTAAATTTTGTATTTTTAGTAGAGATTTGGTTTCACCATATTGGCCCAGGTTGGTCTCGAACTCCTTACCTCACGTGATCCGCCTGCCTCAGCCTCCCAAAGTGCTAGGATTACAGGCATAAGCCACCATGCCTGGCCTAGGGTAATTCTTCTGATGTCAAAAGAACAGAGAAGGCAGCTTCAAGGGACTCCCACTGGCCAAATTGGGGCAATTTTAAATATCAGAAAAACAAACAGAATTAATGGATTACAATGCATTATTAGGGAAAAAATGAGTCTACAGAGATAATAGTTTGCCTCCATTTTTTATGTCTAACTCCCAACAGCTTTGAAGCCTCATTCTGCTCCTGCCTTTTTATCCCACATGTGGTGAACTAATAAGAAAACCCAGGTATGCCCTTGGCACAGACAGGAAACTGACAAGAACCCTCACCCTAGTGCTACTCTCTAACCACAATAAAACCCCAAAGCCAGTCACCCCTTCCTGCTTTCTCAAACCATTTCAGACCTACTTGGAAACCTGCTCTGCTCTCCCCAGAAAGCCTCATTATGGCACTAATAAATATTTTTATTCCTTCATGGTATGTTTTGGGCATCTGTCTCAGTTTTGGAACCAAATTTTGGGTGTGGTTTTCAAATTGTTTCTGTGGGATGATCAGCTGGATAAGAGGGAAAATTCTTCTTTACAGGAGAATGTCAACAAATTAATAAATTTAGAAGAATTCATAGAATTAGAAACCATGACTTTGCAACTATCATTGCAATAATTGATTCAGGCAAGAAAGGTTGTGGGGAAACACATTGTCTCAAAGTTATTAAATATAAAAGTGGAAGTACTTTTAAAATGGAGAATATAGCAGACACCACCTTGCCCAAGTGATCAATTTGACATCACCAATAATGGGACAAACTGACATCTTGTGCCTCCTGATAGGATGTACCAAGAAGGATACAACATCACCTATTTTAATCTGCCTGCCAAAAATATTGAACATAAATATAATCATAAGGAAACCATAAGACAAGCTCAAAATGAGAGTCAGTCTGAAAAAAAAAAAAATAACTGGACTAAACTCTCCTAAAAAATCAGTGCTGTGTGGCCTGGCACAGTGGTTCATGCCTATAATCCCAGCACTTTGGGAGGCAAAGGTAGGCAGATCACTTAAGCCCAGAGTCCGAGACCAGCCTGACCAACATGGTGAAATCCCATCTCTACTAAAAATACAAAAATTAGCTGGGCGTAGTGGTGCATGCCTGTAATCCCAGCTACTCGGGAGGCTGAGGCAGAGAATAGCTTGAACCCAGGAGGCAGAGGTTGCAGTGAGCTGAGATGGCGCCACTGCACTCCAGCCTGGCAACAGAGCGAGACTCGTCTCAAAAAAAAAAAAAAAAAAAAAAAAAAAAAAAAGTCAATGCTGTGAAAGAGAAAAAAAATGTTGGGAAACTGTTACAGATTGAAGGAGACTTAAGGGAGACTAAACAGACATGATGATGATGATGTGACAATGCATTATTCACATATCATGAATAGTCCTTAATTGAATCCTCAGATTTTAAGTGGGGAGGGAGTACATATAAAGGACATTATTGGAATAATAGGGGAATTGGGTTATAGAGTATATATTCGATAACATAATATCAATGCTAAATTTCTGGATTGTGGTCACTGTAATGTGGCTGTGTAGGAGGAAGTTATTCTTTGGAAAAATATGTTGAAGTATTTAGGGGAAGAGCCATGTGTCTGGAATTTAGCACACATGTTTCATTTTTTAAAGTTTTCATCCATATATAGAGAGATGGAACAAATGTGGCAAAATGATAATAATTTGTGTATAAAGACACAAAACAAAGAGAAATGAAACTAAAAGGCAAGCTGGTTTGAGGGTTTGTTTATTCTGAAAGAGGTCTGCAGAAGTCAAGAGCGAAGGTCGAAGAGAGGAAGGGCTATGCTGTTCCACAAACCATCCTGTGTCTGCTTGTTTACCAGGCTTCCTCTGCATCCATAGTTGTCCCGGGTTCAGAACAGGGCTTTGCTCAATAAAGATTTGTGGAAGGTCCTAGAATTTGGCCCCATCCTCTCCACTCTGGGAAGAAAGGCTTCAGGGGTCACAGTAGCACTTCTGTGGGTTGGAGGTTGATGTCTTGTCACCCCCACCCTCTTCTTTTTCCTTCTACTCACTCATCACTTCTTAATCCTCTTGAGTCTTAGCTCTAAAAGTTAGAATTCCCTAGGGACTCTGCCTAAGGCCTCTTCTCCATTCTACTTTCCTCCTTTCTCTACTCCCACAGAGCATCTCCAGCCCAATCCTCTCCCCATATTTCAGACTCATATATTCAACTGCAACTAGACATCTACACTTGGATGAATTATAGCCATCTCAAATTTACCATGTCCAAAATGGAACTCTCTAATTTCCCCGCAAATCTGGTTCTGTCCAGTCTCCCCCGTCTCAGTGAAAAACCCCACCATTCACCTGGTCACTCCTCCCCTCCCCTCATTTCCCCACATCTGATCCATACTGTAAATTCTTCCCCAAAACTACAACCTGGATCTGTCAACTTGTCACTGTCTCCATGGCCACCGTCACCCTCACCTGGACTCCTTCAGCAGCAGCTTTGTAACTCATCTCTTCCCTCTACTCTGGGCCTCCATCATCCACCCTCCTCACAGAAGCCAGAGTGGTCTTTCAAAAATATCAATCAGAAAGGTTTACTCTCCTCCTCAAAATCTTCAATGTTCTCCCATTGTTTAGAATAAAAATGCACACTGTCGTCTACACCATCTGCCTGGTCCACTTCTCCAGCCTCAATTCATGCCCACCAACTCTACTCCCAGGGACCTCCTTGTCCAGCTCCCGCGTTCCTCAACCTTCTCTCTTTCTGGGACATTTTCTCAGCCTTCTTGTCATCCAGAACTCAATTCAAACGACATCTTCCCAGGTCTATATGAGGAAACCTGCCCTTCCCATTAAACTTTAGACACTGTCTTCTTTGTTTACTACCTGTTTTCCCTTTTCCTGACACACTAGAATGCAATCACCCTGCAAGCAAATTTTCCACTATATCTCCAGTACCTGCTAAAGCAGGTGCTCATACATATTTGCTGAAAGAATTAATTACCAGATGGCAATTGTATATATTTTGTAATATCCTTACTTGGCAGAATTAAAAGCTGCCAATTTTGTGTAAGTCCCCATTTTAAAAAACAGGGCTATTTGTAAGCCCAGGACTATTGTGATAGATGAACTGGCTGCAAGCCCCTTACAACATAGGTGTTATAAGGAAAACAGGAGAAGGGAGAAAGAGGGACAGTGGATGGGTGGAGGGAGAAGTGGAAGGTGGGTGACTGGGTGGATGTGTGGGTAGGTTAGTGGCCAGATGGATGGATGAATGGGTGAGTGGATGAATGGTGGATGGGTGGATGCGTGGGTGGGTGGCTGGATGGGTGAGTGGGTGGATGAATGGGTGGATGGATGGGTGAGTTGGTAGATGGGTGGGTGAGTGGGTGGGTGGATGGGTGGATGAGTGAATGGGTGGGTGGATGGATGGTGGATGGGTGGGTGAGAGTGGATGGTTAGGTGAGTGGGTGGATGGATGGGCAGGTGAGTGGGTGAGTGGGCGGATGGTAGATGGGTGGGTGGATGGGTGGGTGAGTGGGTGGATGGGTGGATGGATGGATGGAGGGTGGGTGGGTGGGCGGATGGGCAGGTGAGTGGGCGGGTAGATGGGTGGTGGATGGGTGGGTGAGTGGGTGGATAGATGGATGGATGGGTGGATGGTTAGATGGGTAGGTGAGTAGGTGGATAGGTGGATAGACGGGTGTATGGATGGGTGAGTGGTTGAATGGGTGGATGGTTGGACGGGTGGGTGAGTGGGTGGATGGGTGGATGGATGGTGGATGGGTGGGTGAGTGGGTGGATGGGTGGGTGAGTGGGTGGATGGGTGGGTGAATGGATGAGCGGGTAGTGGGTGATTGGGTGAATGAATGAGTGTCTGGCTGAGTGAGTGAGAGGATGGGTACCTCTGGGAAGGTAAATCCAAGTTGCAGTGTAAGTTGAGCCAGGGGAGGTGGCCACAGTTGGCTCCCTTAGGCCGCCCACCTCGTGGGGTCACCAAGGGGTTACTTCGGGGCAGAAAGGTGCGGCTGTGGGTCGCCCCGCCCGGGTTTCCAGCAGCAGCACCCCAGCCCCCACCCAGCACACAGGCACCCCTCCCGCCCGGGCCCCAGACGCGCTCAGGCCGCCCCCTGAGGGCGCCCGTTCTCAGGTGAGCTCCCGGACTAGCGCGCATGCGCACAGGTGAGTGCCCGCCCCGCCCCCGGGCTTGGCCACCTGCCCAAGAAACTTGTTGGTTGTTGCCCTCAGGTCGCTCCCGGGCGGGGACACGGAACCCGGCCATGGAAGATCCGTCGGGGGCTCGCGAGCCCCGGGCCCGGCCGAGAGAGCGGGACCCGGGACGGCGCCCCCACCCAGACCAAGGCCGCACCCACGATCGACCGCGGGACCGACCCGGGGACCCGCGCAGGAAGCGAAGCAGCGACGGGAACCGGCGAAGGGACGGGGACCGGGACCCGGAGAGAGACCAGGAGAGGGACGGGAACCGCGACCGGAACCGGGACCGGGAGAGGGAGAGAGAGAGGGAAAGAGACCCGGACCGAGGCCCCCGCCGGGACACACACAGGGACGCGGGCCCTCGCGCAGGTGAACACGGAGTTTGGGAAAAACCGCGCCAAAGCCGGACGCGGGACGGAGCCCGGGGACTGACCTGGGACGCAGCCGCGCCTCCTGGGCCCGCGCCCTGGGAAGCCCCGGAGCCGCCGCAGCCGCAGAGGAAGGGAGACCCCGGGCGCCGCAGACCCGAAAGGTGAGAGGGGCCGGGGCGCTGCGACCTCCGCGCCGGGGACACCTGTGGCCCAGGCCGGCCCGCGAGGCCCTGGCGTCCCCGGGTTCTCGTCCTAGGAGCCCGTTTAAATGAACAAATGCCGTTTCTCCCTTCTGCGCTCTCAGAGGCGACCTGGCAGGGAAGGAAAACTTTAGGGTTCCCCCTTCTCGTGGCCTGAACCCAACTAACAAAGCAAAAACCACCCCTGTGAGCAGTGGCTGGGCTGGAGGACCTGGAGAAGAGAAAGAGAGGCCCCGGGACCCGAGAGGGAGGGGTGGGAGGAGACCAGGCGGGTGGGGTTCACCCCAGGCTCCTCCCCGGCCCGGCCCGCATGGTCACAGGACTGCGCCTTGGGGTTCAGACCCTTGTCCCGTGTTCCAGAGCCAGCCCTTCCCGACTCCAAAGTCCCCTTCCTTGTGGCCGGGCCGCCCACTTGGGAAGCCCGATGAAGAGTTAATAGTTTAATGTGTTACCCCTCCCAGGAATAGGTGCCTTCAGAAACAGGTGGGCCGGCGCGGTGGCTCATGCCTGTAATCCCAACACTTTGGGAGGCCGAGGCGGGCGGATCACCTGAGGCCAGGAGTTCGAGACCAGCCTGGCCAACATGGTGAAACCCCGTCTTTACTAAAAATACAAAAACTTAGCCAGGCGTGATGGCAGATGCCTGTAATCCCAGCTACTTGGGAGGCTGAGGAGGGAGAATCGCTTGAACCCGGGAGGCGGAGGTTGCAGTGAGCCGAGATCGCACCACTGCACTCCAGCCTGGGCGACAAAGCGAGACTCCGTCTCAAAAAAAAAAAAAAAAGTCAGATGGGAGACGCTACATTTTTAACCAAAGAACAAAGTCTACGTAAAATTCTCCCACTGAAGGGTACAGGTTTGTTTTCCCTTTTGCCAGTGAGGTCTCTCTAGGCAGCGTCATTCGAATCCCACGGCTGCTTGAGACCGCACCCTCCTAATGAAAAAACTTTGCCATCTCTGCCTTGCACAGAATTCCCATAGGCCCCTTGTAAGGAGAAAGGTTCAGGGTGTACTGGAAGACTCTGTGAGCTAGGGGAGGGTGGGGGGGGAAGGGAAGACAAGAGGGGACCTGGTCCCCACACCGCCTCCTAGGGACCTGGTGTTTTTTCCATCCATTGAATACCCAGATAATGTGCCCCACACGGTGAACTGTGAGCAGATGGGATATCTCCCCTGCCAGCTCCAACAGGAGACAGGTCCGAGGTGACGACTGCTTCTGGTTTTTGACACCTGGCCTCTCCTCTAGGGAGGAGTCAGGCTCCCCTCTCCCAGGGACTTGGAGGCTGAGTCCAGTCTGTCTCCCTGCTATGTCCACACAGCGGGAGAGCTCCTATCCTGAGTTTATGTTACATTATCTAAAACTAACTAGCATAACAAAGGGTGCGCCCAGATACAGTCAAAGCTTCGCCCAGGGAAACAGCTGTTGTTTCCCTGACTAAAGCCCATTGCACTTGCAACTGCAGGACCTGGGAGAATTCAGAGCTGCATTTTTAGGTTTCTTTAAAAACCACTGTCCGAGCCGGACGCGGTGGCTCACACCTGTAATCCCAGAACTTTGGGAGGCCGAAGCGGGCAGATCATTGGAGGTAAGGAGTTCGAGACCAGCCTGGCCAACACTGCGAAACCCCATCTCTACTAAACATACAAAAAAATTAGCAGAGCGCGGTGGCGCACGCCTGTAATCTCAGCTACTCGGGAGGCTGAGGTGGGAGGACTGCTTGAACCTGGGAGGCGGAGGTTGCAGTGAGCTGAGATCTCGACACTGCACTCCAGCCTGGGTGACAGAGTGAGACTCCATCTCAAAACAAAAAAAAAAAAAGGAAGACTGAGGAGGAAGAGGAAAGGTGTCCCAAGGAGAAGAATAGCTTCTGTAGTAACCCAGAGGCATGGAAAAGCAGTCATCTTTTGAGGGGAAGGGGGTAGTTCAGTATGGCTGGGTCTGCGAGCATGAGGTTGTGAGTGTAGAGAGATGAACAGGGGCCTCCTGTGCATGCTAAAAGTTTGAAAAATTTCAAACCTAAGAGAGACATGATGTTCTAGAAAGACTGTGGGAGCCTGGCAAGTAGAATGCAGCCCCCTGTTGAATCTTGGACAAAGCCCAGGATGTGCTGCATAAAGCAAGGAGAGAAGGGACAGAAAATGCTAGGGCTGCCAGAGGAGGAAATGATGTGATGATGTCAAAATCCGTGGTCTGCAGCTCCCATGCTCCTGGAGAGTTATTGCTGACTCAACACTTTCCAAAGTAACAAAGGGAGGAAGAGAATGCCTGCCTGGGCATCAGAGTCATGTGAATGCAAACTGGTTTTGAAGAGGCCTGGTGCATGCTGAACTGAGAACTTGCACTCACAGGAAGGCAGCTCGCAGCTACCTGGTGAGACAGCTCCCAGGGGCAGACAAACCATCAGCGGTACCAATCACAGCATCTGTCACGTGGTTAGTGGAGCTGGGCCAAGTATTTGGATGTCCCGTGGGGCCACTAAACCAGAGAATTCTCTGGAGTTTAAAATACCGGGACAAATTCTATTTCTGTTCTGCTAATATTTGGGCCCAGCACGAGGAGTCAAGAGTTCTAATCCTGAACGCTATTGAATGAGACACCCCCTAATGACCATGTATGCTTTTTGGTTATAGTGAACCCCCTTCGGAGAGATATCTGCCCTCGACCCCCAGGCCTGGACGAGAGGAGGTGGAATATTACCAGTCAGAGGCGGAAGGACTCCTGGAATGCCACAAATGCAAATACTTGTGCACTGGGAGAGGTGAGCCGTTTTGCAGGCTGTTTGATCATTTACTGTCACTGGTGGTTCTGGAAGGGATGGTCTGAGCTGGTGAAGCAAAAATTTAAGCAGATTCCCTTGTGGGTTCCTAGCATTTTCATTTCTGTACTTGTGAGGTTCTTGTTTTCTTAAAAAAAAAAAAAAAAAAAAAGGAGGAACGTCTCAAAAGTGCTGCTAGATTTCCTGTGCTTCTCCTTAAACATGCCCTGGGTTTGCAAAGGCAAGCAGCCATGTTTGCAGCTTTCAGACTCCAGGTGGAAGTGCAGAGGCCTGTAGGTGGAACTGGCTATGAGCTGCCAGCTGTCAGAGGAGGGATCTTCTGGCGAGGCAGCTGAATTAACAGAGAGGGAAAGTCACCTGGCGTGGGCAGCCAAGTTGCAGCACCTGTTCTCCTTGAAGATCTGACGCCCAACATTTGATCAATGGCTTTTAAACTTTATTGACTGAGGCCAGGCACAGTGGCTCATGCCTGTAATCTCAGCACTTTGGAAGGCCCAGGAGGGAGGATCACTTGAGCCCAGGAGTTTGAGACCAACTTGGGCAACATAGCAATACCCCATCTCTAGTTTAAAAAAAAAAAAAAAAGGGAAAAAGGCTGGCGTAGTGGCTTACGCCTGTAATCCCAGCACTCTGGGAGGTCAAGGTGGGTGGATCACTTGAGGTCAGGGGTTCGAGACCAGCCTGGCCAACGTGGTGAGGAGGAGAATTGCTTGAACCTGGGAGGAGGAGGTTGCAGTGAGCAGAGATCACGTCACTGCACTCCAGCCTGGGTGACAGAGTAAGACTCCATCTCAAAAATATTAAAAATTTAAAAAATTTTTAAAATAATAAGGCCAGGCACGATGGCTCACGCCTGTAATCCCAGCACTTTGGGAGGCCAAGGTGGGTGGATCACCTGAGGTCGGGAGTTCAAGACCAGCCTGACTAACATGGAGAAACCCTGTCTCTACTAAAAATATAAAATTAGCCGGGGTGGTGGCTCATGCCTGTAATCCCAGCTACTTAGGAGGCTAAGGCAGGAGAATCGCTTGAACCCGGGAGGCGGAGGTTGCAGTGAGCCAAGATTTCGCCATTGCACTCTAGCCTGGGCAACAAGAGCGAAACTACGTCTTAAAAAAAAAAACAAAAATAATAAAATATATGTATATATATATATACACACACATAATATATTCACAAGGTTGTTACGTATATACATTTTTTACATTAAGACCGAGTTCACACACACACAGAAACAAAAATGTTGTGAAACCATACTGACCCTATTATATACCAAATATTCTGATATTTTCTATCCCGTTCATTAAGAACAAAATCATTTTTTAAAAACCATAGTTATTTAGGACCCACAGTCTGAAAAACACTTCCAGCCTATCATGTATCCACCCCAAATGTGGCGTCCCCAGGTTCCCATTCTAGCGGTCTTGGCCTTGCCAGCAATGAAGAAAATCTGGTTTGTCTGGGTGAGAGCTTATAGTTCACATGATTTGGTGAGAAATAGTTCTTGGTTTACTATGACTAAGGGAGAAAACGTTCCAGCCTAAGGGAGAGAACTTATGGAGCTCATACCTGAAAATGTAATCTCAGGATAATTCCAAAGATGCATATGATTATAGGATTATAGGAACTTTGAGGAAAGTGCTCTAGGCAATGCAGGTACAAGGATCATTACTCTAGTTGCAGATATTGGCACAACCTCACAGCCTGTAATTCTGTCAGCAGCTCCTGAGCTTCAGAGAAGTACAGTAAGATATCCAGAGGACTGTGTTCTTAATGAGAGAAAAAAACAAAAGTTATGAAGATACAAATAAAGTTCAGGAAAAAATATAATATTCACAGTGATTTTTTTAAATTGGTTGTATTACAGGCAATTGTTACATTGCATGTTTTCTTAACTCTACATTTTCTTTTTTTGTTGTTGTTATAAGTAAGTATAACTGTCTTTTTTTTTTTGAGAGTCTTGCTCTGTAGCCCAGGCTGGAGTGCAGTGGCATGATCTCGGCTCACTGCAACCTCTGCCTCCCGGGTGCCAGTTGAAGCAATTCTCCTGCCTCAGCCTCCCGAGTGGCTGGGAGGTAGCGCGTGCCACCATGCCCAGCTAATTGTTGTATTTTTAGTAGAGACAGGGTTTTACCATGTTGGCCAGGCCGGTCTTGAACTCCTGACCTCGTGATCTGCCCGCCTTGGCCTCCCAAAGTGCTAGGATTACAGGCATGAGCCACCACGCCTGGCCATATAACTTTCATAAATAAAATGGTGACAGAGTGAGACCCTGTCTGTAAAAAAAAGAAAGAAAACAATAATGTTGTTTGCATTCTGGGGGAAAATTATACAGTGTAAAGATCGCACTTGAGAGAGCATCATCATTTCATTTAGACAATGTGTAGCTGTGGTTTCATGAATAGACCAACTGGAACCAGGCATTAAATCTGGTTATCAAACATCAGGCAGGATGTTGACAGGCCGACGTTGGCAGCATGTACAATTTCCAGCTCAGCAGCACCCAGCTTATATGATGTTGAGCAAAAGAAACCACACACACAAAAGGACATAACCGTATTATTCCATTAACATGATATTCTAGAAAAGGCAGAACTAGTTTCTAACCTTCTTTCCTTTCATACAACACAAGGCAGAACTAGTTTCTAATGAGAGAGGGCTGATCAGTGGTTTGCTGACAAGGAAAGTGAGGGATTGACTGCAAAGCGTCACTAAGGAAATTTCTAGGCTAATGAGAATGTTCTGTGTCTTGATTATGGTTACATGGTACATAAATTTGTCAAAACGCATCAAGCTGTAAGCTTAATGTGGGTCATTTTGTTGCATATAAGTTATATTTCACTAACGTTGATTTTAAGGAAAGCAGCCAGTTTTCTTTGTCCAAGATAAAGAAGCCAAGGGACCGGGAAGAATCCAGCTCTGGGAAAATATCACAGCCCAGATACACTCTTTAGGGAACTAAATAAAACAGCATTAAACTTTAAGACATACTTATAAGTTAAAGTCTAAGAACAATAAAACAACTTTTTAATTCAGTAAGCATTAAGGGTTTAATTAACTTAATTTTTCCTATTTCTTTTTTTTTTTATTTTTTATTTATTTATTTATCTTTTTTTTGAGGCAGAGCCTCACTCTGTCACCCAGGCTGGGGTACAGTGGTGCAATCTCAGCTCACTGCAAACTCCGCCTCCTGGGTTCAAGCGATTCTTCCACCTCAGCCTCCTGAGGAGCTGAGATTACAGGCATGCACCACCACACCTGGCTAATTTTTGTATTTTTAGTAGAGACAGGGTTTCACCATGTTGGCCAGGCTGGTCTAGAACTCGTGACCGCAGGTGATCTGCCTGCCTCGGCCTCCCAAAATGCTGGGATTACAGGCGTGAGCCACCGCGCCTGGCCAATTTTTCTTATTTCTAATACACGAACCACAGTTAACATTTTGATGTATAACTTCCACGCTTTTTTTCTGAATTATTATATTGTTTAAGCTCTGTGATTTTCTTCAAACTTGGAGAACTCTCCCCTTACAAATTGTATTCACCACAGAACATATATAAAGAGGAGATAACGACCAGTGCAGTGGCTCACGCCTGTAATCCCAGCACTTTGGGAGGCCAAGGCAGGAGGATCGCCTGAAGCAAGGAATTTGAGACCAGCCTAGGCAACACAGCAAGACCTTTATCACGAGAAAATACAAAAATTAGCCAGGCCCAGGTTCATGCATTTGTAGTCCCAGCTATGTGGGAGGCTGAGGCAGGATGATTGCTTGAGCCTGGGAGGTCAAGGCTATAGTGAGCTGTGATTGTGCCACTGTACTCCAGCCTAGGTGACAGAGACCTTGTCTCAAAAAAGAAGAGACAACTTGTTTAGTTTTTTGTGTTGTTGTTTGTGTTTGCTTTTGTTTTTTGAGACGGAGTGTCGCCCAGGCTAGAATGCAGTGGCGCGATCTCAGTTCACTGTAACCTCCACCTCTCGGGTTCAAGTGATTCTCCTACCTCAGCCTCCCAAGTAGCTGGGACTACAGGTGCTTACCACCATGCCTGGCTAATTTTTGTATTTTTTAGTAAAGACAGGGTACCACCATGTTGGCCAGGCTGGTCTCAAACTCCTGACCTCAAATGATCCACCTGCCTTGGCCTCCCAAAGTGCTGGGATTACAGGCGTGAGCCACCATACCCAGTCTTTTTTTTTTTTTTTTTTTTAAATTAGAGATGGGGTATCACTATGTTGCCCAGGTTAGTCTCAAACTCCTGGGCTCAAGCAGCCCTCCCACCTTGGCTTCCCAATGTGCTGGGATTACAGGCGTGAGCCACCTCGCCCGGCCTTGTTTCATCTTTCTGGTGGTGGGAGGTGGAATGTTCTTGCCCTTCCATCCAGGATGGCTTTGTTCCTGCTCACTGGCCTGATCTCTCCCATCATCCTCCTGCCGCTCTCTCAGGGCACACCGCTTTGCTCTTTTGAGAGTCACCCCTCTGAGTCCATAGTATTTCTGGCACCATTTCTGGAGACCACAGTTCCCTACTGCCCCCTAGTTTTAATCGCGCTGCTTTGGCCTCGGGTCTTCCACAGGGCCAGAAGCCTTCAGGGGTCTGAGCCCTGCGCGGAAGGTGGGCCTCAGGTGGAAGAGTCTCCTGGTGCCAAACAGCATCACTCAAAAATGGTAACACCCTTTTTTTGCAGCCTGCTGCCAAATGCTGGAGGTTCTCCTGAACTTGCTGATCCTGGCCTGCAGCTCTGTGTCTTACAGTTCCACAGGGGGCTACACGGGCATCACCAGCTTGGGGGGCATTTACTACTATCAGTTCGGAGGGGCTTACAGTGGCTTTGATGGTGCTGACGGGGAGAAGGCCCAGCAACTGGATGTCCAGTTCTACCAGCTAAAGCTGCCCATGGTCACTGTGGCAATGGCCTGTAGTGGAGCCCTCACAGCCCTCTGCTGCCTCTTCGTTGCCATGGGTGTCCTGCGGGTCCCGTGGCATTGTCCACTGTTGCTGGTGACCGAAGGCTTGTTGGACATGCTCATCGCGGGGGGGTACATCCCGGCCTTGTACTTCTACTTCCACTACCTCTCTGCTGCCTATGGCTCTCCTGTGTGTAAAGAGAGGCAGGCGCTGTACCAAAGCAAAGGCTACAGCGGTTTCGGCTGCAGTTTCCACGGAGCAGATATAGGAGCTGGAATCTTTGCTGCCCTGGGCATTGTGGTCTTTGCCCTGGGGGCTGTCCTGGCCATAAAGGGCTACCGAAAAGTTAGGAAGCTAAAAGAGAAGCCAGCAGAAATGTTTGAATTTTAAGGGTTTCTAAAACGCTCTGACAGATGCAAGTGGTGGTGGAAGGTAGTCTGAGCCACTGCCTTTCCCAAGAATCCCTTGTTGTGGAAGTTTCCAGTGCTGGAAAAGCAGCGAGCCAGCGTTGGTGTGGTGGGCGGAGCTCCCAGTCGCATGGAGCGGTGTTCATGGATGCAACAGACCCTGGCTTCTGGAGTCCTCTGTGAGTGAGGGACCAATCAAAATTATTTTTCAAAAAGCAAAAAAATGGCCGGCCTCGGCGGCTCACACCTGTAACCCCAGCACTTTGGGAGGCTGAGGTGGGTGGATCACTTGAGGTCAGGAGCTCGAGACCAGCTTGGCCAACATGGTGAGCCCCCGTCTCTACTAAAATACAAAAAAATTAGCCAGGCGTGGTGGCGGGCGCCTGTAATCCCAGCTACTTGGGAGGCTGAGGCAGGAGAATCGCTTGAATCTGGGAGGCGGAGATTGCAGTGAGCCGAGATCCCGCCACTGCACTCCAGCCCAGGTGACAGAGCGAGACTCCATCTCAAAAAAAAAAAAAAGCAAAAAAACTGGACCCCAAGAGCCACAAGGAAAAAGCATGTACTACAACAGAGTGCACCTCTTCATTCAGTAAAGGGAGGTCACCAAGAGAATTTGATGAACCTTACCTTCAAAGTTCCTGGGCACAGTGGCTCACACCTGTAATCCCAGAGCTTTGGGAGGCTGAGGTAGGAGGATTGCTTGAACCCAGGAGTTCAAGTTTGCAGTGCGCTATGATTGTCCCACTACACTCTAGCCTGAGCAACAGACCAAGACCGTATTGCCAAAATACCAAAAAAAAAAAAAGTTCATGGAGAGCCACATAGACATGAGACCACACTTCAGCCTGAATTTTTCTAAAACACAGTTGTCTCAAGCAGATTACTCCACACGTTTTTCCACACTGAACTCTCCAGTCCTTCCACTTCCTTAATTCTGCAAATGGAGGGGGTGGGGACTCTTGGGAAACTACTCCTGTAAAATTGAAGTTGGAGGTAGGCGTGGGCTGAGGAAAGAGGAATCAGATTAATTCTCTGGGTTGCAAAGAGGCTATTCTGCAAGCCCCTTACAGTGGCCCTGAAAGCTCAATAAGTGTTTTGTACCTCTTGTAAATGTGCCATTGTGTGAAGCATTAAACCCAACATCTAGAATTCAGGATTCATCCAGAATAAAAGGATGTAAAATCTTTCCCAACAGAAGAGTGTTACTTTTGGTCAGACAACTTCATGGGTTCTTACTGCACATTAAATTATGACTTATGGAACATTGCAATATATTCTCGGTCCTTAAGTTATGACTTATGGAACATTACAATATATTCTCGGTCCAAGTGAGTAAGTTCTTTGCTTTATGTGAATCCAATAAAAAATCCAAAGAATTTTAATTTGGAGTTGATGTCCTCTTTACAATACATTTATAATATTCTCTTAAATACAGACAATTTTTCACATTTAAAAGGTGAGTTCCATTTGAGTTTAGAAAAGGAAATATATATATACATGCTTGTATATGATTGGAAAATTTCTTGAAGAATAACATCAGAAAGTATTAAGTTTTGCTTTTGAAGAGAAGGGGACTTTTCATTTATACATGGCTTGACTGCACATGTATTAATTTTAGAAAAATAAAAAGTAAAAAAGTTGACTTGCTCTCCTCAGTTTTTTTCAGGACCACATTTAAAGTTCAAAGGCAGGTATGGATATATAGTTAAGCAGATTATTAAATGATCAGCCACAAAAACAGCCTCACCCAGAAAGACTTTTTTTATTTTTTTATTTCTTATTTTTGAGACAGGATCTGGCTCTGTCACCCAGGCTGGAGTGCAGTGGTGGGATCTCAGCTTACTGCAACCTCTGCCTCCCAGGCTTAAGCTGTCCTCCCACCTTAGCCTCCCGAGTCACTGGAACTACAGGCCCGTGCCACTGTGCCTGGCTAATTTGTTTATTTTTAGTAGAGATGGGGTTTCACCATGTTGCCCAGGCTCATCTCGAACTCCTGGGCTCAAGTGATCCACCCACCTCAGCCTCCCAAAGTGCTGGGATTATAGGCGTGAGCCACCACGCCAGACCCAGAAAGACGTTATTTACAACAAAGATCTCATGTCGTTTCAGGATCTCTGCTTCCCTCTACCAAACCCTCTGCTGTCTTTCCGGAGACGTGTCCCATCCCACCATAGAGATAAACTGCTAGCTCTGCTCGCCACCCTTTTCCCCTTCCCCTGCCCCATGTGTCTTTCTGCACTAAAAGCATGCTTGGAAATACTTGAGCCTGCCTTGATATTGATAGCTAAGCCAGGCCAACCCTGGCTGGAACCTGGGATAATATTCCCTGGCCATATTCCTTCAACAGTCCGAATATCATTGGACCCAGCAGAAGACCATTATTCCTGTCAGTTGGCGCAGTCAACAGGTGATTGACAAGATCTAGATTTATTCCATTGTAGCCTAACAGATAGATGCTGCCTGGGTTTTGAATCCGTCCCAGAGGAATTTCAGTATTTTCAGTATAGTATTTCTGTTTTCCTTCAGGGGGCGAAATATTAACGTCCATGAAGAAGGAAAACCAAGGGAGAGAAAGGTGTAGGGTCCACTAACCCCCATGAATTAAAATGATGTCTGGGTCAATTCACTTGCTCTGCTGTAGGGAGAGTGTAAACCAGCAGCTTACTGTGCCGGAGTGATGAGTGGGCAGTTTTAGTCTGACGTTATTTTCAGTTTTAAATTAGAGGAATGTAACTTCTCAACTATCAGAGCCCTCAACTACTATGTCCCTGTGGACCGCTAGGAATTTGTGTGGGCCCAGCAGGAGATAGGATTAGCAAGCTGAGTAGCTGTTGCCTAAGTACTTTAGAGTCTTTCACTGCCCTGATTATAAACATCATGGTACCCCCTAGTGTGTTAGAGGGTTGTCCTGATTTCTGGGAAACCACACTCTTCTTAAATTTATCCCATTCTTTATTATGTTTCTCACCAATCCCCTTCCATTTTGGAAACATTACTGAGTAGCGTCACTATCCATTTGTACATTATTTTATTTTTAGAGTATTTTCACATACTTGCTTTTTTGTTGTTGTTGTTAACTTCCCACAGTATCACACGGTTGCTTTCATTTGAGCCTCCCCACATCCCTGTGGGTGAAGATTGGCAGACTTAGCTTCATTTGTCATATTGTCTGAGGCTTAGAAGGACTGAATGGCTTGGCCAAGATGACAAGGCAGTAAAAAGCGGGGACTTGAACCTGGTGGTCCTGCTCTCGGTTCATTTGTATTTCTCTTCATGCTCATCCCTGAACACCACGGGAATGGCAGGAGACCCTCTCCCAGAAGGACACCTAAGAAGGATTTGGGGCCTCTGTCAGTAACAAATAAAAGCTGACCTCGGACAAGAAGATCTTCAGTCTGTTGGCCTGTTGGCTTCCTCTGCCTCGTGCCATTTGTGGGTTCCTTTCAGTCCAAATATCTATCAGTAAGGTCCTGGTTGAATAGACAAATCCATCCATACAATGAAGTCGAAGGCCACTTAACAAAATGTGGCTCCTCTTGTAGGAACTGATCTGAAAACATCTGGAAGATACAGTAAATGAAAAAATCAAGATGCAGAACAGTGTACATGGTACACTTACTTTTGTGGAAAAATGCAGGGAAGGGAATGAAATGCAGATTTAAATGTGCTTTTTATTTGCATAAAGGAACACTGGACAATTATATTGAAACCAATGAAAGCGGTTGGCAACATTGAAGAGACGGTATGAGTGAAATTTCTCAGTTTATATCTTATGTCATTTCAATTTTTTAGAAACTTTTCGTTTTGAAATATAGATTTGCAAGAAGTCACAAAAACAGTGCAGAGTACTCCTGTGTATCCTTAACCCAGTTTTCTCCAATGATAATATACTGCATAACTAGTACAATATCAAGACCAGGAAAGTCACAATCTACAGAGCTCATTTAGGTTTCCCCCTTTTACCTGCACACATATGTATGTGTTTGTAGTTCTAAGCCGTTTTATCTCATGTGTAGATTTGTGTGAGCAGCACCATGATGCAATCCAGAACTGTTCCCTCACCCTGGACATCCCTGTGCTAAGTCTTCATAGTCACATCCATCTTCTTCCTTCCTCCCCCATCCCTACTCATTCCTGTCCCCTGTTGATCACCAATCTGGGCTTCTCTATAATTTTGTCCTTTTGAGACTGTTACATACATGAAATCACACGGTATGTAACTTTTTCAGACTGGTTCTTTTTTTTTTTTTTTTTTTTTTTTTTTTGAGACAGAGTTTCACTCTTGTCGCCCAGGCTAGAATACAATGGCGCAATCTCGGCTCATTGCAACCTCTGCCTTCCGGGTTCAAGTAATTCTCATGCCTCAGCCTTCCAAGTGGGTGGGATTACAGGCGCCTGCCACCACACCTGGCTAATTTTGTATTTTTAGTAGAGCTGGGGTTTCACCACGTTGTCCAGGCTGGTCATGAACTCCTGACCTCAGGTGATCTGCCCGCCTCGGCCTCCCAAAGTGCTGGGATTACAGGCATGAGCCATTGCGCCCAGCCAAGACTGGTTCTTTTTCACTCATCATAATTCCCTTGAGATTCATTCAAGTCATTGCATGTATCAGGATTTCATTCCTTTTTTTTTTTTTTTTTTGAGATGGAGTCTCGCTTTGTCACCCAGACTGGAGTGCAGTGGCATGATCTCGGCTCACTGAAACCTCTGCCTCCTGGGTTCAAGCAATTCTCCTGCCTCAGCCTCCAGAGTAGCTGGAACTACAGGCACGTGCTGCCACACCCGGCTAATTTTTGTATTTTTAGTAGAGATGGGGTTTCACCATGTTGGTCAGGCTGGTCTCCAACTCCTGACCTCAAGTGATCTGCCCGCCTCAGCCTCCCAAAGTGCTGAGATTACAGGCGTGAGCCACTGCACCCAGCCTAGGAGTTCATCCCTTTTTATCGCTGAGTAGGGTAGTCCATGGTATGGGTGTACCCGTTTGTGTAACCAGAGTCACCCACTGAAGGACACTGGGGTTGTTTCCAATATTTGGCTATTATAAATAAAGCTACAATGAATATTTATGTCCACGTCTTTGTTTTCAGAGTGGTAATTTGATTTTTCAAACATAGATTGAAAACAAAACAAAAACAAAAAGCAAATTAAATATACTGATGTTGAGGCTGGGTGAGGTGGCTTACGCCTGTAATCTCAGGACTTTGGGAGGCCAAGGCAGGTGGATCACTTGAGGTCAGGAGTTTGAGACCAGCCTGGCCAACATGGTGAAACCCCGTCTCTACTAAAAATACAAAAATTAGCCAGGCAGGGTGGTGCGTGCCTGTAGTTCCAGCTACTCAGGAGGCTGAGGCAGGAGAATCGCTTGAAGCCAGGAGGTGGAGGTTGCAGTGAGCCAATCACACCATTGCACTCCAGCCTGGATGACAGAGTGACACCGTCTCAAAAAAAAAAAAAAAAGTTGACATTGAATCAACCACGTCCTTAAAATCAGGTGGCCTGTGGTATGTCTCTGGCTTGGCCTGGGTGAGTAATGTCAGTGTTAAAGCCCGAATCTCTCTTCTCCTAGGTGTGGTGCAGATAGTGGAGGTGGTCTTGAATGGGATGGTTCTCATATGCATCGTGGCCTCCTACTTTGTCCTTGCCGGATTCAGTGCCAGCTTTTCCAGCGGCGGTGGCTTTGGGAACAACTACTACTCACCGTTCGAGGGCACTGAGCTAGAGCAGGTTCGGCAGCTGGACCAGCAGTACACGATCCTCCGCTCGCCCCTGATATACGGTGGCGTGGCTGTTTCTCTGGGTCTGGGGGTCCTCACCATGGGTGTTTTACTCCAAGGAGCCAAGAGTCGAACAATGTTGTCAGGGAAGTGGCTCCTCACGGAGGCCGCCTTCAGCCTCCTAGCGGCAGTGGGCTACTGCACAGGCATTGGTGTTTACCTCCACGTGGCTCTGCAGATCAATAGCACCGACACTTGCAAAACAAGAGAGAGGCTCTATGCCCGCAAGGGTCTCACCTGGATGGACTGCCAGCTGGCAGGCACCGACGGAGCAGCAGCCACCTTTGCTTGTCTTCTCGTGATCATGTACGGCGCCAGCGTGGTGCTGGCCCTGCGTAGCTACCGAGAACAGAAGCGCTACAAAGGCAGCCGAGAACAGCCCGGAAGTTACAGTGATGCACCGGAATATCTGTGGTCTGGAACTCTTTGAGATCTTCCGGAACCTAAATGTGAACGCACATTGTTTCTCTCAAAAAGACAGGTCTTTTAAAACTCCGCATTAGACAACTATGGTTTTCACACACTTGACTTTATAAATGCTCTCTTTGGACTGAGGCAAAGTTAAAGAATTGAGGACGGGCATGGTGGCTCATGCCTGTAATCCCAGCACTTTGGGAGGCTGAGGTGGGCGGATCGCTTGAGGTCAGCAGATTGAGTCCAGCCTGGCTCACATAGCGAAACCCTGTCTCTACTAAAAATACAAAAAATCGCCGGGCATGGTGGCTCACGCCTGTAATCCCAGCACTTTAGGAGGCCAAGGCAGGCAGATCACCTGAGGTCAGGTGTTTGAAACCAGTCTGGCAAACATGGTGAAACCCCATCTCTACTAAAAATACAAAAATTAGCTGGGCGTGGTGGCAGGCACCTGTAATTCCAGCTACTCTGGAGGCTGAGGCAGGAGAATCTCTTAAACCCGGGAGGCAGAGGTTGCAGTGAGCCAAGACCATTGCACTCCAGCCTGGGCAACAAGAGCGAGACTCCGTCTCAAAAAAATACAAAAAATCATCTGGGCTTGGTGGTGAACGCCTGTAATCCCAGTTACTCAGGAGGCTAAACCACAAGAATCACTTGAACCTGGGAGGCAGAGGTTGCAGTGAGCAAACTCCACTCCACGTCACTGCACTCCAGCCTGGGTAACAGAGCGAGGCTCTGTCTCAAAAACAACAACTACAACAAAAAAGATAGGACAGTAGATTTTATTAGACCCTGAAGCATACTGGAGGCTTTTTCATTTCTGCATTCCCTGACAGTGCTCCATAGAGTAGGTCTTCAAAGGTAGATAGTAATCTCATTACCCTGGACTGTTCTCATAATGTAACAGATCACTAACACTGAATCTTAAAAATAAAGTTCTTTTAGTAATTTTAATCTTACGTGTTTTATACCTATTCTTATACTTTACAGCTTGCCCCAAATATATTAGTTCAAATCAGATGCAACTAGAAATATACATTCTCGTTATGGTCTTTTTGCTAATTGTCCTCTTGCTTTTTAGTAGTGAATTCTTATGGAACCTGTTCAGGACAAAGGATCGAAGCTAAGCCTCCTACCTAAGCGGAAAAGATCTAGATTATACTTTTATAAAAATAAAGCTTGGAAAATAATCAACTGGAGATCTACATCGCTAGGTTAAAAGTTGTGGTGTCTTGGCCGGGCACGGTGGCTCACACATGTAATCCCAGCACTTTGGGAGGCCAAGGCAGGTGGATCACCAGGTCAAGAGTTCAAGACCAGCCTGGCCAAAATGGTGAAACCCTGTCTCTACAAAAAATACAAAAAAAATTAGCCGGCCTGGTGGCAGGCACCTGTAATCCCAGCTGCGTGGGAGGCTGAGGCAGAGAACTGCTTGAACCGGGGAGGCAGAGGTTGCAATGGGCTGAGATCGCGCCACTGCACTCCAGCCTGGGTGACAGAGTGAGACTCCGTCTCAAAAAAAAAAAAAAAGTTGTGGTGCCTCAGAAAAGTGTCTCCACTCCATCACCCTTAGCCCAAGGCAGTGGCTAGAGTCCCACACAATTTTCACTCAGTGGTAGATGAGAAGTATAACTGCAGCCAGAATCAAGCGACCCACTCTCCACCTACCCTCCAGAGAAATACCACCAACCCCAGCCACTATTCTCACCTAGCATGTATTCCCCGAAATAGGTCCTTATTAGATCCTTGCCCACGTCTGGGTCCTTTGGTTGATAAAATGGAGACTTTGGCCTATCTGACCCCAACCTTGTGCCCAGGCCCAGCGCCAGTACTGCTCCGGAGAGGCAGCTCCTCTCAAGGGAATGGAGCCATCACTGTAACAACACTCCCACATCTTACGGCTTTATAACATTCACGATGCTTTAGCAAGTCTTCTCTTACTACCACTTGTCAGTCAGACAGGCCAACGTGTATTGTTCACACTTTACCGATAAGGAGACAAGCTTCAAGGTTAGGTGGTTTATGAAAGAGTTAATGCCCACTGTGTGCCAGGTATGTACAGTACTGTGATAAAGAAGACCTTTGATAAAAGATATTAGTATTAACATTTAATGAGAAAAACAGCCTTAGAGAGGTTAAGTAACTGCCTGAAGTCACAAAACTTTTAAGGAGCAGAGGCAAAACTCAGCCCCACTGAATCACACACTGGAATGTGTTCTAACATACTAACATACTCTTGTGGCCTTTGGTGTACCGGGGAATTTATATAGCATGACATTGATTCATTTCTGCCATGCTGGCCTAGGGAGGTGTGTGTCTCGTGGAACTGAGGTATAAAAGCATGTTGAAGGTGCTCAATAAATGGTTGTTGAACCATTTCTGGCCAGGTGTGGTGGCTCATGCCTGTAATCCCAGCACTTTGGGAGGCCGAGGCAGGTGGATCACCTGAGGTCAGGAGTTTTGAGACCAGCCTGGCCAACATGGTGAAACCCCGTCTCTACTAAAAATACAAAAATTAGCCAGGCATGGTGGCGCATGCCTATAATCCCACCTACTTGGGAGGCTGAGGCAGGAGAATCGCTTGAACCTGCGAGGCAGGGGTTGCAGTGAGCTGGGATCGCACCATTGCACTCCAGCCTGGACGACAGAGCGAGATTCCGTCTCAAAAAAATAAATAAATAAATGGCCGGGCGCGGTGGCTCATGCCACCTCAGCACTTTGGGAGGCCGAGGCGGGTGGACTGCCTGAGCTCAGGAGTTCAAGACCCACCTGGGTAACAGTGAAACCCTGTCTGCACTAAAAATACAAAAAATTTGCTAGGTGTGGCAGCGCTAGTCCCAGCTACTTGGGAGGCTGAGGCAGCAGAATAGCTTGAAGCCAGGAGGCAGAGGTTGCACTGAGCCAAGATCACACCACTGCACTTCCAGCCTGGGTGACAGAGCAAGATATCATCTTAAATAAATAAATAAATGTTCCTTCTGGTAGATGAAGAGGAAACTTCCAAAATGACTTTATCTTGACCTTTATTTAAAATGAGAGGTAGCAGGCAGTGTGCAGTGGCTCATGCCTGTAATCCCAGCACCTTGAGAAGCCAAGGCAGGCAGATCCCTTGAGCCCAGGGGTTCGAGACCAGCCTGGGCAACATGGCAAAACCATGTCTCTACAAAAAATACAAAAATTAGCTGGGTGTGATGATGCCTGCCTGTAGCCCTGGCTACTCAGGAGGCTAAGGTGGGAGGATCATGCTAGCATGGGAGGTAGAGGTTGCAATGAGCCAAAATCACACCACTGCACTCCAGCCTGGGCAACAGAGCAAGACCCTGTCTCAATCAATCAATCAATCAATGAGAGGTAGCTAATATTGCTTGAAAGCCCAGAGATTATGGGAGACACCCACAGGAGTGGGGGTAGGCCAGCGACAATTTAGAGGCTTAACTGGAGCTCATGAGCCAAGACTCTGAAGTTCCTTCTTACACCAAAGCTGTCAAGAAAAATGTGACCGGCTTTTCCATGGTGTCGTCAGCTGTCATTTAGACAGAACTGTGGATTGTTTACAGTTGAGTTTCTGCTAGTCAACTAATTTGCATGTCAATAAGGACGGTGTTTCCTGATTTTTTCCTTTTTCCTGGCGTTGTGATTTCTGTAAGCATATAAACCAAGGCAAAATATAGTGTTTCATAAAGTAAAAATCTGTATTGCCATTTCAGCTTAAAAGCAGATCAAAAATATTTATTCTTGCCTTAACTCATAGCTTTGCAGTGTCAGGGAATGTGGTTTCATGTGTTTGTTCTCACTTATCTTCCCCAGGAAAATCCTGCAGGTGCTTTTGGTTAAGAACCCAATTCTACAAACAAGTTAGGAGAGAAAATTATAGCTTCATGCTAAAATACTTATGAAATAACAAGCACTCCATTTTAAAACAAAGCCATGAAAAAGATTCCACTTTATTTTATTTATTATTGTTATTGTTATTTTTACAAACAATAGATTTGCTGCAACATGCTCTGGCTCATATTATTGAATTAAAAAATTTAACACATTTCAAAAATATCAAAAATACACTATAATGAGTCTTAAGACTACAATACGACAATGATTGCACAAAACCGTAAGATATGAGCCCACTGTCTGGATGACATCCACTGGCAACAGTGAGAGAAAACCCTATAGCATCTGGGAGAAGTGCATGAAATTTAGAATACAAGGAACTTATGTGTGACTGACTGATCACCAAATGAGGCAAACAGAGCAGGATTGACTGTAGCTGCTTTTTCTCAATCTAGGAAGTGCTTACCCCAACTATGGGGCAAAAGTCACTAACTGGAAAGATTAACTTGCCTTCATGATTGGGAGTCGGAAAGCCTCCACCCAGAAGGAAGTAAAAAGTGACACTAGACAGTCCTATAGTGATGCTGAAGACATCACTGAATGGCTTGGAGACTAATTATTTAATAATTGGTACATTTATCGATAACAGCCAGCTGCTCCCTTATGGAGGTCTCTTCATTAATAATTATTGGATAGATAGAGAAGGTGAGCCTGTGGCTTCCAAGTACCGGCTTTTGCTGAAGGTCTACATGGGAAGAAGAGCATCATTTGATATTCAGTAGATCTGCCACACCCAACTGGCTCCATCTCCTGGAAAACAGCACTCACTACAAGCAACTGTAATAGCACCCAGCAATGACCACGCTGCTCCTGCTGGCTCTTCCGTACACCAGTAAATGAACTCACCAATGTATTGCACACATACACTTCACAGTAGTACAATAAAGCCCTGTATCAGGAGTGGTAATTCAATGACTTGACTCTATAGTGCACTGCAGCTTTATGTCATACCAACATTCAAATATTCAAATATCCTTCCAATCCATTTGGACAAAAATACACCATGGCTGCCAAGACACATGTATTTTTCTTTCTTCCATGGACTCCTAAACTGCTCCCACAATCAGCAGTGTTCTTCTCTCAGAAATTATCTTAAGCTTCTCTACTCAATGGGAGGTACACACAGAGACCTGAGAATATGCAGAGGCCAGAATCTCTGTCTGTGCTAGAGATCAACTGTACTCTGCCCACCTGGGGAACACATCCTCTGGGTAAAGTACTCGGAAGTAAATTACATTCACCTGGAGACAGATACGGGCTTTCACTGACAGCCTGTTTAGAAAACACAATGTCTGTAAGTTACCTCATAGGTCAAAGAGTTTTGTATTATATTTTTCATAATGGGCTATGGCCTTTTTACCCTGTTTTAATACAGAGCAACTGCAGAAGGACATGAATTAAAGCAGACTGCAAAAAAGAATAATCAGTTTTGGTATCGCCTATAACAAAGATTTTCAATACAACCTAATGGTTCCTGAAAAAAAATTCTACCACACAGAACAACATTTGGAATTACAGAGTTCTGCTGACTAAAAAATAAATACATTTACTTTTGGTAAGGTCATTTCAGAACTGGGTTTTGAGGTGGTTCCAATAAGTAGGTTGGGAAACGAATAGCAGACAAGAAGGGTTCACCATAATGAATAATTTTTATAAGACTATACTATTAAAGTGGTGTATTCCCAAAATAACTTTAATTTTTAGACATCACTATTCTACAACCCGAAGGTTCTGCCATCTAAGTAAGATGTTTTACATCACTCATCACTATCATCCTGTTATTTCATTTTCATTTTTTCTTCATTAAAAAAAATTTCCCATATAAAAATAAGGTGGCAAAACACTCTTGTTCCCATCTTTCTAACAGCACCTAAACTCTGTGTGAGCCACTATGTTCCCTACTTCAAATCAAAGACCTGAGTTCTAAAATTCTCAATAGCTGACCAGTAGTTTGACAATCTGGGGACTCAAGTTCAGATTCTCGAGGGGTTGAACATTAGACATCCATTAGAGTGTACCAAATCCCCCAAGAGTGTATCCCAATGACACGTGCATATGAGCATGGGGCCTCTGAGAAGATGAAGACACATAATTATTATGGACAGGTCATCTGATTTTGACTATTGCTTTGAACAAAAATCTTCCCAAAAATACACACGAAAATATATTTATATTTAACCCTCTCTTTAACATAGTTTCTGATGAAACAAATTAAAAATGGCCCTACTTTATTTTTAATTGTAAAAGTGTTCCAAAAATTCAAAGCACATTCCCCATTGGGTAAAATCAAGCAATGCCAACATTTTGTGGGAATAAATAGGAATTAATTTTCCTAAGCAAATCTTCCAATGGAAAAAGTGACAGAAGTATGAAGAAACTGCATTTTGCTAGGGTTATGTGGAATGTGCAAAGAGTATAGGTTTTCTGTAAGCTTAAGAATTTCTCAATGAAGTGTCTTTCTTATGTTAGTATTGAGCCCAGTATTCTGAAACCACATAAAGTGAATATGCAGTTTTCAGAAGAGTACACTGTTCAACATTCAAGAGGCGAGCTCTCAACTCACCTCCAACATTCTAGAGAACCATCCCTCTCCTCCAGCATAGGAGAAGGAACAAGTCTAACCTGAGTGCTCCATCCATCTGTTCTCATTGGCCTCAGTCCGTTTCAGAGTCATCTGCCATAACTTAAGGTCACGTGGATGCAAGCAGTGTCAGCCTTGGGCCCCCGCTCCCCGCCCTTAGGAAGCTGTCTGCCAATTCCTCCACATGCTAGGGAAAGACGCCAATCCCTAAATTTCCCTGGGAAATACCTAGCAGGTATCATATTTGTCAAGGGGTAATTCTCTTTTTCTGATCTAGGGAGAAGTAGTCTAGGTCCTCACGCCTTCCCCATTTTCATCCCCAAAAGAAGATCCTATTACCCCAAGTTTCTCAGGAGCTTTCACAGTCTGACATCCAAAAGTTAAATCAACTTCACAGGGCCCTTCCTATACCCTCGAATAAGTCTCCAACACCCAGTTCTCTCTCTGCCTATGGATGAAGGTGCCGGGCTGCCTCTAAGAAGATTGGCTCGAGTGCAGATTCAAAAATAAAAAGTTCACAGTCAATGAAAAGTGCTCTCATTACATTACATACATAAATTATCTGTTTGATTGGTTCTACATTTCCAACAGACATCATTTTGATAGGCTGTATTCTCGTAGAGAAGAATGAAAAGCCATGTGACTAGTCACATCACACCCCATTAGTCTGAGATAAGGTGATTTCTCTGTCACAGAGATCCATCAGCAGCAACTAGTAAAGAGAATCAATCTTCACTTTTTTCCTCCACAGAAATAGTCCCTTTCCTGCCCAGGCAGGCAAATTCTCAAAATGATCCTAGGAGAGAAAGGGTTAATGGCAGGTGGTAGGACTGATACAGAACAGCTGCTTTCTTCCCAGTACCCCTGGGAATTCCAATGCAGGTTAAATGTGAAACTTAACACTGATAGTGGCTACCAGTTTATCCAGAGCCAGCCCCTGATGGCTCTCACACTTTTTGGCTCCGAGTTCAACCCCACACAGCTATGGTTTAGAAATGTAGACGCAGGGCTGGGCATGGTGGCTGAGGCCTGTAATCACAGCACTTTGGGAGGCAGAGGAGGGTGGATCACCTGAGGTCAAGAGTTCAACACCAGCCTGGCCAACATGGTGAAACCCCGTCTCTAAAAAAAAAAAATAAAACTTAGCCGGGCATAATGGCAGGTGCCTGTAATCCCAGCTACTCGGGAGGCTGAGACAGGAGAATGGCTTGAACCCAGGGACAGAGGCTGCAGTGACCCGAGACCCCACCATTGCACTCCAGCCTGAGCGACTGAGCAAGACTCCGTCTCAAAACAAACAAACAAAAAAAAAACGAACAAACAAAAAGAAATGTAGAGGCAGAATGCCTCTAGCAAGTCCCTACCCCAACCCTGCACAGCCTCCTCCCACACTGTGCCCAGTGGGGCAGTCATAGTGCTGTGTCGAACTCCTCCGGGGGCTCGGTCCGATCCTCTTCATGGGGCTCAGGCTCGAGCCGGCTGTCCTGGTGCTGTTTCATTTGTTCCTTCACTTCTTCTTCCAGGTCATGAGGCACAACAAACTGGTCCTCTGGTTCCATCTGAGTGGGGGCAGCAAAATAGCCAGTTTTCCTCTTGGGCACTTCTGTGGCCACTTCAATGAGGTTCAGGCTGTCCTCTAGGGGCACAATAGAGCCATTGGAGAGTTTCTTCCCATAGAGGCAGGAGGTGGAGGGAGACTTCTGTAACTCCATCCTGTCCTTGCTCATTGGCAGGAGCATGCCACTATTCACACTGTTCTGTCTTCGGATCCCAAAACACGACCCTCTAGCATGTTCCTCAGAACACAGGGTAGGAGAACTCTCTATGAGAGGGGGTGAGTTCTCCAGATCCCTCCCCCTGCAGCAGTGGATGTCTACTTCCACCTCTACCTTGCTGCCATTGGTTATGACCCCCTCAACGGGCTGGTCATCATCACTGTCCAGGCCGTTGTCAGACTGGTTACTGGAGAAGGTAGCAGAAGAAGGCTGGCGCTGAAACAGCCCAGAGGTGGGTGTTGGGTGGAGGCTGCAGCGCCGCTCTGGCCTCGGAAGCAAGGCAGTGTCCAGGCCCCCAGCATTATGCTCATCAGAAGCAGTGGACCCCACTTCACTGCTCACCTCTGAGGTGGACATCTCACTGCTGAACTCAGAGGCAATCCCACTGCTAGAGGATGGAGTGGCTGGCTTAGGGGCATCCTTGATAGTGGTGGTTGAAGCAAATCCCACAGGACCTGGGAGGGTGAGCCCATTCATTTCACAAGTGCAGCCTTCCTCACCAATATTCAAATAAACTACCATCGCCCCTACATTGTCCTGACAGCCATAGCTCTGCGCTAATGTGCACAGCTTCTTAGCAGCTGCTAATGGGTCTTGTACGTGACGTACAGCATTGACAGCTTCTGTGTAGGACAAGTGTTCCCACAATGCTTTGTTTCCCAGAATCAGCAACTCATCTTGAATGGTCAGCGGAGTGGAAGATATGTGGGGCTTGGGGAGGATCCAAGGGTAGAGGTATGTACAGCCCAGCATCCGGGTACAGCAGGTTACCCCATTCACTTTGTTGTCCTACAGAAGAGCAGGACACAAATTCTGAGAAACAAGCAACGATGAGAGCCAACTTATCTTTCTAGATCACAGTGCTTAGGGAACTATAATAAAACAATTTATATATGATTTTTCCTATGGATTAGTATAATTTTAAATGGATGCACACAAATAAATGTAGAGAAGTCCTAAAAGACAAAATATTATATGGTTACTATAGAGCCAAGTAAAAATAAGTGACTAAAAGGCACCACCATCCCAAAAGATGTTTGCTTTAACATGAAGAACAGGCCTCAGTATGTCTATAAATAGAGAAACATGACAGAAAAACAGTAAGCAGAACTATCATTAATTCTCTATCACTAGTACTCTCAGAGAGGATGAAACAGAAAGGTCACTAAAAGTGATTTCTCACTTAAAGGGATGTCAGCTGGGACTGAAAAGATACCAATGGCAAAGACAATCTTGGCAGTTAAGGCATCAAATAATCTCTAAGGTTATTCAGCCTAAAAAAGGGGAGTCTGAGATGTGCAGCATAATTTACCTATGCTCTGGGGACTGTATCAAGAATAAATAGCGATCAAATCAAAATCCCTGTAATTCAAAACTTAGAGGAAACAGAGTAACCCTGCTTGCAGGTTGGGAATGCTCACAAGCCAGACACTTTGTTGTACTGATTTCAAGAAACGAAAAAAATACAAAACAAAACTCTAAAGTCATCAATAAATTAATATCACAGTTGCAATCACCCTCTGGGAGAAGACCTGAGCTTATTCGCCAGAATTTGTCATAAACTCTAAACTGTACTTTCTTCATCTGTAAAATGAAAATGGGAGTTTAACAACTACCCACTGAATTAGAAACTCTGGGGCTAGGGCCCAACAATTCATGGGAGTTACTGTTAAGATTAAGGAAAATAATAAAGGTATGGTGTTTGGCAAATAATGGACAAACAATAAATGCTTGTGGCTAAAATAACATTTATAAAAATACTTCCTACTTGTCTACAATCCCCTAAGAAAAATCTAAACATTGGCCAGGGACGGTGGCTCACGCCTGTAATCCTAGCACTTTGGGAGGCCGAGGTGGACGGATCACCTGAGATGGGAGTTGGATACCAGCCTGACCAACATGGAAAAACCCCATCTCTACTAAAAACACAAAATTAGCCAGGTATAGTGGCGCATGCCTATAGTCCCAGCTACTCGGGAGGCTGAGGCAGGAGAATCGCTTGAACCTGGGAGGTGGAGATTGTGGTGAGCCAAGATCACGCCATTGCACTCCAGCCTAGGCAATAAGAACGAAATTCTGCCTCAAAAAAAAAAAAAGAAAAGAAAAATCTAAACATTATCCAAATTCTATAAAAAGACTAGTCAAACAAAAAGTTATCTGAAGCCAGGCGCAGTGGCATGTGCCTATAGTCCCAGCTACTCAGGAGGCTAAAGCAGGAGGATCACTTAATCCAGGAGTTCAAGTCCAAACTGGATAACACAGCAAGACCTTGTCTCTAAAAAAAATAAAAATAAAATAACTAAAAATTTAAAACACTATCTTTTATCTTTCATTTGTTTTGACTGAAAGAGCTTCCCAAAACTAATGCCTCATACTTCCAGAATTCTAATAGTATCAATCACATAAAAATGATGGTTTTTGATTTTGTTTCCTTAGATGAACTCTAATATAGAATTCTGACAAAACAGCCCAGAAATGGACCCACACAAATACAGTCAACTGATCTCTGAAAATCAAAGAGCAAAGACCATACAAAGGATAGTCTTTTCAACAAATGGTCCTGGAACAAGAGGACACCTACATGCAAAACATGAATATAGATACAGAGCTTACACTTTTCACAAATATTAACTCAAAACAGACCATGGACCAAAATGTAAAACACAAAACTAAACTTCTAGAAGATAACACAGAAGAAAATCTAGGTGACCTTGGGTTTGGCGATGAGTTTTAGATACAATACCAAAAGCACGATCCATGAGATAAAAACTGACAGGTGGGCCTTCATTAAAACTAAAAGCTCTGCAAAAAAACACTGTTAAAAGAATGGAAAGACAAGCCCCAGACTGGGAGAAAATATTTGCAAAACAGGTATCTGATAAAGAACTTGTTTCCAAAATATACAAAGACTCTTAAAACTCAACAATACAGAAACAAACAATCCAATTTACAGTTCTCAAAAGATCTGAACGGAATTCATCACGGAATTCCACTTTGTGATAAACAATGTTCACAAGTAATTGCTAAAGTTCTTCTGAAAGCAAAAATGTTAATTTCTAAAAAAGGAGAAAAGCTATAAAACAGTAGAAATACTGATGTTTCATTATCAAAAGAGAACACCAGAGCATACTACACCACATAGAGTATAAACACAAAACATTTTGAAACTTTGCATTTCAGAATGGGGATGTCAAACTAGAGAACTCTTTCTTCTATTTGGAATAACAAACCAGATGAGCTGGAAATTAGCTAAGGCAGATATTTAACATCCATCTTACAACCCAGCTATCAATATACAGGATCACAAATTAGGATTTTGTATTTCTAATTCACTTTGCTTTTTCTTTGTGCTAGTCACTAACTGATCAGATTTTCCTCCAGTACTGTTGCTGAAACCATCTGCATTGAACTTTTATCTGGATTGGATACAATTTACAGGGCATGATAGGAAGAAAATGGGCCTTCATCACCTCTACACAAAGCAGCCTCCACTGATTTGGGGAGCAGAAGTGACTGGCGGGGAGCGGAACACACCTCTGTGATGATGGCTTTTTGGTCCTTCACCCTTTGAGCCTCCTCTGGGTCCTGCTCCAGGCTGAAGACTTTAGAGAGGGGCACTGGCTTCCCACCTCGGCACAGGACTGCTTGGCACGTGCCAACATTGGCTACAGTCAAGCTAAAGCTACTTGCTGGATCGGCAGTGTCAGGGCGGATGTAGCACAGGAGAGCGGAGGAGCCCAACTTCTGGCCAGCCATTCCTAATTTCCTGTTCAGAAAGAAAAGGAAAAGAAGACGTGGTGGCTAGTTTTAGAAGAAAGTGGTGGTCCTGCACGTACATCCCTTCTTTTTTTTTTTTTTTTTTTTTACCATGTGATCGTGAACCAGCCTTACCCTTATCCACCTAAATGCAGACTTGCTGTGGCTGATGGTGGTGGAGACAGTTCTGCCTTCCACTCTCGCTGAGGAAAAGGTTTTACAAAAGGGAGATAATCTCCCTTTTGCATCTTTCTCCATAGCTTTTGTGTCTGATCAAAGACTTCCTAATTCAGGGGCTCTCAAACTTTAACACATCAGAATCCCCTGAGGGCTTGTCAGAACAGGGACTGCTGGGCCCTAGGCCCAGAGTTTCTGAATCAGTGGGTAAGAGGCTGGCCCAATAAACTATACTTTAAGCAATTTCTGGTGAGGCTGAGAGGCTGCTGTTCCTAGAACAACACTTTGAGAACCACTCACTTAGGTTCTAAGTTCCTCGAGGGAAGGACCATGATTCTTGCATTTCCCCCATATGCAGGGCATCCACGCGTCTGTACTTGGAAACAATGTTAACGAGGAACAGACACTAGCAGAAAGACCTAGTTTCAAATCTCAGCTCTGCCATTTTCTGGCTACAGACACTCAGCAAGCCATTTCTCCAGGAAATTTCTCTGATAAAATATATAGCATGGAAAATACTTGCTACAATTCCTGGCTTGAGTTGCTTCATAAATGGAGTTCCCTTTCCTAAACCCTTTATTTTTGCAAAGTCTCTAGCTCAATTATACTACTGAAAAACTGACTTCTTCCTAACACTTTGCTTTGTGTTATGACAGATAAAACTAATTCAAGCCCATCCTGGCTAACACGGTGAAACCCCATCCCTACTAAAAATACAAAAAATTAGCCTGGTGCAGTGGCTCACGCCTGTAATCCCAGCACTTTGGGAGGCCGAGGTGGGCAGATCACGAGGTCAGGAGATCGAGACCATCCTGGCTAACACGGTGAAAACCCATCTCTACTAAAAATACAAAAAATTAGCCGGGTGAGGTGGCGGGCACCTGTAGTCCCAGCTACTCGGGAGGCTGAGGCAGGAGAATGGCGTGAACCCGGGAGACGGAGCTTGCAGTGAGCCGAGATTGCACTACTGCACTCCAGCCTGGGGGACAGAGCAAGAAGACTCCGTCTCAAAAAAGAAAAAAAAAAAAAAAAAAAAAAAACTAGTTCAAGCTCCAAGCTGTTCCATTTCAACCTGGATTATACAAGTTGACAAACAACCTCTCAGTTGTTCCTATCCTTTATCGGTCCACCTGACATGCAAATGCTCCATTACAGTTAGGTTATACAGATGTCCTCAACTTATGATGGTTCAACTTAAGATTTTTTGACTTCACGATGGTGCAAAAGCAATACTGTATGCATTTAGTAGAAACTGTACTTTGTATTTTGATCTTTTCCTGGGCTAGTGACATGTGGTACGATGTTCTCTCATGATGCTGGGCAGAGGTAGCGACCCATAGCTCCCAGCCAGCCACTTGATCACAAGGGTAAACAACCAATACAGTGCCCTGTGTCACCACATGATTTTGCCCAACTATAAGCTAATGGGGTAAGCGTTCTGAGCACACTTAACGTAGGCTAGGTGAAGCCATGATGTTCGTTAGGTTAGGTGTATTAAATGTAGTTTCTACTTACCACATTTTCAACTTATGATGTCAGGCTTACATCCTTATCAGGGTGTAACCCTATTCTAAGTTGAGGAGCATCTGTATATGGTTTTTGCCCTTAAGTGGCTTATACTTTACTTAGAAGATTAGTTTGGTAAAACCCCAGAAAGAGGCATTCTAAACGTTATCAATCTGATAAGTATTTGGTTAACTGTTTTGTAGGTCACTGACTGCTTGGACAATCTTATGAAAGCTGACCACCTTCCTCCTCAAAATGTACAACCACATATATATACACACACAACATTTTGCACATAAATTCTGGGCTTCCCAGATCCTCAGCAGCCTTTGGATTCAACAGAGAAAACAGATGACCCCCACAGGCTTTTGAAAGAGCCGAAGTCCCCGCACTCCATGCTCATATAGAGAATGATCATAGAAGACAACAACGTGAGTTCTCTCCTTGATCCTGTATCCATAATTTAGACCCTGACCTTCTGGTTTAGAAAAATATATTTTCCAAAAGTAGAACTGAGTTAGGGATTTTTCAACCCACCTGCTTACCTGTGAGATACCAAGAAGGTGTTAGCCATGAAAACTGTGTCATTAGTTGACTGCTGTACCTCTTCTAAAAGCACATCTGCCATCGTACACTGCAGCAGGCGCGGGAGCTCCTCATTTCGGTCTCCATCAAACATGCCATACACAGCTCCCACCCCCTCTGCAAAGCTATCCATAGCAAGTGCTGAGACACACAGCCTATAATAGAAACATGAAAACAGAAAACAGAAAAGTTACTGGTAAAATATTATTCTCCAGGGAGCATTCTTTTTTTTTTTTTTTTTGAGAGGGAGTCTTGCACTGTCACCCAGGCTGGAGTGCAGTGGCATGATCTTGCCTCACTGCAAGCTCCACCTCCCAGGTTCACGCCATTCTCCTGCCTCAGCCTCCCGAGAAGCTGGGACTACAGGTGCCTGCCACCACGCTGGGCTAATTTTTTTGTATTTTTAGTAGAGATGTTAGCCAGGATGGTCTTGATCTCCTGACCTCATGATCCGCCCACCTTGGCCTCCCAAAGTCCTGGGATTACAGGTGTGAGCCACCGCGCCTGGCCAGGAGCATTCTTTTAAAAAGTAAGTATTAATTAAAGGTGGCAAAGACTACTAGCAAATCGTAATCTACACGTAAGAAAAGTCCCTAGACATGATAATTAAGCAACATCTGAAAGAGCTAATGTCCTAAGGAAAGGGGAAACAGTCGCATTCATGGGCAGTACATATTAGCTTTGCAATGCTGCCAAAGGCTGGTAAGATAAAGCACTTTCTCTTAGTAGTGACTAAGGATTAGCTTTGTCAAGGCCTATCAGTCAAAGACCACCAGAGCACACCTATGGTTGAAAAAGTTGAGTTTATTACCCCTTATAGCAAATGAGAGTGCACCCCATGGAACCCCGGGGTATACAGGTAAGTCTTGCTGAAAAGAACCCAGTATAGGGTTTGGACTTTGGTTTGGTCACTTTGGGGAGGGTCTAAGGAAGAGGATCATACTAGACTGGGTGTCATCAGAAAGTGAGGCCATTCTATTGCTGGGTATAAAACTTATCTATAGGGAAGGAAAATTAGCAGAAGGATAAAGCTGTAACTGGTAAAGAAAGTAGCATCTACCCATCTTAGCCATGAAAGGGGGTGTTTGGTATTCTGTTGACTACACATTAGTATTGTTTTTGTCTTAAAACGTTATCATGATCCCAAAGGGATCTTATCTGACGCTGATGTTCTATGATTTGTCTGTGTACAACAGAACAACATGGCCTAGCTATTATGAGCATCAGGCCAGTTCTCAGATGCCAGGGGCTGCCTTTTTTCTTTCTCAGTCTCCATGGCCAATATACTCACTTATTTCTCTGCCCTGCCATCTCAGCCAGTCCATGGCTCCAGAAGGTTGACGTAACTGTAGAATCTGTGGTTGGCAAAGGTTTCTGATCAATTTTCAGGGTTGTGATATGGCTGTGGGAGGTGAAGGAAGATTAAACCATATATTCTTCTGTATTTTACAAAAACTATCCCAACAATAGTATTCTTTTTTTTTTTTTGAGATGGAGTCTCCCTCTTGTCACCCAGGCTGGAGTGCAGTGGTGTGACCTCAGCTCACTGCAACTGCTGCCTCCCGGTTCAAGCAATTCTCCTGCCTCAGCCTCCTAAGCAGCTGAGATTACAGGTGTATGCCACCATGCCCGGCTAATTTTTGTATTTCTTTATTTTATTCTATTTTATTTATTTATTTTTTTGAGACGATCTCCCTCTGTTGCCCAGGCTGGAGTGCAGTGGCGCAATCTCGGCTCACTGCAACCTTCGCTTCCTGAGTTCAAACGATTCTCCTGCCTCAACCTCCCAAGTAGCTGGGATTACAGGCACCTGCCGTAACAACCAGCTAATTTCTGTATTTTTAGTAGAGACGGGGTTTCACCATGTTGGCCAGGCTGGTCTCGAACTCCTGACCTCAAGTGATCCGCCCGCCTCGGCCTCCCAAAGTGCTGGGATTACAGGTGTGAGCCACCGCTCCCGGCTAATTTTTGTATTTTTAATAGGGATGGAGTTTTGTCATGTTGACCAGGCTGGTCTCAAACTCCTGACCTCAGGTGATCCACCCACCTTGGCCCCTCAAAGTGCTGGAATTACAGGCGTGAGCCACCACGCCCGGCCAACAATAATATTATCTTTTTTTTTTTCTCTTTTTTGAGAAGGAGTCTCGCTGTGTCGCCCAGGCTGGAGTGCAGTGGCGTGATCTCTGCTCATTACAAGCTCCGCCTCCCGGGTTCACGCCATTCTCCTGCCTCAGCCTCCTGAGTAGCTGGGACTACAGGCGCCCGCCACCTCGCCCGGCTAATTTTTTGTATTTTTAGTAGAGACGGGGTTTCACCATGCTAGCCAGGATGGTCTCGATCTCCTGACCTCGTGATCCACCCACCTTGGCCTCCCAAAGTGCTGGGATTACAGGCGTGAGCCACCGCACACGGCCAATAATATTATCTTTTAATAAAATAATCTATGGACTGACTAAGATTCATTTCCAGAGAGACTGATGAAAGTAGTATGCTGAACTACTGGCAAAGAAGGAGGGGAGAGAAAGGAAAGGGGTAGGAGGATCAAAGGGGTAGGAGTTTCAATAAAAAACTAAGCACAACAAAGATTTCTATGTTTTAGCCAACCATCTATTTATGTTAAGTATTTTGATACAATGAAGTCTTGGTACAATGGATGAACTTGTATTGTCTCTTAGATATTATATAATCTGTGCCACCTAAAACATCTATGCCTGTTGTGAAAATATTCAGTATGTTGGGGGGTAGTAGCCATGGAGTAGTCCTAATATAAACAGGTTGACTACTGGATAGAACATCTATTCATAACTTAATCAAAGAAGAGAACCTAGGGGCTTTATAGCCTAACTTCATTCTGTTCTTTTAATTAATCAAGATCTCCACAGTACTAAGGAAGACCTACACATGGCTGGTGGGCTAAGAGCACATAGAGATTCCATTTCAAATTTTTTCCTACCTAAATATGTCCAGTGTCTTGTGTTCCAGAACCAGATTTGTATTTCCAGTCAGGTCAAGGTCTTGTAATGTAGCAGGCAAAGCCTCTGGAATCAGGATTTCTGTCAAGTCGTTGCAACTTAGGTCTACAAACTAAGAAAAAATTGAGAAATCAAAAGAAAATACATCACAGAGACTTAGTTCTTTACTCCCAAGTGTCCAATCTCTTACTATATCCCCAAAGAGGAACTTAATTTCTTCCCAGGAATCCATTACATAAATTCTGGTCCCAAACTGGAGCACATAAGAAGACAATAATATTTTTCCTTATAAGAATAATCTCATTCACACTCCTTTCTTCTTCTTTATAAAAGGAAAATAATGTCATTCACTCTCCTGCCATTTCCCCCAATAAGGACATCATTCCAGCACACAGAAGTACCTGGATCTGAGGCAACTGCAGTATTTCTGGGAAAATGCTGATGTTGTTGGAGTGTGCAACAAGGGTGTGCAGCCTTTTACAGTTTGCTATGGTTGTGGGAATGGTTTTAAGCTTGTTGCCACTTAGGTTCAGTTCCTCCAATTGCTCCAATTTATTTAGTTTGCTGAAAAAGAAACAACAGAATACTATAATGCACCAAGACTGAGCAGCTGCCAAGGAAGTGCTATTCTACAGCAGCCACAGAGTACAGAAGGCCGACACGGTCCACTGCCAGATGACTGGTGAGAAATGAAACCGATACCAGGAATACCAGGAAAGGCAATGGCTCAAGAAGATAACTACTCCTGCTATAACTAAGCCTGATCTGCCTCAGTGTGTTTCAAGGGCTGTTGGATCTTGTGGGCAGGAACATCTTCCTGTTACCTAATGTACAAAAAGTGGCTAGAAAAGGAGTGGCCTCAAGTTGGGGGATTAGTCTTGATGCTTGCTTTACCACTAACTAGCGGCAAAATACTAAGTAAGTCAATGTCAGCAGTCTTTAATACCCTCAGCTGTAAAAAATGAAAAATGAGGTTGTACTAAATCATCACAAAGATTTTTTTTTTTTTTTTTTTTTGAGATGGAGTTTCACTCTTGTTGCCCAGGCTGGAGTGCAATGGCCTGATTTCAGCTCACCACAATCTCTGCCTCCTGGATTCAAGCAATTCTCCTGCCTCAGCCTCCCGAGTAGCTGGGATTACAGGCATGCGCCACCACGCCCGGCTAATTGTGTATTTTTAGTAGAGACAGGGTTTCTCCATGTTGGCCAGGATGGTCTCAAACTCCCAACCTCAGGTGATCTGCCCACCTCAGCCTCCCAAAGTGCTGGTATTATAGGCATGAGCCACCGCACCCGGCCCATCACTAAGATTCTTTACAGTTTTAAATTTCTATACTTACCCATTCATGACATTAACTCATCTCCACTAAACATTTATCAAGTTCTTATTATACACACAGCACTGTGCTGTGAGGCAAGTGATTCACACTGTTCCATGACTGAGCAAAGCTTTCTACATGGTAAGCAAAATAACTTAAGTGAGACTAACACCTTCAGGTTATTACAAATAGTTCTAATTTATTTTGATTTATTGGTTTAAAAATTACAAAAATAATAAACTGCTGTTAACATGGAGAGAAAGTGAAAAATAAAGAAATACATCACCAATACCAGCAATCTGAAAGAATCACTTTTATCATTTTGCTGAATTTCCTATCAAATGTTTCATATATTTGTTTTACAAAAATTTTATATCTTGCCTTTTTCATATAACATATCATAAATAATTTCTACTCCTAGAAATTTCATATTTTTAAATAACTAAGCTTTGTAAATTACAATTATTTTTTCTGATAAAAATAATATATACTCACTGAAAAAAACTGAAAAATAGAGACAAACAGGAAAAAAAATCTTTTAATGCTACTTCATTAAAATAAATTAAATAATCTCTGATAACATTTTAGTAGATAGTATTCTCGTCTTTCTTAAGGCATGAAACTACACTTTTCAAATTAAAAAATGGTATTATAGGCCAGGTAGGTGTGGTGGCTCACACTTGTAATCCCAGTACTTTCAGAGGCTAAGGCAGGTCAGTCGCTTGAGCCCAGGAGTTTGAGGCTGCAGTGAGTTATTACTGCACCACTGCACACCAGCCTGGGTGACACAAGACCTTGTCTCAAAAAAAAAAAAAAAAAAAAAAAAAAGGTACTATATTATATACACTGTATTTTTTTTTTTTTTTTTTTTTTGAGATGGAGTCTTGCTCTGTTGCCCAGGCTGGAGTGCAGTGGCGCAATCTTGGCTCGCTGCAACCTCTGCCTCCTGGGTTCACACCATTCTCCTGTCTCAGCCTCCCAAGTAGCTGGGACTACAGGCACCCGCCACCATGCCCGGCTAATTTTTTGTATTTTTAGTAGAGATGGATGGTCTCGATCTCCTGACCTCGTGATCTGCCCACCTCGGCCTCCCAAAGTGCTGGGATTACAGGCGTGAGCCACTGCGCCCGGCCTATACATTGTATTTATGATTTTATTTAACAATATATTTTAAAAGTGTTCCCATGTCCAAATCTCGTGCTTTTTTCCCTTATCCTGCCTGGATTTTTCTGACTTGTAAATAGAAATGCAGCCTCCTCAATCAGTTTCTGAGTACCCAGAACTGTGCTAGATTCTGAAAATAGTTCAAAAGAAACAAACAAGATTTCTATTGTGCCTATACAATTACAACACTGCTCAGGAAATGAACTGATAGTGGATTTATTATTTAGTACAGAACACACATTTTTAAAAATATGTTGTTCCTGAATTCCATTCAGTTTTATTATATATATTCAGATTACTCTATTTTTTGTGATGTTAATTCTTGTCTTTGTCTTTTTTTTTTTTTTTTTGAGATAGGGTCCCGCTCTGTTGCCCAGGCTGCAGTGCAATGGCGCAATCTCAGTTCACTGGAACCTCCACCTCCCAGGTTGAAGCGATTCTCATGCCTTGGCCTCCTGAGTAGCTGGGATTACAGGCAGGCACACAACACCACACTCAGCTGATTTTTGTATTTTTAGTAGAGACAGGGTTTCACCATGTTGCCCAGGCTGGTCTTAAACTCCTGATCTCACGTGATCCACCCAACTCAGCTTCCCAAAGTGCTGGGATTACAGGCGTGAGCCACCGTGCCAGGCCTAATTCTTGTCTTTATTACTAACTTCTTATTTTCATTTTCTTTGATATGTTTTAAGTTTTATATCAACCTGCTTTTGACCCCTCCAACAATAAAAGTGTCATCAAATTAGGTTTTACAGCATTATGCCTGGTACCATCCAACAGCTTCCAGTGGTCTATTATTTTCACTTTATATGAACATATTTGAGGTCAATTAGGTTAATCTGATAAAATTTCAAGAGAGCTACCACACCCTGAAATTAAGATTCTGCATTCATTTTAGAAGTCATTAAAAAAAAATGTAAAAGTAAAAAGTCATTGTTTTAATTCTTTCAAGGAGGCTGACCAGGCACAGTGGTTCACACCTATAATCCCAGCATTTTGGCAGGCTAAGGTGAGATGATCACTTGAGGCCAGGAGTTCAAGACCAGCCTGGACAACACAGCGAGATCCCACCTACACAAGTTTGTTTTGTTTTGTTTTGTTTTTTTTGAGATGGAGTCTTGCTCCGTTGCCAGGTTGGAGTTGCAGTGATACGATCTTGGCTCACTGCAACCTCTGCCTCCGGGGTTCAAGCGATTCTCCTGCCTCAGCCTCCCAAGTGGCTGGGATTACAGGCGCCCACCACCACACCTGGCTAATTTTTGTATTTTTAGTAGAGACGGGGTTTCACCATGTTGGCCAGAATGGTCTTGATTTCTTGACCTCGTGATCCGCCCGCCTCGGCCTGCCAAAGTGCTGGGATTACAGGCATGAGCGGCCACGCCCGGCCTCTACAAGTAAAAGGTTAGTCGGGTGCGGGCCGGGCGCAGTGGCTCACACCTGTAATCCCAGTACTTTGGGGGGCCAAGGTGGGCGGATCACGAGGCCAGGAGTTCGAGACTAGTCTGGCCAATATGGTGAAACCCTGTCTCTACAAAAATACAAAAAATTAGCCAGGTGTGGTGGCACATGCTTATAATCCCAGCTACTTGGGAGGCTGAGGCAGGAGAATCACTTGAACCTGGGAGGCAGAGGTTGCAGTGAGCCAAGACCACGCCACAGCACTCCAGCCTGGCCAACAGAGCAAGACTCCATCTCAAATAAATAAATAAATAAATAAGTTGGGTATGGTGGTGCATGCCTGTAGTCCCATCTCCTTGGAAGGTTGAGGCAGGAGAATCACCTGAACTCCAATCAAGTTTCTCCTGTATGTCTTCTGAAGCTCTATCTCATGTTGTAAATGGTAAATGTTCATAAAAATTATAATTTTATAATTTACATACATATAATTTCATCCAAAATTATTAATATCAAATGTCATTGCCTCACATTCTTAGTTTTTGAAAATATTATTTTTAATGACTACCTTCATGGCATAGATTTTTCTGGTGTTAAATTTTCCAGGTTTTAGCTGGTCATGGTGGCATGTGTCTGCAGTTTCAGGTACTTGAGAGGCTGAGGTAGGAGAATCACTTCAGCCCAGGAGTTTGAGACCAGCCTGGCCAACGTAATGAGATCCCATCTCTTAAAAAAAAAGTTCTAAAGTTGTTTTTTTTTTAACCAAATGTACTTTGAAAGGTATTTACTTATCCACTGACACTGTCTCAAACTTTCACAGCATTAAACATCTTTCTTATGTCTTCTTATAGGTATAGCCTGGCTAACTACTATTCATCTCTTCCTCCAGGGAGCCTAGCCCCATCCCCAGGCTCTGTGCAGTGTGACCGGCAATGTATGCATATCGTCTTTAACAGCCTGCCTTTCTATTTATTTATTTTATTTACTTAGTTATTTTTTTGAGACACAGTCTCACTCTGTCGCCCAGGCTGGAGTGCAGTGGTGCAATCTTGGCTCACTGCAACCTCCGCCTTCTGGGTTCAAGCAATTCTCCTGCCTGAGCCTCTCGAGTAGCTGTGATTACAGGCATGTGCCACCACGTACGGCTAATATTTTGTAGTTTTAGTAGAGATGGGGTTTCACCATATGGGCCAGGCTGGTCTCGAACTCACGAACTTGTGATCCGCCCGCCTTGGCCTCCCAAAGTGTTGGGATTACAGGCGTGAGCCACCACTCCCAGCCAAACACCCTGCCTTTCTTAGACTGCACTGCAACTGCCCATCCACTTGTTTATTTTCCCAATTTGACTATACATTCCTAGAGGACAGAGACTGTAACTGTTCACAATACTTGACATATAGTAAGCATTCCATTTTTGTATTATGAATAAATAGATAACAGTATTTTACAAAACAGTGCTGACAAGAGAAAAGAAAAAATTGTCTTCAGAATCTGTTTCATAAGCCTGTACTTTTCTAGATTGACTATTAGACCATAATTAAGAAGTCACAACTAAAAATTAAACATATTTTAACCAATTTTCCTGGTTACCAATACTTAACAGGGTACTAACTATTAAGATGAGATTTTGCCACTCAACTAGTGAAATCATAGCATCTGTAAGTCAGTGAACGTAAACAAAGAGTCATAGTCAGATGGCTATATTTTTTCTGACAAATATAGAATTAATGTTGTGTATTTGAAATGATCAAAGTTTGCATTCATTTTACCTTGCAGGAAAGGTCTGTAACTGATTGTTTGCAAGGTGCAAGATTCGCAGGTGCAGGTGCCCTACCAGGACAGGTATGCACTGATCCGTCAGGAGATTGTTGGTCAGATAAAGCAGCTGCAGCATACTCAAACTCTCCTCTCCAGTGCAGGCGGATGGTAAAGACTCCAGACTATTTGCAGATGCATTCAAGTATCTGAGACTGACAGAACACACACAGATCATCACCTCCTTTAAGTTTATTTGCTGCCTTCCTATATAGAAACCATCATGTCACCTCAGTATGGAATGCTGCCATTCTAAGCTTCCAAATGGGAAAAAAAAAAAAATCTCCACGTAGTTTTTCTCTAATTGATCCTATCCAACCCAAAGTTCCTTTTACTCAACTCATGCAAACCAAGTAGAGAGGAAAAAGTACAAGCCTGGTTGTTTTCCCAGGCTTCTGGAGTGCCTGATTCTAACCTAACTTCATCTTTTACTCTCAAACTGCCTACTGAAAGGATGTTGCTGAATATCATGTTCACATGTTTTTGAACTGTGAAGACACCATTTAGAAAAACTTTTGTCTGGGCCAGGCGCAGTGGCTCACGCCTATAATCCCAGCACTTTGGGAGGCTGAGGTGGGCAGACTACAAGGTCAAGAGATCAAGACCATCCTGGCCACCATGGTGAAACCCCGTCTCTACTAAAAAAAAAATACAAAAATTAGCTGGGTGTGGTGGTGCACTCCTGTAGTCCCAGCTACTCGGGAGGCTGAGGCAGGAGAATTGCTTGAACCCAGGAGGCTGAGGTTGCAGTGAGCCGAGATCGTGCCACTGCACTCCAGCCTGGCAACAGAGTGAGACTCCATCTCAAAGAAGAAAAAAAAAATTTTTTTGTCTGGTTTTAATAGCATCATTATGTATTCAGCCAATTCCATAATCCCCTAATAAAGAACATATAGGCTGTTTCCATTTCTATACACATGCTATTATAGACACTGTAATGAGCATCTTTGTATCCTTAACCAATTACTTCCTTAGGGTACATTCCTAAAAACAGAATTTGTGGGATCAAAGGATATACATTTTTTAGAGATTTAATATATTGCCAAACTGAGCTCTTGAAAGAGTATATGAAATTATACTTCCGGCTGGGCGAGGTGGCTCACGCCTGTAATCCCAGCACTTTGGGAGGCCAAGGTGGGTGGATCACGAGGTCAGGAGATGGTTAACATCCTGGCCAACATGGTGAAACCTCATCTCTACTAAAAATACAAAAAAAAAGCTGAGTGTGGCGGCACATGGCTGTAATCCCAGCTACTTGGGAGGCTGAGGCAGGAGAAATCGCTTGAACCCAGGAGGCGGAGGTTGCAGTGAGCTGAGATCGTGCCACCGCACTCCAGCCTGGCGACACAGCTAGACTGCATTTCAAAAAAAAATAAACTATACTTCCACAAGAAGACTATTAAGAATGCCAGTTTGTCACACCTTTGTCAACACTGAATATTACAAATCCATTAATCTTTGCCAGTCTAGTAGATAAAACATGGTATAATTTTAAAATTTGCTAACATAGTGTTTAGTATATACAGAACATTCTCAATAAAAGGCAGCTATTATTACTAAACTTGTGTGTTCTCAGGTCTTCTTCATGTTGTATGATCCATAATCCCTGATTCACTTTTTATATTGAAATATAAGTTTTACATAACGAATTAGCTTTTAAGCTAATGGCAGGTACTGTGTGTCTGCTTGTGCTGTGGTCTCAACAAAGCTCTTTCCAGAGTTTGTATTAAATAAATACCACTGACAGTTCGCTACAGCTAAGTTACTCACTAAAGATTCTAAGGTTGTAAACTAATTTCATTCAGACTACCATAAGGACCAAATGCAGCGTTATGCATTGCTAACAAACATTTGTAGATTAACAACTGCATCAATACTCCATTAAATGTTACATAAAGAAAACTTCCTTTAAATACGTTTTAGAATTTCCAAAGATTTTATTTTGAAGACTATCCAATCAACTGTATTATACATTAAGAGATGTATAAGCTGCTAAAGAGAGAACAAGCCAGACAACTGTGGGCTAAACAGTTTTTTACGTCTCCTATTCATTTACTTCTGCTCACCTCTGTTTTCTCCATTTCTAAATTGAAGACAATATTGCTTTCTCCACGTTGTAGAAAAATATAATAAAAACTAGTTTTCAGTGCTTGCTTTGGCAGCACATGTACTAAAATTGGAACGATATAGAGAAGATTAGCATGGACCCTGAGCAAGGATGACAGGCAAATTTGTGAACCATTCCGTATTAAAAAAAAAGAAAAGAAAAAGAAAAAAACTAGTTGTCAGGTTGGGTGCAGTGGCTCATGCCTGTTAATCCCAACACTTTGAGAGGCCAAGACAGGCAGATCACTTGAGTCCAGGAGTTTGAGACCAGCCTGAACAAAACGGTGAAACTGTGTCTCTACAAAAAATAAAATTAGCCAGGTGTGGTGGTGCATCCCTGTGGTCCCAACTACTTAGTAGGCTGAGGAGGAAGGATCACTTGGACCCAGGAGGTCAAGGCTGCAGTGAGCTATGATTGCACCACTGCACTCCAGCCTGAGTGACAGAGTGAAACCATGTCTCTAAAAGCAAAAAACAAACAAAACAAACCCCACAAAAAACAAATAAACTCCACAAAACTAGTTTTCACTTAAAGGTGATGTACACATTAGGTAAACCTGATTACAGGCCTAAAATAGGAAGACATGTCATCTATTTGTTAATTTATAGTGAGAAGGCAAATGACACCTTCTGGAAGGACATTATCTGTAAATACAGTTTTCAAAAAGTACACAAAAAGGTTTGCACATAAAGACTGTAATTCAAAGGCGGTTTGGTAAAGCTAGGAGCAAAAACCAAATTAACTTTAGTGGTACGTCCTTTTCTCTCCAATGCAAAAGCTCAAAATTGCCCAAAGAAGCCACAGCAGAATGTTGTAATTTCTCTTTAAATATCATAACTATATTCATTTTCAGAGATGAAAGCCTGAATCTTCTCAACCTGTCTGAAATTGTTTACAACACAGAAACCTCTTTAAGGATTTAACAGTTATTTCAACTATGAGTTACTGCCTCATAAAACAGTGTCATATTTTGTTTCATAAAAATTGCAAATAAGTCTCCACTCATAGTTGGACTATTAGGTAAACGCTCTGTAAATACAGTTCCAAAGGTCACTCCAATGATAAGTCACTGCAGTCTGTTTAGCCAATGATTCTGCTCTTCCGAAAAAAATCCTATGATACTTACTTTAAGGCCTTGGAGAAGAGGGTGTCTGGCAGCCTCGTGAGTGCATTATGCTGAAGATCCAGCACCTCGAGGGGGATGTGCTCTACCAGTGTTGGAAGGTTTTGCACATGATTGTGTCCCAGCATCAGTTTTCTAAGACTCAAGCTACTCAGAATTCTAAGGGGGGAGCATACAAACAAACACATTAAAAACTTACTTAAATCATTCTTTCTGAGGCTGTCCTAGCCTATTTAACTGAAATTAGTTAACTTATAGAAACATATTCTCCTAGATTGTATACTCACTGACAAGTGCCTGAGCCAAGAAAGCAGCTATGACCATATGTTTACCTACCACCCACCAGGAAGTCATTAAGGTCATTCTGAGAAAAGGTGAATTAATGAAGGCAAACAGCACAGAGGAGATCTATACTAAAAAGGCAATTTCTAGAATAAATCAATTTAGATTTTAAGTCTAAGCAGCACCAAAAATTCAGTATATTAATATTAACACATCTTGTGAATAAATTCATAACATTTCATTACAATAAAAACTACTATTTATGGAGTGCTTAAAATGTGCTAAGCCACTTAACAATGAAGTTAATTCAGAAAGGTTCAGTAACTTTGATTTGCCTAAGATTTCACACTGCATAGTAAATGGTAAAGTCTGGACTTGAATTAAGGTTTGACTCCAAAGATTGTGTTCATATTTAGTATGTTAAACGCCTCTAGTTTAATTTTAAAGACTCCATAGAAAATAACATTTTATACCTCAATGCTTTGGAATGTATCATTCCCTGCCGCCTTCACCAAGCCCCACTCTCTTTCTCCCACCACTTAGAAAAATCCCATCATCTAGTAAAGGTCAATTCAAATGCCATCTTCTCCATGAAACATTCCCTAATTATTCAAATTTCTTCTGATTTTCTCCATTTAATTTATACAGTGTAGTGATTAAGAGTGAAGGCTCTGGCCGGGGGTGGTGGCTCATGCCTGTAATCCCAGCACTTTGGGAGGCAGAGGCGGGCAGATCACAAAGTCAGGAGATCGAGACCATCCTGGCTAACACGGTGAAACCCCGTTCTCTACTAAAAATACAAAAAAAAATTTAGCCGGGCGTGGCAGCATGTGCCTGTAGTCCCAGCTACTCCGGAAGCTGAGGCAGGAGGATGGTGTGAACTCAGGAGGCAGAGCTTGCAGTGAGCCGAGATCGCGCCACTGCACTCCAGCCTGGGCGATAGAGCGAGACTCTGTCTCAAAAAAAAAAAAAAAAAAAAAAAAAAAAGAGTGAAGGCTCTGGAGTAAAAACGACTACATCCAAGGCCAGGTGTGGTGGCTCACGCCTGTAATCTCAACACTTTGGGAGGCTGAGATGGGCCCATTGCTTGAGCCCAGGAGTTTGAGACCAGTGTGGCCAATATAGCAAAGCCCCGTCTCTACTAAAAATACAAAAATTAGCTGGGTGTGGTGGTGTGCACCCATAGTCCCAGCTACTGAGGGGGAGCTGAGGACAGAGAATCACCTGAGCCCAGCAGGTTGATGCTGCAGTGAGGAGTGACTGTGCCACTACACTCCAGCCTGGGTGACAGAATGAGACCCTGTCTCCAAAAAAAAAAGACTACCTTCAAATGCCAGCTCCCGTCACTTCCTGGTTAAGTGTAACCTTCAACAAGTTACCTAACTGCTCTAAGCTTTACATTCCTCATTTCTAAGATGAAGATAACAGCACCTATTAAATATATGATAAGGTTTTTAAAGGATTAGGTAAGATCATAAAAGTGATGTTCTTAGAACATTGCTCAGCTTATAATAGCTCATCCTATAAAAATTAACTATTATTACTATCATGTCACCAACCTATGGCAGCAACTCTTAGTGTATTTATTTCATCACAGTTATCCACATATGTTACACTATCTTCTCATTAAGTTCCTTGCAAGCCAAGCCCATGCTTTAGCCTTTACTATGTTCCTTACAGCACATCACACTGCCTCATGCTCAGCAGGTACTCAACACACTGAACAAATAAAAGGCAACCCAAATCTAGAAAAAAATTTAAATACGCACACACGTAAATGTTAGTATATACATAATATATGCATCCAGGCACACATACCTCACGGGAACCTCTGTGAGAAGATTATAGCTCACATCTAATACTTCTATCTTCTTTGCTTCACAGGCCCAGTCAGGGACACACTCTAGCAGGTTTCTGCAGAAAATAAATAATTAAATGGCACCATTTAAGATGACAAGTGGAACTCATTTCAGTAGGCTATAATGTATCCATTAACCAGCCTGTGAGCCCTTGAGGGCAGGAACACTGTCTCCAAGGCATCCCTTGGAACACTGCCTGGAATATAGTAGGTGCTCATTGAATGCTGCTGAATTAGAAGGGAGAGGAGAGACAAGTACCTGAAAATGTATAATACTGGATCAATTATGTTGCATGCTCAAAGAAGATAAAAAGGCTTTCTGCAATAGAAAAGCACACTTGTGGTGGGATGGGATGAGGGAAAGACAAGGAATTATAATTAACAAACCTTCAAAGATGAGTTAAGACTTCCACAGGTAATGACTGGGTGAGAAGAGAAGCAAATTCCAGGGAAAATTAACAGAATGAATACAAGTGAGACAGTAGAAGCAAAAGATAACTAGTGGGGGAAAAGTTTCAAACCATTTAGAATGTGAGCTCAAATAATTAGTAGAGCACTAGGCAGATATTTAGTCAAGAGAATTTTTTTTCAGATGTGACAGCTTCTCTAGGCCTCAAGGTATCTACAGGTTTATCAAGCGATATAATGAGGCAGAATGAAGCAGCGCTATGTAAGAGAAACACACATATTGCTATACCTTAGTGAAGGAAACCCTTTACCTAAAATGGATCAAAACAAGCTCTCTAAGAAATATGTGGGTTAGAATATGAAGATGTTGTACAAAGGCCTGAGGTGAGGAGCACATTCCAAGCACAGGGTGGCAACATGAGCTAGAGCACAGAGGCAAGAGAAGAAACATATGATGTGTATGGGGAATAACAAGCAGCTTGGTGATGCTGGAGCACCCGGAGGAGACGGCCTGGGCTGGAGATCTGAGTGTAGCTGAAATAACTGCAGTAAATGAGGTCACGTCCAATGAAGTATAGCAGACCAAGGACAGAACCTTGGGGATAATCGACCTTTAAAGGGCTAGCTGAGGAAGAAGGGTATGCAAAAGAAACATGGCCAAAGTGGCATGAAAAAAAATCAGACTGTATTAGCTAGCCAAGGAAAAAGCATGTTTGGAGAAAAGAGAGCAAAATTAACTGTGTCAACACAGAAAAGTTCCAATAAGAGCAGAACTAAACTGAGCTGTTAGAGGGATAAGCAGATGGGGACTGAAGAAACTAAGCCAACAAATGCACATAATTCTTGAGAAATTTGGACAAAAGGGGGAAGAAAGGAATTAAGAAAATAGTTAGGGGGATTGTGAGGTAAAGGGAACTTTGTTATGACAGAAGAGACAAAGTATGTGTACAGACTAAGAAAAAAGAGGCTGAAAACACACACACACACACACACACACACGAGAGGAGGGGAAGAGGAGGGGGAGAGAGGAGGACAATAATGACGACGAACAGTGCAAGGTCCAGGGCAGTGGGAGTGGAGGAGTCACAGGCACAGACAGCTGGACTGGCCATGAACAGAGGAGAGAAGCTGAGAATGAATACGCATCTATATAAATTCAAGCAAGGTGGGTGTTTGGAAGCTGAGGGAAATTGCCCACAATGGCCTCTATTTTCCCAATCAAGTAGGAAGCTAAGTTCCAGCATGGAGGAGACTGGGGAGGGGGACACTGAGGGAGGTAGATGCTGAGGACACTGGAAGGAGCTGGCAAGACAAAGAACCAATAAGCTCCAGATGAGGTTGGAAATTTTGAGTTTGTAGTGGTGTCTACTTGGATGTGATTTTCTTCGGCAATGATCAAGCTCAACGGAAAAGGTAAAATTTTAGTACTGATCCATGCTGGGGTTTTGCTGGGAAGATAAGCAGGAAGAAATGGAAGGGAATCTAAAACATTAGCTTAAAATGATAATGATAAAGTAACGAAATCAACAAAAAGAAACCTGGCTACAACAGTTAGTATTTCTTGAGATGACTACACGTCAGGTACTATCTTATGCATTTTGCATTTATCATCTCACTCAGTCTTCACAACAACCCTGACCAAATAGGACCCTGCCCACTGCCCCTTTGATCTGCTTTGGGCACCCTGTACTCACAGCACTTAGGATGCTGCCCTGTCACTGCTTGTTTGATTGTTCATCTTGCCACTAGACTGCAAAACTCTACCGCTGAACCCAGAATGCCCAACAGTGGTTATAAATGAATAAAAAGTAATAAAATCCTGAATATAATTAATGTCCCTTCAAAAATAAGACCAACATGAGTTATAGGAGTACAAAAAAATTAAATAATATTTTAAAAACCCACTATCTGGCTGGGCTCGGTGGCTCACGCCTGTAATCCCAGCACTTTGGAAGGCCAAGGCAGGCAGATCACAAGGTCAGGAGATCCAGACCATCCTGGCTAATGCAGTGAAACCCCATCTCTACTAAAAAAACAAAAAATTAGCCAGGCGTGGTGGTGGGCGCCTTTAGTCCCAGCTACTCGGGAGGCTGAGGCAGGAGAATGACGTGAACCCGGGAGGCAGAGCTTGCAGCGAGCCGAGATCACGCCACTGCACTCCAGCCTGGCCGACAGAGCAAGACTCCGTCTCAAACAAACAAACAAACACCCACTATCTAAAAATCAAGAATTATCTGATTCCAACTGACAAAACGGGAATCAGTGCCTTGAAGATAACAGGTCTTCCTTGTTTGCATCTCATCCTACATCTATAGTCTTTAAGAAAGAGTAATTCACAGACACCTTACTATTTCAAGAGAATCCTTCCTTTATACAGTAAGGCTATTAAACTTATTCGTCCATTCATCCTTTCTCCTTTTTCCAGGTTATCCAAGTATTTCAAAATACTTAGATTTCTTGTACATCAAAACTGCCAAAAAATCCACATGTATCTCTTAAATAGTAAGAAGCAAGCGCCACCCTCATGAAAGACACTCACCGGGAGAGATCCAAGAAAGTGAGCAGGCTGGGTACTGGATAGACGTTCACTGCTGTCAGCCCTAATCCAAAAACAAACAGGTGTTAGTGACATCCTCTAAAAAAGAAAGTAACTGAGAGCTGACAATGGAAAAGTAGCTTAGTGAAATCACCAGAGAGAAAACTGATGTATTCTACCAAGATGAGCTAAAGACAAAAACTACTGAAAACTCACTTTGACTAACTGATCCCAATTTGTCTTGAAAAACAAATGTAACAGCTAATTGAAGGATCCTGTGTACTGCACTGCCTTTATACAATATTAAGCAGTAGTTAAATGTTAACAGTAACTACTTAGCTTTTTAACTTGATAAAAATAATTAGACTTTTACTGGCAATATTTTAACTTTTAATTGAAGTATAACAAAAATACAGAAGAGTGCAACAATTCAGTAAATTTTCACAAACTGAACACACTAGTGGAACCAACACCCGGATCAAGAAACAGAACATTACCAGCTCCCTGGGAACTGCCCCATGTTTCCCTTTCCAGTCACTTCCCCTCAAGGAGTCCTGACTCCAAGTACCAAATTACTTTTACCTGTCTACATAAATATATGCATGCGGTATGTATAATTACTTTTGCCTATCTATGTAAACATATGCATGCAGTATGTATAATTATTTCTGCCTATCTACATAAATATATGCACACAGTATGTATAATTTACTTGTCTGGCTTCATTCACTCCACAATATGCTTACAGGATTTGTTTATACAGTTGCATATGATTATAGCTCATTCATTCTCATGCCTGTAAAAAATTATTTTATGTGAATATACCACAATTTATTTGCCCATTTTAGAGTTGATGACATGTTAAGTCTTTTCCAGTCTGCAGTTACTATGAATAGTACTTCTGTGAACATATTTGTCCGTGTCTTTTGTGGACTAATATAAGTCCTTATATTGAACGTAAGCCTAGAAGAGGCACTGCTGGGTACAGGGTATGTTTCTGTTCACCTTAGCAGATACTACTGAACAGTTTTCCAAAGTGGTTGTACCAATTTACACTCCAACAGCTGCCCCTGGGATTTTTAGGCCTTTCCATTCTAGTCATTCTGGTAGGTGTATAGTGGTGCCACGCAGGAGTTTCAATTTGCATATCCCTGATGACTAGTCAAGTTCAGTGCTTTCCCTATATTAACTGATCACATTTAGATAACTTCTTTTTGTAAAGCAGAGTTCTTGACTTTGAGGCATCAAAACTGCAAGTTTTTATGTGAATTCTTCCAGGTTGTAGAATTTAAGGATTTTGTAAACGGAGTAGCAGACCTCAAACAAGCCCTGTTCAGTTAACTGCTGTGATAGAATCCTGGTGACTTTTTCATGTATTTAAGTATTTAAATACTATTAAAATATTTCATTTATCTGTACATACTTAAATATTTACAAAGAGTAAATATTTAGGACTGTGTGCCTGTTGATGAGGTCTTTTCCAGTAGGGCCAGGAATTCACTGTTTAGACACATTAAGGATAGGGATGGGCCTGATAACAAAAATCTCCACAGCTAGGACTTACTACAATGTCAGGCATCTATAAACAGCATAAGTCAACACTCACCAGTTTTAACACTCTTCTGACCAAGCAATTAATCTAAGCTACAATTTGAAGCTTCTATAACATAATAAAAGGCAACGCAAACAGAAGTCCTCAACTTTTATCTGTATAATCTAGTTTACAGATACAGAAAAATAAAGAGCATAAAATAATGAACCCTCTTTCACCTATCATATAGCTTTTAACAAACCTACATTCTGCTTTATATGTGGCAGACTTTTTTTTTTTTTTTTGAGATGGAGCTTTGCTCTTGTTGCCCAAGCTGGAGTGTAATGGCATGACCTTGGCTCACTGCAACCTCCACCTCCGGGGTTCAAGCAATTCTCCTGCCTTAGCCTCCCGAATAGCTGGGATTACAGGCACGCGCCACCATGCCCAGCTAATTTTTTGTATTTTTAGTAGAGATGGGGTTTCACCATAATAGCCAGGCTGGTCTTGAACTCCTGACCTCAGGTGATCTGCCCACCTAGGCCTCCAAAGTGTTGGGATTACGGGCTTGAGCCACTGTGCCAGGCCCAGACTTTTTTTTTTTTTTTTAAAGAATTAAAATACCACACATACCAAGAGTAAACATCATCCTGAATATGGTTTTCATCACTCTCATGTATTCTTTCATAGTTATGGCATATTTATAACGAAGAAAACAATATTTCTGTGAGTGTTTTAAATTTTGATATAACTATCACAATATACATTTAATTATGCACTTTTCCTTGCTCAAAAAAAAGTGTGCAATTTATCCATATTACCATGCAAAGCTTTAGTACATTCATTTTCACTGCTGTGCAATATTCTATTGCATGAATATATCACTACCGATTTGCCCATTTTCCTATTAATAATCCTACTTTTAGGCCGGGTGTAATGGCTCACACCTGTAATCCCAACCCTTTGGGAGGCTGAGGTGGGCAGCTAACTAGAGGTTAGGAGTTCAAGAACAGCAAGGCCAATATGGTGAAACCATGTCTCTACTAAAAATACAAAAATTAGATGGGCATGGTGGCACACTCCTGTAATCCCAGCTACTCAGGAGGCTAAGAGAAGAGAATCGCTTGAACCTGGGCAGCAGAGGTTGCAGTGAGCTGAGACCAGGCAACTGCACTCCAGCCTGGGCAACAGAGCTAGACTCCGTCTCAAAATCCTACTTTTTCATGCTCACAAAAAGTGATAAACAATCTGTTATACATCTCCTTGTGCACATGTGGGTGTCTTTGGGATATATCCCAATCAGGAAACTTCTAGAATATGGTATGTGTGTGTCTCGACATCTCTAACACTGTCACATTACTCTCTGGGGTGGTTTTACCAGTCACCTCTCACTGGCAGTGTGTGAGTGCTCAGGAAGATGCTTCTCCTCGCCTCTGGAAACACTCAGAATTACCTTTTTTTAAATGTGATGAGTATAAAATGTTATTATTTACATTTGCATTTTTCTGACAGTAAAATTTAACCTATTTTCCTTTCCTTCCTTAAACACATATCAAAAGTAAACAAAGGTAAAGAACTTTCCATAAAAAGAATGGCCTCGACAAATATGAGGACCTTTTCATTGAAAAATATTCTTAGAGCAAATCACTATTGAAATCAGTGGCTTCTCATTCTAGCACTGAGGCTACACAAGCTTTTAAACCACGAATTGGCAAACTTTTTCTGTAAAAGGCTAAATAGTAAACATTTTAGGCTTTGCGGACCATATCACAGTCTCTCTTACTACTATTCAATTCTGCCACTGTAGCACAAGAGCAAGAATGTATAAACAATATGCAAGCAAACCACTGTGGCTGCATTCCAGTACAACTTCATTCAGAAACATAGAAACTTGAATTTCATAGTAATTTTCACATGTCACAAAATTCTTCTTTCTTTTTTTGAGATGGGGTCTCACAAGTCTCACCCAGTTCTCTCATGAGAACATGCAATGGCACGGTCTCAGCTCACTGTAACCTCTGCCTTCCAGGCTCAAGTGATCCTCCCATCTCAGCCTCCTGAGTAGCTGGGACCACAGGTTTGCCACCATGCTGGCTAACTTTTGTATTTTTTGTAGAAATGGGGTTTCACCATGTTGCCCAGGCTAATCTCGAACTCCTGAGCTCAGGTGATCAGCCCACCTCAGCCTCCCAAAGTGCTGGGATTACAGGCATGAGCCCCCATGATTGGCCACAAAATTCTCCTTTTGACTTTTTTTTTTACCCAACCATTAGAAAAATGTAAAAACCATTCCGTATGGGCCATAAAAAAAGAGGTGGCAGGCCAGATGCAGTCCTGGGGTATAGTTTGCCAACCTGTTTTAGACTATTATTGATGCTCTGTTTTGAACATGCTTGCCCACCTCCCCACCACCACTATTCTGTGGAATGCCTCTTATTATGCTCAATTAGTAAAGCTCAAAGTATCCTGCCATGTCTTTTTATGCACACTGCAACCACTTAAGTATTGACAGCAAAGTGAAGAGATAAAGCTTTGCCTCAATGAGCCACAAACCCCATCCTGCAGAGTGGCTGAGGAACACCACAGGTGCCACTGTTCTCAGAAAGCACTGACAACAGCTGAAAGAGAAAAAACAAAAGGCTGCAGAGAAAACTCACTGTTGGAACTGGCATAGAGGGTCCGAAGGGAAAAGCCACTGAGTGTTAGCTCCCTCAGCTGATTCCGCCCACAGTGCAGCTGTTCCAAGCTGCATAAGGAGCTAAGATCCAAGTCAGTCAGTCGGTTGTCCCGCAGATCCACGTGGGTGATGTGTTTATTTCCCTCCAGATTTTCAATAACCATGGTTTTCAAATGGTTCATCCTTAATACGCAGAAACAAGAAAATAATCATAAATAAGAGTCTATTAAATGTGCTTACCAGAATAAAAATAAAAAATAGGACAGGTATGATCCCTTTCTCTGTTTACTTTTTTTTTTTGAGATGGAGTTTCACTGTGTTGCGCAGGCTGGAGTGCAATGGCGTGATCTCGGTTCACTGCAACCTCTGCCTCCCAGGTTAAAGCGATTCTCCTGCTTCAGCCTCCCAAGTTGCTGGGATTAGAATCACCCCCACCATGCCAGGCTAATTTTTTGTATTTTTAGTAGAGCTGGGGTTTCACCATGTTGGCCAGGCTTGAACTCCTAACCTCAGATGATCTGCCTGCCTCGGCCTCCCAAAGTGCTGGGATTACAGGCATGAGCCACCGTGCCCGGCCCCCTTTCTCTGTTTCCTAAACAACTTAAGAATTTCACTACTCGCCTCATTTTGCAAGGTACTATATAAATAATTAGTTGATGAATAACTCAAGGTACAGCTAAGTTAGACAATCCAAATTGGCAAATACGTATACAAATTAATAAAGAGAAGGAAAAAAGAGGCCATATCTACGAACAGTTAAACACTTATATCCAAATACCTAATAATGTCAGGTGGGCACTAAGTAGGACAAAGGAACAGGAAGATGAACACAACCTTTTGAGTCAGTGAGTAGCAAAGCAGTCACAACAGTACCATGTCCAGAGTATAAGGATGGAGCCATACTTCTTCCTGTTGCTATGCCTGCTCTATCTCTAGAGCTAAGGTTCAAACATAAAATTAATTAACAGACAAGGAAATAATCTGCACATATATATATATATATATATATATATATATATATATATATGGAAGAGTTCAAAGGCAAATTATAGAAAATGACCTCTGGGTTTTTTCTACACAGGTGTATGATTTAATTTATGCAGGTCTATTCTCACTTTCCTGTATTTCTATAAATCTCTCTCTTAAGTCTCCAGTGTGGTTTAAAAAAAAAAAAAAACTCTCTTACTGTCTTTACAAGCTACATCAATGGCTTACTGTAAATAACAGAACATCCAGTAGGTGTCTTTTTACCAGCTTCCTTTAGGAAAATATTATGACTAGAAAATAAAACTCTCATAAAAAGTTCTTAGTAATGAAACCCTTAACATTTTAATTGTAATACAATGGGTATCAAGAAGAAACCCAATGACTCAACAGAAAAATGGTCATTTATGGAAATCTACAAACTACTAATATACATATAAAAAGATGTTCAACCTCACTGCTATGTAAATAAACGTTGATTAAAACAATGAAATACTTTTTTCAACCTACTAGACTGATGATAAATAAAAAGAAATGCTAAAATCCAATACTGACAAAGATATGAGAAAATGGGAATTCTCATAAAATGGTGGAGGGGTCGGGCACACTGGCTCACACCTGTAATCCCAACACTTTAGGAGGCCAAGGCAGGAGGATTACTTGAGCCAGGGAGTTCAAGACCAGCCTGGGCAACACAGCAAGACCCCATCTCTATAAAAAATTTTTAAAATAAAAAATATACACTGATGGGAGGGTAAGTGAGAACAATCTTTGTCAAAGGCAATTTGATAGTCTCTATCACATGGTACAACTACCTGATCCTTAATCTCTCTGCTACTGAGTGATAAATAAAGTCTTACTATACCTTTGAAAACATATATTTCTACACTATTCAAAAAACCTAAAGTTATGGGCCAGGTGCGGTGGCTGTAATCCCAGCACTTTGGGAGGCTGAGGTGGGTGGACTGCTCGAGTCCAGGAGTTCGAGACCTGCCTGCACAACATGGTGAAACCTCATCTCTACTAAAAGTAGAAAAAAATTAGCCAGGCCTCGTGGTGCGCACCTGAAGTCCCAACTACTCGGGAGGCTGAGGTGGGAGAATCGCCTGAGAACGGGAGGTCAAGACTGCAGTGGGCCGAGATCGTGCCACTGTATGCCAGCTTGGGTGACAAAGTGAGACCTTGTCTCAAAACAACAACAAAATTTTAAAAACCCTAATGTTTTAAACAAATCTTCATAAACAGAAGACATAAAGGTCCACCAGAGTCAATTTAAAGGAAGGTGTGGTAAAGAATAACCTTACCTTAAATCCACATGCTTGATATGGTTCATCCTATTCAGCACCCCTAAGTTCAGGACTTCCAGGCAATTTCCTGCCATAACCACTCTATCTAACATAGTGAGTTTCTCATAAACCTCAGGAATTTGACTAAAGTTGTTGAAGGAAATTCCCAAGGAGGAAAGCTGTTGTAGATTTCCCAATTCTTCAGGTAAAGTAGTCAGAAAGTTGCCATCAAGACAGAGGGTTTGAAGACTATAGGAAGAAAACAAAACAAGTCTACTTTATGAAAGGTTTCACTGGAATGCACAGAATCAGAGTTAGGGATTCTGATTTATGTCACTAATTTATTATCAATCCCAAAATAGTAAAGTGTCCTAACTCTCCATCTATGCAGACTTAATAGATGATTTACACACAACTTAAACAAATGGTCCCTCCAACATTAAAAGAGTTAAGACCGCTGCTGTTGAAGCTGAGGGATCAGTCACTGCTATGGGCAGGTATATCTCTGAGGTCAAAAACTGCTGCTGACTAGAATCCTAAGTAGTACATGATATAGTTCACTGCAAGAGTTCAAGATACTACCTTCATTCCAAACCCCAGGCAAGTTCCTTATTCTGCAAGGGAAAAGAGGAATCTAGTAAAAGTTACTTACTTTAGCAGATTGCCAATTTGACTTGGTAGGTCATGAAATCCATTACAGGAAAGGTTGAGCTCAGTCAGGGTAGAGATCTCGCATAACAATATAGGAAACAACCCAAGTTTATTATGGGACAAGTTCAGGCCCTTCAGTTGAGAAAATCTAAAGAGCAAAGGCAAAAATGGGTATTGCATTTCAATACATCTATTACTGTATCTTTACAAGGGACATCAACGGCCTTTGATATCTATTTTAAATGTCTATAATAGAATTTATTCCAAAAATACTTATTGAGCACTCGCTGCATATCAAACACTGAGTGGGGACAGAGGACACCAAGATGACTAATTCACAGTCCATGTGATGAAGGAAACCACGTCTAGCATTACAGGAGCTCTCTTTTCTCCTTAAAAAGGAAGACAATCTTGGCCGGATGCAGTGGCTTATACCTGTAATCCCAGCACTTTGGAAGGCCGAGGCAGGTGGATCACGAGGTTAGGAGATCGAGACCATTCTGGCTAACTTGGTGAAACCCCATCTCTACTAAAAAACAGAAAAAATTAGCCGGGCGTGGTGGCAGACACCTGTAGTCCCAGCTACTTGGGAGGCTGAGGGAGGAGAATGGCATCAACCCGGGAGGCGGAGCTTGCAGTGAGCCGACATTGCGCCACTGCACTCCAGCCTGGGCCACAGAGTGAGACTCTGTCTCAAAAAAAAAAAAGAAAAAAGGTAGACAATCTTGAAGAACAGCTCTTGCTGGTACAATTCTTTTGTATTTCTTCATACTTGATATGCTTGAAATCTTTTTCCATTATTAAATTTCTACATGTAATATACAAAATCCTTGCAAGAATTAATCAACTCATAGACAGAGCAATAGCTAACAAATAGGTAGATCAAATCCCATTTATAAGCAACTTCTACTTTCATACTGAAATTATGTTGGCTAAAATGTCACATAAAATGAATAAACCAGTTAGAGCTTGAAAATACAAATGTGACAGCATTTTACCATTATGTGACCTGATACACAACACAAAATAATTTTTAGTGCTTCTATTTTGTTCATGGAAGTAAAAGTATCTATATTGTCTTACCCAGAGATAGCATTGTTATAAAATGGATCTCCTGGGTTTCTTCTTGATATCCACTGCATTATAATTAAGATGTTAAAGGTTTCATTACTAAGAACTTTTTATGAGAGACTCTGGTAATTCCACTGGGGAGTAGGATACTTCGTTATTATACAAGTGCAAGATGGTAAGGCTGAGATGTTCTCCATGATGATGATCTATCACCTACTTTTAGATTTGAATCCCTGGTACCTCACTGTAACGCTTCTCTTCCAAATTTTCAACTTCTGATTTCCGGATGACCTAACCTTGATTACTGATTATTCCTTTGGCTTGGTGCTTTAAATTCAGAATTTATGATACAGCCCTCAAACTGGACTAATTCTTTTTCATAGCAACTCACAAAGAAATGCTAGAAACCAACTTCCTTAAAATTATTGCTTGTTTTCATTTTTACATGCCAATATTACTAAAATAACTACCTCATTACTAAACAGAGGCTTATACTTGAAACACTTTCTAAAACAATTATCAGATGAGATTAAAAAAACAACATTTTCTGGACATTAGAATTATTAGCTATTAAGGAAGTACGTAAAATATGTCATTTTAATGTATATTATCTTTTTAGTCACCATCTAATTTAAATCACTTTGAATGCTTTAATTTCCAATTTCTCCCTTCTCCTCCAGAAGCCCAGACAATTACTTACAACACATATTTATTCACTGCGTCCATTTTTAAGTGGAGGAATGAGGTGGGATGAGTGGAGTGTGGGAATGGGGTATATATTTTAATAAAGGACATGGAATAACAAGTAGGTCATAGTACTGTAGGGCTAAAATGGTTCCTGTATTAGAACAGAGAAGCTTCACAGCTGACTAAACGCATAAGAGTTGGCAGTGGAAGGTACAAAGAGAAGATAGAGCCTTGTCTCTCAGAGTGAAATTCTTATAATTAGGCCTATCTCCTTTAAGTTACTGAAATTTTATACTTCTAATTCAAAAATTTCCCGTATACTAAATCTCCTGATGTAACTTGGCAGCAGATCATACATCGGTGTCAATGATTCACATGAAAAGATTACCCAGATCAACAGAAGCTCACAGAACATTTACATCAATCTTCTGTTTTATGGGGGGAAAGGGCAGGTAGGAGAACTCTGTGAATAAACATTTTTACTTCCTCTTCAAAAGGGAGGGGAAATTTTAGAATATACATACAATGGTAGCAGGTAGAAGCCATAAGATACTGATTATGAGTTGGTTTTAACAGGTTAGTCTGGAAACCCATTCTCCACATACTTGTAGAGTGTATCGAGGCCTCCGGGTCTTTCTAACTGCATGAAGTTGTGTCGCAAGTTGAGGTAGGTAATATCTTGACTATAGAAGAGATGCTCAGGAACCTCCTCGAGGCTGTAACACGAGAGATCCACGGTACTGATTCGCTGGGACACCACCTGAATAATGTCAAAGAGAAGAGCCTTCTGAGCTAGTACTGGATGTCTATCACCCAGCAAAGAATGGAATGGCATTTACACAAAAAGACGCTAATTAAAAAGATAGGAAAAAAAAGGCAATAAGATCCAATTATTCATTTATAAATACCAGTTAATTTTTACTTTTTCCTAAAACCATAAGCTGCTTGAAAAACAAGGGTATAAATTATAAAGTCTCTATAAGTACAAGGTTAAAAAAAAACACATATCATTAAAGATGGAAAGTTAACACTTCATGCAAGAAGTAATCTTTTTTGTTTGTTTTGTTTTTGGGTTTTTTTTTTTTTTTTTGGGACAGAGTCTTGCTCTGTCAGCCAGGCTGGAGTGCAGTGGCACGATCTCAGCTTACTGCATCCTCCGTCTCCTGGGCTCAAGCAATTCTCCTGTGCCACCATGCCAGGCTAATTTTTGTATTTTTAGTAGAGACGGGGTTTCACCATGTTGGCCAGGCTGGTTTCGAACTCCTGACCTCAGGTAATCCACCCACCTCAACCTCCCAAAGTGCTGGGATTACAGGCGTGAGTCACAGCACCCGGTCGCAAGAAGTTATCTTAAGATGATTCGAAATAAATGGAAAAAACTTTAAGAGGCAGTGTGATATGAAAAGACATGGCCTTCTGTAGCCACACTAGCTCTGCTACTTATCAGCAGTTTCTTCACCTGTTTTGAGGATAAAAGTAAATAACCAAGCACACAGCACACTGCTAAACATGCAAAAGACACTCAAAAAATATTAACTTCTCTTTAAAAGGGCAGAAGAATGGAATAGGTACTTAAAACTGGGACTAGTTTTATAGCCAGATTTTATAGCCAACACAATATAACTGTAAAATAGTCAATAAAATCAAAACAAGCTTGATAGTTCTATAATAGTATGCTAATATAATATGGGTTATAAAAATTGATCTAAAAAAAGAAACAATATATCACTAGAAAAGTCATTCATGGCTAGGCGTGGTGGCTCACACCATAATCCAGCACTGTGGGAGGCCAAGGCGGGCGGATCACCTGAGGTCAGGAGTTCGAGACCAGCCTGGCCAACATGGTGAAACCCTGTCTCTACTAAAAATACACAGATTAGCTGGGCGTGATGGCGCACACCTGTAATCCCAGCTACTCAAGAGGCTGAGGCAGGAGAACTGCTTGAACCCAGGAGACAAAGGTTGTAGTGAGCCAAGACTATACCACTGCACTCCAGCCTGGGTGACAGTGAGACTCTGTCTCCAAAAAAAAAAAGGAAAAGAAAAGTCATTCATGTTTTGATGGCATGTCCTTATACTATAACAATCTCTTATACAAAATCCTGCAAAGATGGCTAGAAGAAAAAGAGAATTTGGAAATCACAATACACTTTATTGCTTTTCAAAGGCTAAAGTGCAGAAATTATGTTGAAAGACTAATTATCCTTGGCATATAGGAATAATGGTTTGTGGCAGCATTAGAGGTCACTGTCCCATCAATAACTGCACATTTGAAGTAATTCACCAAGGCTGTTCTGAACATATGCAGACCAAGAAGCACTGGGACCCAAGTTATGGAATGAATCCATCTATCACTGACTATTACGGTTGAGGGAAGGTCATTTAAATCTCATTGTATCTCAATTCCTTCAAAGGTCAAATCTCTTTGTGTCTTAATTCCTTCTAAGGCCCTAACTCCCACAGACAGTACAGAGGAAAATGCACCTGCAAACATTTTTGACAGCATTTTGTACTATGCACATATAAATAAGTTAAAGACCTGGTGGAATTCCATGATTTTACTCATTATATACTCAGAAAAGGCCTAGAAAGGAAATTAAAAATTATAATTTGCTATCTTGGGAATAAGTTCAGTTTCTTTTCTTGTCTTTTGTTTTTTTTTCAGACGGACTTTTGCTCTTGTTGCCCGGGCTGGAGTGCAATGGAATGATCTTGGCTCACTGCAATCTCCGCCTCCTGGGTTCAAGCGATTCTCCTGCAGCTCAGCATCCCAAGTAGCTGGGATTACAGGCATGTGCCACTACACCCCGCTAATTTTGTATTTTTAGTAGAGACGGGGTTTCTCCATGTTGGTCAGGCTGGTCTGAAACTCCCGACCTCAGGTGATCCACCTGCCCCAGCCTCCCAAAGTGCTAGGATTACATGCATGAGCCACTGCACCCGGCCATCAGTTTCAAAATACATTTCTCTTGAGGTACTCTTTTTTTTTTTTTTTTTTTGAGATAGAGTCTTGCTCTGTCATCAGGCTGGAGTGCAGTGGCGCGATGTCGGCTCACTGCAACCTCTACCTCCCGGATTCAAGCGATTCGCCTGCCTCAGCCTTCCGAGTAGCTGGGACTACAGGTGCATGCCACCACACCCAGCTAATTTTTTGTATTTTAGTAGAGACAGGGTTTCACCATGTTGGTCAGACTGGTCTCGAACTCCCAACCTCAGGTGATCCGTCCACCTCGGCCTCCCAAAGTGCTGGGATTACAGACGTGAGCCACCACGCCCGGCCTAGGGTTCTCTATTCTTATCTCCACATCAGAACATCCCATTACTTTTCACCTTGGATGCTTGCCGTTGCCATCGCTGGTACTCGGCCAAAGTCTCGAAGCTGACATGATAGGTCTGAGCTTGGGCTCCTGCTGAGCTGAAAGCAAGGGAGTATTGCCGTCGCTTCACTTCTTCTATCTGAAGAAGAGGAGGGGAGAAAACCAGAACCACTAAAAAAAAAAATCCTAGTCAAAAAGCAAAAGGCAATCACAAGACGAACAACTGAATTTTTAAAAATAGTTATTTTTTATTTTTTCTCTCTCCCTCCTTGTCCCCCTCCATCTGCCAATGGGTCACACATGAACACACCCAAGGAGTACACAATGATCCCAACACATTAGCTGTGCTTTTGCTCTATCACCAGCAGCTGGGTAGCACCTCTTGTCCTCAGGACTTGCAGGTCAGGAAGCAGGATACCAGTCCACTATGTCCCCCTTACTGCACGGAACTCTTAACAAGTCCTCTTCAGTCCAATTCAAATCTCTTTACTAGGCTTGAGAAAAGAGGCAAAAACCTCCCCCATTCCTATTGGAGCGGTGGCAGGAATTCACAGCACAAAAATAGCTCCTTAAAGAAATTCTCGGCCAGGCGTGGTGGCTCACGCCTGTAATCCCAGCACTTTGGGAGGCCGAGGCGGGCGGATCACGAGGTCAGGAGTTCGAGACGAGCCTGATCAACATAGTGAAACCCTGTCTCTACTAAAAATACAAAAAATTAGCCGGGTGTGGTCACGGGCTCCTGTAATCCCAGCTACTTGGGAGGCTGAGGCAGGAGAATCGCTTGAACCCAGGGGGCGGAGGTTGCAGCAAGCTAAGATCGCGTCACTGCATACCAGTCCAGGCGACAGTGCGAGACTCCGTCTCAAACAAAAAAAGAAATTCTCCCCCAAATTCCAACAACTCAACCTATATAGCTTTGATGAGGAAGCAGTCTTTTTATAGTCATGGAACCACTTACATCTTTTTGTCTGGTATCTCACTTTGTTACGTCACAGCTTGGCAAATCAGATGGAAACTTACATTAGGTTTCTGTGCCAACTGAAGATTGAACCAAGCGGCAGAAACAAAATACTTCCAGAAAAGAGAATCATATTAAAAAGATTCATTAAAATTAAATAATTTTCACAATATTAAATTGTGATACAACATAACCATTTTTCATTAGTAACAAATCATTGCAACTGAATGAGTCTGTGTCAAAATAAAGAATATTATTGAAATGAAGAATAGATACTGACTGTTTTAGCATAATCTTTTAAATATTTTATTTTGGAATGCTTGACATTGAAAAGTACAGAGAATCATATAATGTCAAATACTGAGACAGATCTGTAAATCTCTCACTGTAAGTTAATTTGTCAACTTCCCTGAGTATTTTAATTTCTGTATTACAGATGTTGAAATTATATTGTTACATATATATAACTTTGGAATTATTAAATATTCATGGTAAAATGTTCCTTTTATCATTTTGTAATGAGTCTCTTTATCCTTACTAATGCTTTTTGTATTAAAGTCCTTTTGGCCCAGCTACTTGGGAGGCTGAGGCAGGAGAACTGCTTGAATCCGGGAGGTGGAGGCTGCAGTGAGCTGAGATCGTGCCACTGCACTCCAGCCTGGGTGACAGAGCGAGACTCTGTCTCAAACACACACACAAAAAAGTCCTTTTGGGGATCAGTCTTACTGAGGTATAACCTAAAATAAAATTCACTGGTTTTTGTTGTATTTTTTTGAAACAGGCCACTCTTCACCCAGGCTGGAGTACAATGGCGTGATCATGGCTCAATGCAGCCTCAACCTTACGGGTTCAAGTGATCCTCCCGCCTTAGCTTCCTGAGTAGCTAGAACTACAAGTGTCTGCCATTGTTCCTGGCTAATTTTTTATTTTTTTGTAGAGACAGAGTCCCATTTATGTTGCCCAGGCTGGTCTTGAACTCCTAGACTCAAACAATTCTCCTGCCTCAGCCTCCCAAAGTGCTAGGATTACAGGTGTGAGCCACTGTGCCATGCCTGGCCTTGATTTTTTTTTAATTCACTAAGTAACCAATTTCATGAGTTTTTATAAATGAATAAATACAGTGTGCAACCCCATGGCCCCCAAACTTCCCTCTGTGCTCCTTTACAGTCAGCCCCCTCCCCACCATGCCCTGGCAATCACTGATCTGTTTTCTATCACTACAATTTTTTGCCTTTTTCAGAATTTCATATAAATTGAATAATTCAATAAATAGACTTTTGTATCTGGCTTCTTTCACTCAGAATTATGCTGTTAAGATTTATCCTTGTTCTTGTATCAGCAGTTCTTTCCCTTTTTTTTTTTTCGCTTAGCAGTATTTCCTGGTATAGATATATCACATTTGTTTATCACTTCACAAGTCAGTGAACATTTAAGTTGTTTCTAGTTTTTAGCCATTATGAATAAAGCTGCTATGAACATTCATGTACAAGTCTTTTAAAGAACATATGTTCATTTCTTTTGGATAAAAACTAGAAACAGAATTACTGGGTTATTTGAAAAGCACACGTTTAATTTTACAAAAAATGAATAACTGTTTTGCAAAGTAACTTCATTCCTACCATGATGTATAAATGTTCCAGTTGCTCCGCATCTTTGCCAAACTTGTTATTCATCAGTCTTTTAATTTCAGCCATTCTAGTGGTGTGCCGTATCTCACTATTATTTTTATTTGCATTTCCCTAATGACTGAGGTTGAAGATCTTTTCATGTGTTTGTTACCTGTATATCTGCTTTGGTGACAGGTCTCTTCAAATCTTTGGCCCAGTTTTTTAATGGGTTTGTCTTTTTGTTACTTAGTTGCAAAAGTTCCTTACATATTCTGAATACAAGTCCTTTGTTGCACATAAACTTTCATATAAATGTCTCATATGCTATTAATATAACCACACCAGTTTTCTTTTGATTGCTATTTGATGAGTATATATTCTTTCATCATTTCACCTTCAACCTTCTAAGAGTAAGTTTTAATTATGTCTCTTATGAACAGCAAATAGTATTTAAAATAACATCTGACTATCACAATCATTATGATTACTGATATATTCGGATTTATTACTATCACTATAATTTGTGAAAATTTAACATGTTATTTTGCTCCTTTTTCTCAATTCTTCTTGCCTTATTTTAGCGTTACAAAGTCTTCTATATTCTCTTTTCCTCCTCTAATTTTAGTGGCTATTGTTAAATTTTCCTAATAAATTTTAAGATTATTTGATGTCTCTATCCTCTTATCCCGAGTGTATCACATTTTACTTAATAAACACATTGCCACATCTAAACACTCATTTTGTCTTCACTTCTAGAAAATGTTCAGCTATTATTTTTTCAGATATTATTTCTCTTTTCTCTTCCTCTCTCTTCTCTAGAACTCCTATTAGATGTATACCAGAGCCTTTCTGAAGGATTCTTTTATAGTTTTTATCTGTGAAATTCTTCAGTACATCAGTTAATTACATTCAGCTACTAAACAGTGGCTTAAAAAAAATAGAGGAGTCAGTCCAGGACTAGCCTAACAGCTCCATAGGCCAGCAAGGACCCAGGCTCCTTCTTCCTCAAACGTTACACTGGACATATGTTTGCCAACTCATAGTCATCGTATGACTGCTCCACCTCTGACACTGAGGAACTGGCAAAGGGTCAAGCCATCCCTTTATGACCTTTAAAGGTCAAGCTCTTTAAAAGTCTATCCCATTTTAAAGAGCTTTTCCAAAAGTCCTTCCAGGAAACTTCTGTGTATATCTCAGTAGCTACAAGAGGGTTCCGCTAGAAGATTTAGTTTTTGATCCTGGGCATATTGCTACCCTGAACAAAATTCTATTAGCAAACAGAAGACACAAAATTACTCTTCATCAATTCTCTCTTTGTCTGATCTAGAGTTTAACCACTTAAGTTTTAAATTTTAGTAACTGTATTTTTATTTCCAATATTCTACTTGGCTCTTTCATAGGCAGATATTCTTATTTCTGAATTTGTTTTCCATTTTTGTTCTTCCATTCTCTCTTAGAAAATTCTAAACACATTTATTTTCAAGACGTTTGCTCATTTATTTCCATTTCAATCTGAAGTGAGTTTATCTTCTGATGGTTGAGTTTGTGGAAATCCTCCCTAGTATTAAATTTCTCTGTGGGTTTTTTTTTTTTTTTTTGTATGTGTGTGAGAGGGAGTTTACATTTCAGGTTCATTTGAATGGTAGGTTCATTTTCTCTCTCACCCTATCTGCTGCTTCCTCTCCACCAATCCCCAGCCTTGTCCTCATTCACTCTTTCCCTCTCAAGCAACTCTACTTACTTTCTTCACTTTGTCCTTCAGCCCCTAAGACCTCATACTGACAGTGGTGGGCTCCTGCCCCATGGTTGATACTGGAGTTACAAACACTCATTCATTAAACTAGTAGGGATTTCATTCATTTCCTGGTCAAAGGCCATGTAACTGGATTCTCCCACCTCTTTAGGACCAAACCTAGAAATAAGCCTTGGTTTCAGTCAGTGCTTAATGGCAGTTATTGTTTTAGCTTTCTTGCAGAAACAAAAGATACCAACCAGCCTGGCATTAGGCCGTAAGACTAACCCAGGACCCCCATTATGAGCAGAAAACTATTACTAAATACTTATAAGAGCCAAATTCCGAGGCTGCCACAACCTTTCAGACCCAGAGCCCAGGAGGCCCACAGACCTTCTGATCATTTTATGTTTCTATTCTGTATTTGTAAGCTCAGCTAGGTCTTTTCATATTTTTATTATTATTTTTTTTAAGAGACAGGGACTCACTCTGTCACATAAGGCTAGGATACGGTAGCACGATCACAGCTCACAGCAACTCGAACTCCTGGGCTCAAGCCATCCTCCTCCCACCTCAACCTCCCACCAAGCAGTTGACACTTCAGGCGCCACACCACTACACCTGGCTTTTTTTTTTTTTTTTTTTTTTTTTGAGACGAAGTCTTGCTCTGTCTCCCAGGCTGGGGTGCAATGGCATGATCTTGGCTCACCACAACCTCCGCCTCCCAGGTTCAAGCGATTCTCCTGCCTCAGCCTCCCAAGTAACTGGGATTACAGGCACCCACCACCATGCCCAGCTAATTTTTTAAAATTATTTTTAGTAGAGACGGGGTTTCACTATGTTGGCCAGGCTGGTTTTGAACTCCTGACCTCAAGTGATCCGCCCACCTAGGCCTCCCAAAGTGCTAGGATTACAGGCACGAGCCACCGCACCCGGCCAAGACAGGGTCTTGCTAATGTTGCTCAGGCTGGTTTCAAACTCCTGGCCTCAAGTGATCCTCCCACCTCAGCCTCCTGAGTAGCTGGGATTACAGGCACAAGCTACCACGCCCAGCTTATTTATCTTTTTCATACATGTATTCTATCAATATTGCTGTGTATTTGGATCAGAATGGATGCCTGATCCAAAGTGTGAATTCATGAGGTAATTTTGTCTGGAAGTCTTCCAGACAAACTCAGATTGGTTTATGACAGTCAAGATTCAAAACAGAGTAAAATCATGTATAGATAGCTTCCTAAAAATATTAACATATCTGTTTATGGTCATTTGTCATTCATTCTGTTTGACTAACAAGTGAACTCCTTTCCTGGGATGGAGACTCCTCTAGGACAGATGGAAGAAATGGCATGGCTCCCTGGCTGCTGGATCACAACTTATGACTACCTCAGACTCTGAATTTTAATTTAATTGGGGGGGAAAAAAAACCCCGAAAGAATCTATTTGGTGATGGATGCTGGCAGCTACTTCTAATTTCCAAAGGCAGCTTCTAATGGTAGCATCCACTGTCTACTCTGGCTATTGTGAGCCCCAGAATCTAATGCCTAGCAGTGGAGGTGGGGATGTCTTGAACAGATAGTTCTGCAACAGGATTTGGGGCATAATAGCCTCTGAACCTCTGAAACAGTCTCTGATATAATCTTTAATAATGCCCATACTGGCTTCTTTGAAAAGATATGACTAAAAGCTATGAAAAGCATTATGTGATATTTTCTTAATTAAGATGATCAAATGAAAAATAATTCATCTTTGTGAGTCTTACCTTTCCACCAACCAGAGGCAAAATGTGCATCTTTCCAGTTTGACAATCCTTCACTGAGGAAACGATAAGGCAGGTACCACAGAGGACAACTAGGCGCTCAGCCCACTTATGCAGCTGGGTCTTTCCCTTGCGTACATTATAGATGCCAGACAATAGGATTCGATCCAAACGATCCATGTGGCATGGTTTTTCTGAAAAGGAAATAATACTTCAGAATCCACCATTAAAGTAGTGTAAGAATACAGAAATGGAAAAAGAAAGCATTGTGTGTCAACATTCAACAACCTTATTTATAGATATAAGTAACCAAGCAATATAGTTAAGACAAAATTAGATCTAGTCCATCACTGAATTATATACAGTAGGAGTACCTTTGAATTTTGGTCTATGAAGCAAAATTGTACTTTGGATGCCATTGTTACATTAACCCTTCTTCCAACAGCCATATCTCCTATGTACCCAGAGAAAGGCAGTATGGTAGAGTGGTTAAGATCATGAACTCTGAAGTCAGAGATACTTGAATTTGAATGCTGGTTCTGTCACTTTGTTTACTTGAACTATTTATTCTCATTACGCTTTACTTTACTCATTTATACAGTTTGAATCTTAACACAACCTACCTTCTGGGGATTCTTATAAAAATTAAGTAAGATGGCCAGCTGCAGTGGCTCCCGCCTGCAATCCCAGCACTTTGGGGGGGCCAAGGCGGGCATATCACAAGGTCAGGAGATCGAGACCATCCTGGCTAGCACGGTGAAACCCCGTCTCTACTAAAAATACAAAAACAAAAAAATTAGCCGGGCATGGTGGCGGACACCTATAGTCCCAGCTGCTCAGGAAGCTGAGGCAGGAGAATGGCGTGAACCCAGAAGGCAAAGCTTGCAGTGAGCCAAGATCATGCCACTGCACTCCAGCCTGGGCGACAGAGCAAGACGCTGTCTCAAATAAATAAATAAATAAATAAATAAATAAATAAATAAATAAATAAATAAATAAGGAATATAAAATACTAAGCATAGTTTTAGGTACAAAAAGAACATGGAATAAATGACAACCACTATTGTTACTAATCTACCCTAGAAGGAAGAAATTAGTAACTACAGGAGTACTCTAATTTTGTACATAATCCTCCATCTCTCTGCCACTAATATGGAAAAGCTTATGGGTGGTACTTCAATCAACTATTCCGATCACGGTGGTGGAAATTCTACTTCTCATCAGAGGCCTTCATGACTGAGATACAGTGAACAAAACAGCACATAATAACAGAAAAGACGTGAAGTTCTTGGTAAGAGCACTATTAAAAGAAGTGTGCACCTGTAGTCCCAGGTACTCAGGAGGCTGAGGCAGGAAGACTGTTTGAGCCCAGGAGTTCAAGGCCAACCTGGACATCATAGTAAGACCCTGTGTCTTAAAAACAAAAAAAAACAAAACAACAACAACAAAAAGGGACAACTAACTATACACAGAAATGAGCAGGAGTAGCAGTATGAGGTGGTCCAAACAGTAACACAGAAGTTGGAAAGACTGGGTTGTACTCCTGGTATTATTACATAATTTTTTTTTTTTGAGACGGAGTCTTGCTCTGTCGCCCAGGTTGGAGTGCAGTGGCGCGATCTCGGCTCACTGCGAGCCCCGCCTCCCAGCTTCATGCCATTCTCCTGCCTCAGCCTCCCGAGTAGCTGGGACTACAAGCACCCGCCAACACGCCCGGCTAATATTTTGTATTTTTAGTAGAGACGGGGTTTCACTGTGTTAGCCAGGATGGTCTCCATCTCCTGACCTCGTGATCCGCCTGCCTCGGCCTCCCAAAGTGCTGGGATTACAAGTGTGAGCCACCGCACCTGGCCACTTAATTGTTTATACAATTAGGTATCACTTTGCCTATTTAAATTAGGTATCACTTTGCCTATTTAACTTAGGTATCACTTTGCCTATTTAACCATGTGTTTCCCATATACAATATGAGGAAATGAGCTAGATTACTTCAAAGCCTTAAAATTGTATTATTCAATAAAACTTTGTATATTAATACACTATACAGGATAAGCATTTCACCTTCTATTCTAGGTCAATCCTTTCATCTATACAGTCGTTCCTTGGTATTGGCAAGTGATTGATTCCAGGACCTCCCCAAGGATACCAAAATCCACAGATGCTATAGTCTCTTATATAAAATGAAATGGTATTTGCATATAACCTACGCACAACTTCCTGTATAATTTGAATAATCTCTAGATTACTTATAATATCTAAAACAATGTAAATGTTAAGTAAATAGTTGTTATGCCATATTTTTCTTTGTTTTTTTATTTTTTTAAAATATTTTTGATCCATTGTGGATATGGACGACTGACTGTATTCTAAATTCCACCTTCCTCAGAGAGTTTGGTTCTCCCAGATCTATATTCCTAAGTTCTAGTTCCACATTTCCAACTATCCAGATATCTCCAACTACATGTTTACCATCACTTAAAATTCAACATGCCTGGCCAGGAGCAGTGGCTTATGCCTGTAATCCCAGCACTTTGGGAGGCTGAGGCGGGCGGATCACGAGGTCAGAAGTTCAAGACCAGCCTGACCAACATGGAAACCCCATCTCTACTAAAAATACAAAAATTAGCCAGGCATGGTGGCGTATGCCTGTAATCCCAGCTACTCAGGAGGCTGAGGCAGGAGAATCGCTTGAACCCAGGAGGCGGAGGTTGCAGTGAGCTGAGATCGCACCATTGCACTCCAGCCTGGGGGACAAAGCGAGACTCTGTCTCACAAAAGAAAAAAAAGATCAACATGCCTAAACCAAGTCATCACCATCCCTGTACAGCAGCAGCTCCTTCTCACAACTCAAGCTCATCTCCTGAAGTCACCCATGCTCAAAACCTCAGAAGCAGCTTCAACTCTTGGGTTCGCTTTCTCAACTTCTCTTTTCAATCAATCATTAAGTCTTACTGATTACTCCTTCAAAAAGTCTCTCACATGAACAATTCCTTCCTATTCCCTAGTTCAGATCCTTATCAATTCACACCTGAATCACTATCCACACTGGCACCAGACTGATCTTCCCTGGGCTCACTTGGATCCCATCACTTCCTGCTACCATCTGCCAAATGACGGCTAAACTCCTGATGGAGCACCCATGGCCCAAAACAATCTGGACTCAAATTAACTGTGATTCATGAACATGCAATGAAATTTTTAATCTCCCACGGCTGCCTTCTTTTTCATTTCTGCTTAGTGAAACGTTGTCAATTTTTAAAGAACCAACTCAAATACAACTTCTTCACAAAGACTTCCCCCAATTTCTTGACATCTCTGATTTTCCAGAGAACAGGGACAGAAAACTTTCCTATCAGCTAGCAAAATATATCATATATGTATATTAGTAAAAATCTGGCCAGGTGTAGTGGCTTACAACTGTAATCCCAGCACTTTGGGAGGCCCGGGCAGTTGGATCACTTGAGGCCAGGAGTTCAAGACCAGTCTGGCCAACATGGCAAAATCCCCATCTCTACTAAAAACACAACAATTAGCTGGGCGTGGTAGCAGGCACCTGTAATCTCAGCTACTCGGGAGGCTGAGGCAGGAGAATCGATTGCACCAGGGAGGTAGAAGCTGCAGTGAGCTGAGATCATGCCACTGCACTCCAACCTGGGTGACAGAGCAATACTGTCTCAAAAATAATAAAATAAAATAAAATAATTTTTAAAATTGACTGGCTGGATCACCTGAGGTCAAGAGTTTGAGACCAGCGTGACCAACATGGTGAAATCCCATCTCTACTAAAATACAAAAATTAGCTGGGCATGGTGGCAGACACCTGTAATCCCAGCTACTCAGGAGGCTGAGGCAGGAGAATTGCTTGAACCTGGGAGGCCGAGCTTGCAGTGAGCCGAGATCATGCCATTGCACTCCTACCTGGGCAACAGAGCAAGACTCCGTCTCAAAAAATAAATAAAATAAATAAATTGACTAAACAGTGACTAAATAAAAATTTTAAACTTATGCACAATAAAAAGTAATAAATAAAATAAAAAGTTACAGGCTGGAAAAAAATTGAGTCACAAATATAGTACCCAAAAGATATATATTCAGAATACATGCAGAAGTCCTTTAAATCAATATGAAAAAAGAGAAACAGAAACATGTACAAAAATATCAATGAGTAGTTCAAAGAAACTGAAAGATCCAATAAAAATATGAAATAATTCTCAATCACACTAGTAATCAGGGGAAAAAAATTTAAACAAAGAGACCATCATTTTTTAAATTTTTTTTTTTATTTTTGAGACGGAGTCTTGCTCTGTCGCCCAGGCTGGAGTGCAGTGGCTCGATCTTGGCTCACTGCAAGCTCCGCCTTTTGGGTTCACGCCATTCTCCTGCCTCAGCCTCCCGAGTAGCTGGGACTACAGGCGCCTGCCACCACGCCCGGCTAATATTTTGTATTTTTTAGTAGAGACAAGGGTTCACTGTGTTAGCCAGGATGGTCTCGATCTCCCGACCTCATGATCCGCCCGTCTTGGCATCCCAAAGTGCTGGGATTACAGGCATGAGCCACCGTGCCCAGCCAAGACCATCATTTTATCTATCAGATTAGTAAATATTTTAAAGCCTAATAATATTGAAAGGTTATAGGCAAAGGGGTACTCTGTTATACTGACAGGATATAAAAGTGTTCTGCAGTAGTAACTATTAATATTTTAAACGTGAGTAACCTATAACCCAATAATTTCATTCTTAGAGATCACTCTGAAGGAATACAGGTGCATAAAGAGATAATTTTACTAAAATGGCTGTTTTAACCGTCCAAAACTGGAAACAAAGTAAATGTCCATCACTAAGGAGATGGTTACACAGACTATAATGCATACATGATGTCCAATACTATGCCCCTGAAAGAAATGTATACAGGGCCGGGCACAGTGGCTCATGCCTGTAATCCCAGCACTTTGGGAGGCCAAGGCCGTCGGATCACCTGAGGTCAGGAGTTCAAGACCAGCCTGGCCAACATGGTGAAACCCCGCCTCTACTAAAAATACAAAAATTAGCTGGGTGTGGTGGTAAGCCACCTGTAATCCCAGCTAGTTGGGAGGCTGAGGCAGCAGAATCGCTTGAACCTGGGGGGTGGAGGTTGCAGTGAGCCGAGGTCATGCCACTGCACTCCAGCCTGGGAAACAAGAGTGAGACTCTGTCTCAGAAAAAAAAAAAAAAAGAAATGCATACAGAAGATGGTTCTGCAAATGCTGACAAGGTAAGATCTCCAAGACAAACTCTTGGGTGAAAAAAGCATGAAGACCAATACCAAATAATACCATTTATGTAAACAAAATCCATATGGTTCTATGAATATATACTATATAAAAATAATCAAGTTGGAAAATTCTGAACAGATATACACCAAATTGATGGTGGTTATCTATAGAGCAGTTAATGGACTTAGGAGGTGATTATAACAAATTAAAACACCACAGATAATGACACCATAGTCATATTACACTTGTGTAGTTAAACACCCAATGTTTTAAATGCAAAAATATATGAACAATAAATAAAAATATAAAATATGCATATAAAATAAGACTAAGAAAATACACAATCATAAAAATAATTGTATTAGGGTGGTGGAATGTTTTTCTACCACGTTACTCCTATATTTTAACAAAGAAGCTTTAAATATGCAAATTAACATGAGATAGTATTTTTGCAATCGGGGAAAAGATGATACCTGATGTTGTCAAAGGTGTAGGGAAATAAGTACTCTCAAATTCTACCAAATCAACTACACACTAGTAACACCTATTTGTGCAACTTGGGAATGCTCAGTCAAAATTTTAAATGTGGCCGGGCGCAGTGGCTCACGCCTGCAATCCTAGCACTTCAGGAGGCCAAGGTGGGCAGATCACCTGAGGTCAGGAGTTCGAGACCAGCCTGACCAACATGGTGAAACCCTGTCTCTACTAAAAATACAAAAACTAGCCAGGCATGGTGGTGGGTGCCTGTAGCTCCAGCTACTTGGGAGGCTGAGGCATGAGAATTGCTTGAACCCAGGAGGCAGAGGCTGCAGTGAGCTGAGATTGCACCCGGCCTAGACGACACTGCACTCCAGCCTGGGCCACAGTGAGACTCCATCTCAAAAAAAAAAAAAAAAATTCTACTTGTAAGAATCATGTCCTCTTCCCTGCACTCCTCAGTCACTCCCTTGACTTTTATAATAATTTCCTTGCTCTCTTTATATTTTTGCCACTTTCGTATATATCCTGTATTAACTATGGCTGTAGCAAACAATATAATGGCTCAAGCAACAGGAATTTAATTCATTCAAGTGAGCATTCTGTTTTGCCAGGGGTTAACACTGTCATTCAAAAACTCAGGTTCTGGCCACGCACAGTGGCTCACACCTGTAATCCCAGCACATTTGGGAGGCCGAGGTAGGCGGATGACTTGAGGTCAGGAATTCGAGACCTGGCCAACATGGTGAAACCCCATCTCTACTAAAAATACAAAAATTAGCCAGCTGTGGTGGTGGGTTCCTCTAATCCCAGTCACTCAGGAGGCTGAGGAAGGAGAACTGTTTGAATCTTTGAGAGGCGGAGGTTGCAGTGAGCTGAGATGGCACCACTGCACTCAAGCCTGGGCGACAGAGCAAGACTCTGTCTCAATAAATAAATAAATAAATAAATAAATAAATAAATAAATAAATAAAAAGAAACTCAGGGTCTGCAATTTTCCACACTTGACTTCAATTATTGCTCTGATTATTGCCATCCTAGCCCACCAGACAGGAAAAGAGCACCACAGCCCTGAGAAGCACACACTGGGGGTTTTAGGAACCAGGTAGAAGTGGCGCACATCAAGTCCACTCCATACAATGGAAGAAAATTTTGTCACATGTACACACCTAACCGCAAGAAAGGCTGCGAAATGGGCTGTAGCTAGGCAGTTATATGCCCCACTACAATTTTGTTACTATGAAAGAACAGATTTTGATAAACAATAGTATTGCCACACATTTCAAAATAATATGGCTGTGTTTTAGCCTGTTTTCTGAACTTTAAATGAATGGAAATATACGATGTAATTCTTTTGCGTCTGGCTTCTGATGTTTGTATTTATGCTCTTTTGACAAAGCTGTTTTAAACAATATGTGCAGAGAATGCAGTACACAGAGAAACGTTCAGGCAGGGAGTTGTGCTACCTGAGCCATACAGTCCCAGAGCTACAACTTCCCTCACAAATCATACCCTCTATATGCCACTTTCTCCAACGCAAATAAGAGGTTTGCTCTTTCTCTCTCTCTCTCTCTTTTTTTTTTTAAGGTGAACAGGAAGTAGGATTTTTTTTTTTTTTTTTGAGATGGAGTCTTGCTCTGTCGCCCAGGCTGGAGTGCAGTGGCACCATCTCAGCTCACTGCAAGCTCTGCCTCCCGGGTTCACACCATTCTCCCACCTCAGCCTCCAGAGTAGCTGGGACTACAGGCACCCGCCACCACGTCCAGCTAATTTTTTGTATTTTTAGTAGAGACGGGGTTTCACTGTGTTAGCCAGGATGGTCTCAATCTCCTGACCTCGTGATCCGCCTGCCACAGCCTCCCAAAGTGCTGGGATTACAGGTGTGAGCCACCGCGCCCGGCCCAGAAAGTAGGATTTATTGGTGAGCATTAAGAGGGGGCAGCACAGTGGAAGCCCTCACAAGAGCAGGGCCCGCCACTTGTCCAGAGGGCCACTACTGGGGATGTAACTGACCCCGCAGCCATCTGGGATGAGCTGCTTCTCAGCCCCCATGTCTTCAAATTCATCTGCATTGAACTTGGTAAAGCCCCACTTCTTAGAGATGTGGGATCTTCTGGCAACCAGGGAACTTCAACTTGGCCCTACATAGGGCCTCAATCATGTGCTCCTTGTTATGCAGCTTGGTGCAGATGGACATGGTAACTTGGCCAATGTGAACCTCGGCCACAGTGCCCTGCGGCTTTCCAAAGGCACCTCGCATACCTGTTTGGAGCCTAGACTGGGGATAGCACAAAGTCAGAGACATGAACATCCATCTGAAAGGCCTGTCTCTAAGGTCCCTTAGAGCAACCCATACAAGAAACAGGCTGAGTACGCTACCAAGGAAGCTGCTGTGGGCAGCCATTGTACACTGGGCCTCCCTGAGGAAAGGAACTCAGTTGGCTTAACTGTCTGCAGAGGATTTACATGCTCTCTTAATCCCATGATTAATCATGCTACCTACTCAACTTGACTTTAGTGAAATGTTATCTCCACAGCTTTTATATCATGAATTCGAACTGAGAGAGCCATTCCACTCACTTTTCCCCCAGCACTCCCTCTCCAGCAAGACTGATAACTGGCATTTGCATAATGGCTGACTGGGACACTACCCAGTGTCCTTTTATAACCAGAGAACACAACATTAACTGGTTCGCACTCGGGCCCTTATGACCTTGGCTTTATTAACACTATATTCCAAATAAGCTGATGCACCAAAAATTCTACACATAAAATATTTGAAGCTGATTACTAAGCTATTTACTTCAAAGAGAATACTTCAACTCTTTCCTTCCGTAACAATAGTTGTGTCTGGTTTCAGGAACTGGGTGGTTGGAGGAAAAAGGTGAGAGGGAAGCATATTTTCTATGATAGTTTTGATAGAGACAGGAGGCAGAGAAATTCTAGGCAGACAGGGACAGGTGCCCAGCAAAACCCCACCTTCGAGCCAAAAAGCCTGAAACCTGTGGCCCAAAGTGAGAATTTCCATCCCTGTTTGTCTGCTCTCTCCTGAATGGTTCTTTCTGAGTGTCTTTTTACCAATCGAATGTTGCCTTTTCCAAAACTACCTACAGCACCTCCCATCCTGTGCCCATGAAGACCCCAGACTCAGCGAGCAGAGAAGAGAAGCAGCTGGACATCAGGGAGAGGCGACTTGACTTCAGAAGACAGTGGCAGGGAGGCAACTTGACTTCAAGGGAGAGTGAGCTGCCCTTCCCATTCCCTTTCCAGCTCCACTCTTCACTGAGAGCTGCTTTCATCATTCAATAAAATTCTCCGCATTCACCATCTTTCAATTTGTCCACATGACCTCATGCCTCTTAGGCACCAGACAAGAATTTGGGACGCACCAAGTGCCGGTATTCAAAAAGGCTGTCACACTGGCCCTTTACCCTCACTGGTGGAAAGCAGCCGCCCTACGCAACAAGGCAAAGGGACCACTGACCTGGTAACACATTGCCGTCTGCAGATGAGAGAGGTAAGAGAGCATTATAACATGTCCTCTGGGGCCTTGGGATCACAGACACCCCCACCTGGACGCTGCTGCAAGCCTACACAGAGTTTGCTTCTGCTGGTGCTAAAGCAGGCAGCCAGTTCCTGCACTCGCTCTCCTATGCGCTACATCCCACAAAGGGTGGAGCACAACAGACCCCAGTGAACACGGTTTGTTCCCACCAGCGTCCAATCAGCTAGCCAGTTCACGCACTCATTCACCTGCGCATTCCCTCCCACAAGGGGTTGAGCGGGGTGGGCTGAGTAAATGGGGTACCCCTGTCACAAGTCCCAAAGAGGGGTCAAGAAAATATCCTGCATCAGTTTTATTATAGATCCGGCTGCTCACAGTGGCTCGTGCCTGTAATCCCAGCACTTTAGGAGGCCAAGATAGGAGGATCACTTGAGCCCAGGAGTTTGAGACCAGCCTCGAGCCATGAGCAACATGGCGAGACCTCAGCTCTACAAAAAATACAAAAATTAGCCAGGTGCAGTGGTGCGCACGTGTAGTTCCAGCTACTTGGGAGGCTGAGGTGGGAGAATCATTTGGGCCCAGGAGGTTGAGGCTGCAGTGAGCCATGATGGCAGCATTGCACTACAGCCTAGGCAACTGGGTGATACCCTGTCTCAAAAAAAATAAAAAATTAAAAAAAAAAATAGACCCACAAATTCTTTGACACTCCTTTCAAAAACTGGAGCTAATTCCTCTCTCTATAGTATGGGCTGTGTTTAGTGACTCATTTCTTTTTTTTTTTTTTTTTTTTTTTTGAGACAGAGTCTCGCTCTGTCACCCAGGCTTGAGTGCAGGGGCACGATCTCGGCTCACTGCAAGCTCTACCTCCCAGGTTGACGCCATTCTCCTGCCTCAGCCTTCCCAGTAGCTGGGACTATAGGTGCCCGCCACCAGGCCCAGCTAATTTTTTGTATTTTTAGTAGAGACAGGGTTTCACTGTGTTAGCCAGGATGGTCTCAATCTCCTGACCTTGTGATCTGCCCGCCTCAGCCTCCCAAAGTGCTGGGATTACAGGCGTGAGCCACCGCACCTGGCCTGTGACTCATTTCTTAATAAGTAAAAAGTGGTAAAAGTAAAGGTGACTTACAAAGCTTGGTTATAAAAGACACTGAGGCCTCTGTGCACGTGCATGCATGTGTGTATACGTGTGTCTCATCACTGGGGAAACTAGCCACTATGTTGTGAAGACGCCTAGGAAGCCCTATGGAAAGATCCACAGAAGAGGGAACTGAAGCCTCCTACCAGCAGCTGGTGAGGAACTGAGGCCATGTGAGTGAACCGTGTTGAAAGTGAATCTTCCAGGCCTACTCAGGCCTTCAGATGACTAAAATCTCATGAAACCCAAGCCAGGACCATCCCTCCAGCTAAACTGCTCCTAGATTTCTGGCCCACAAAAACTATATAATTATTAAGTATTAATCATTTTAAGTCCTAACTTTTGAGGCAATTTGTTACAGAGCCAACAGATAACTAATTCATCTATCTATCTATCTATCTATCTATCTATCTATCTATCTATCTATCTATATATCTATCTACCTACCTACCTACCTACTACCTACGTTTTGTTTTTGGTACCAGGTACATTATTACTTTTCAAAGATTATTAACTTTAAGTTTCATCCCAAACTTAATTTCCTCACTCAAACCATACTAGCTTTTCTATGTCAACAGAACTCACTTTTGGAAAGATCCCTCAAAATTTAAGTACTACAAACTGGTACTCTTTTAGACTCTACTGGAAATATCCTCTTAAGGGTATAGTACATTAAGATCCTGCATATGCTGTCATTTATCAGATGGTGGTAGGAAAAGTAGGGGCATCAGAGCCAACCACTGTGCAGTATAACTGCACGTAAAAGAAAGGTTCAACTTTCATTCTAGAAAAAAATATACACAGTAGCCCCCCTGCCACCTGTGGTCTTGCTTTCCAAGGTTTTAGTTATCTGCAGTCAATCATGGTCTGAAAATAGGAAGTAAAGTACAAGATATTTTGAGAGAGAGAACATTCACTAACTTTTATTACAGCATATTGCTATAATTATACTATTTTATAATTAAATATTGTTAATCTCTTACTTTGCCTAATTTATCAATTAAACTTTACCATAGGTATGTGTATACAGGAAAACACATAGTACATATAGAGTTCAGTACTATCTGCAATTTCAGTCATCCACTAAGGATCTTGGAACGCAATCCCAGTGGATAAGGGGGGACTACCATAATGAAGAACTAGGGTTCAACCACAATCAGATAAGAAGCATGTTACTGTTCCAAGTTTTTGTTTTTTTAACTATTATAGTGATAGATGGGTCGTGTTCCTCAAATTCATCTTAAAATATTTTTCTCAGAAGAGTCAAAAATCCTAGATTTAAACCCCACTAAATTCACCAATATACAAATTTGACAGGTATACTCATCAACGTCAAGTCATATATGATAATGATTACTTACTCTCAACATTTTTGAGCTATCCAGAAGTTCACAGACTTTACCAGGAGCTTGAAAAAATAATTTACTAAAGCATGATCCAGTCAAGATTCTGGCAAAGGTATAAAATAATGCTAGTAAGTTAGCAAAATACAAGTGCAAAATGAGCAAAAATAAAAAGAGAAGATATTTTTAAAGTGTTCCCTTACCCCTGACCTCTTGGCTTTTGTTGTTGTTTGGTTGGTGTTAACTACGTTAGTTAATTGGCTTAAAACTAGCTTTTGATAAAATACCTTTAAAAAGCTGACGGCAGATAAGAGGCACAAATGATCAACCTAAAAGTAGTTAACATACAAAGCCACTGATAAATTCTTACCACCATAAAATCGAATCATACAGCCGAGGTCAGGATTTGTAGCCTCCTCCTGTATGCGCACAGGATCATCAAATCCCAGCCTGGATAAGTAATCATAAACGATCTGAAGAGGTCGTTCAGTAGGTTCCAGTCTCCTGATTACACAATTCAAAAAAATATATATATTTGGTAAGTAATAAAAATGGTTCATTTAATTTTTTAGTATTTTTATTTGTATAAATTTCAGGGGTACAAGTGCTATTCTGTCACATGAATATACTGCTTAGTAGTGAAGTCTGGGCTTTTAGTGTAATCCTCACCTGAATCATGTATATTGTATTCATTAAGTAATTTCTCATCCTTCACTCCCACCCCACCCTCACACCCTTCTGCTTTTCCAATGTCTATTACCCCACACTCTATTATTTAGCTACCACTTGTAAGAGAGAACAGGTAGTATTTGACTTTCTGTTTCTGAGTTATTTCACTGAAGATAATGACTTCCAGGTCCATCCATGTTGCTACATTAAGACATGACTTCATTCCTTTTTCATGGCTGAGTAGTAACTCAACATACAAAATCTGCTCTTGATTTTTATTCCTAGGTCAAGTTTTTCTTTAATATTCTATGATACAACTAATCTAAACAAGTGTTTTTTTAACTTTTTGGTGTCAGGACCCCTTTATACTTTGGGGATCACAAAGAGCTTTTGTTTACATGTGTTATATCTATTGATATTTACCAAATTAGAAATTAAAATTGAGAATTTCCATTTATTAATTCACCTTAAAATAACTCCCTAAAGATCATTCTACTACATGGTCCTAATTGAAAGCTAAGGTAAAACCAGAATGTCCTGCAATCACTTGTGGCCTCTGGTGACACTGTATTTTAAATCACAGACTTAAAATACTGAAAAATATTTAAAAAAAAAACAAAAGTGATGAATGTGCATTTTGATAGAAGGGGCTATAATAGTCATAATAGCAAGACAGCTCTTTTATAATGCTTTTACCAGAAACCAAACAGTTATAAATACAGTGGCTAAACGTATAGGCTCCAACAGTCAACTGCCTGGGTTCAAGTCTTAGTCCTGCCACTTACCAACTGCATGCCCCAGTATATTTACTCTCACTGTTTTAAATCCTCATCAGTATCATGGGAATAGCAACAATACCTAACTCATAAGATGTTTAAATTTATTTATTTACTTTCAACAAGATACTATATAGTATGAAAAGTGCTTAGCAAAATATCTCACATGTAGTAAGTGTTCAGTAAGATACTGACAATTATTATTCTAAAAAATTTTAAGATTGGAATCAATTTTAGAATAAAAATAGAGTATTTCTCCCATCTCAAACAACAACCAAAAGCAAGCACAGGAAAGTCCGTATGTGTTCAAAAGGTCTGAAAGAACATTTAAAGAACCTGTTAAGAACCTGTTCAGAAAACTTAAGAATAGCCGGGCGCAGTGGCTCACGCCTGTAATCCCAGCACTTCAGGAGGCTGAGGCGGGCGGATCACGAGGTCAGGAGATGGCTAACATGGTGAAACTCCATCTCTGCTAAAAATACAAAAAAATTAGCCAGGCATGGTGGCGGGCACCTGCAGTCCCAGCTACTCGGGAGGCTGAGGCAGGAGAATGGCATGAACCTGGGAGAAGAGCTTGCAGTGAGCCGAGATGGTGCCACCGCACTCCAGCCTGGGCGACAGTGAGACTCTGTCTCAAAAAAAAAAAAAAAAAACTTAATAATTATAGTATTAATAACTATAAGAAACATGATGCATTTCCCATCATGACAAAAACATATGAATGATGTCTGCATTTTGTAGTTTAAGAACTAGAAAATGCTGTTGGCAACAAGCTGAACATAAACAACTACAAAGCTGAACATAAACAACTGTAACAAAATGATAATTTTGGAACAGAAATCATACTGATGTACAAAAAAGACAAAAATAAAACAACCACCTGGCCTCTCCTGACTGCTCAGTTCAGTATTTTAGCTTCCAGAAACTATCACATAAACTCAGAATGAACTGCTACATGGGGAATGATCAAAGAAAAAAAAGCCTGTAACGACCAATAAAGATTGAATTAAAGAGAAATGGGAAATAAACTTTTCAGATTATGTAGACATCAATTACAATTAATCCCTAGCCAAACAAAACCAAAATTTACAAAACTCATTGTCTATGACAATCTTAGGCATTTTCCCAGCACAATGGTGGGATTCTTCTGAGAGAAAGACACGTTTTAAGGGGGACTTTTAATAAACTGCATCCTGGAGAGAGGTCAACTAACCATATAATATGAATAAACTGATGGAGGATTAACTTCAAGACAAGGAGAGTAAGGATATAAAGAGACAGATCTTCAAATGTTCAGACGGATTGGACTTAACTCTGTACTGCTCCAAAGAATGGGACTCAGAACAATGAGAAGGTGCATAGGTAGATTTAAGCTAAACATGAGGAAGAATTTTAACCATTAGAGATGCTCAACCATGAAATGAACTGCCTCTCAGAACTGTTCAGAGAGACCTGGAGAGCCATCTGTCACAGACATTTTAGAAGAAACACCTGTAAGAACCAAACGGGGCCAGATGATCTTCAGGGCATTTCAGAAATCAAGGGTCTATGAGGTATCTAAGGCACCTTCCTAATATAATACAAATTCTACCTGACCCCTACAGTTCAGTGTATTTAAACACTATAATTCCATATAAGGACCACGTATTCAGGACCAACAAACAATTATACTTTCAGGCTAAATCTCGAGTGCTCAATTTTTCTATTTCTCTCTAGAAAACTGAAAGAAATGGAAGCATCCTAATTCTGACATATTTTACACAACCAAATTTCCTGGCCTAAAAAGGCTCTGTAGATTTTGGAAACCCTCCTTACACATGTCTTTTTTTTCTTTTTCTTTTTCTTTTTCTTTTTTTTGAGCCGAAGTCTCGCTCTGTTGCCCAGGCTGGAGTGCAGTGGTGCGATCTTGGTTCACTGCAACCCCTGCCACCCAGGTTCAAGCAATTCTTCTGCCTCAGCCTCCCGAGTAGCTGGGACTACAGGCCCACGCCACCATGCCCAGCTAATTTTTGTATTTTTAGTAGGGACAGGGTTTTATCATACTGGCCAGGCTGCTCTCAAACCCCTGACCTCATGATCTGCCCGCCTTGGCCTCCCAAAGTGCTGGGATTACAGGCATGAGCCACCACACCCAGACCTCCTTATACATATCTACCGTAAGAAAGTATTTTCTTTCTTCTAAGTAAACAAGTAATATTTCAAGAAGTACAAAAACAAGTAAAATGAAGGACTAATTCCATTTACTCATTAAACTCTTCTGCTGAAAAAAGTAGACAGTATTGGGGAGGGAAATGCTATAATGTGCTTACAGTTCAATTTTGTGTTTCAAAGTTCCAAAAGTTTAAGAATCTGGTAATTAGCTATTTGTTAAATCTCTCACCAATCAAAGGGAAATAATATACTGCAAAACAGGTGTGAGAGAAAGTAATACTGGCAACAAAAAGTTCTATTCAGCATTTGAACTATTTCTACTACTGCTTTAAGGAGACAATAGTTTTGGAGTAACAGTTTTGGTTTGCTTCAAATGCTTGTGAGACCTACTATAGTCCATGTAAATTTGAATATATATGCATATGGTAATTTCTCTCCAAACCAGCCAACGGACATAGCAATGCTGTTAACAGCAGATTATACCGCTTAGCCAAGAGTAGTATCATTCTGTATTAGTTATTCTAAGCAGTCCCTATAGTTAAGATATATGTAAGAAGAGTAAATTTCATTCCAAGTATCATTTCACAAGAGTTTTAGTTAATAGTGGGGTGGCCAAACTATACACTATTAAAATCAAACACATGGAATCAAAGACCCTAACAAAGTATAGTACCATGTTCTACATCAAATTCAGATTAAAACTCAATCCTTGACTGCCTATAAAGGTAAAATCTGCAAATGTTAAAATCAGTAATATAGATAATAATACAAATAGAAACAATAGGGATACTTCAACAAATGTTTATTTCATACCTGACACTATGCTGAAAATGTTTAATTATTACAAAACTATGTCTATTTTGCAAATAAGAAAAATGAGATTCAGAGTCACACAATTAGTACATAATGACATCAGGGTAGGAACCTGTGTCGGTTTCATAAAACCTAGGTTCTTTTCAGGAAAACCAAATTATTTTATATATAGTTAAAATAAATTAAGCAGAAGAGAGCTCAAACCACTTTATGTGTTAACTTATTCACACCAAGAAACCTAAAAAAGCTATGTTTTAAAATTACCATTATTTCATTAAGTCCAATATATCATGATTTAAAAGATACACCATTTTTTTTTTTTTTTTTTTTTTTTTTTGAGACGGAGTCTTGCTGTCGCCCAGGCTGGAGTGCAGTGGCGCAATCTCGGCTCACTGCAGGCTCCGCCCCCTGGGGTTCACGCCATTCTCCTGCCTCAGCCTCCCGAGTAGCTGGGACTACAGGCGCCCGCCACCTCGCCCGGCTAATTTTTTTGTATTTTTAGTAGAGACGGGGTTTCACCGTGTTAGCCAGGATGGTCTCGATCTCCTGACCTCGTGATCCGCCCGCCTCGGCCTCCCAAAGTGCTGGGATTACAGGAGTGAGCCACCGCGCCCGGCCAAGATACACCATTTTTTACGCACCACTGCTGAATAATAAAGAATACAGCTGGTCTTTGTCCCTGGTTCCTGTGAGGAGACTCTAATCCTTAGCATTTCCTGAATAATAGGAGTGTCTTTGTTATTCATGACCCCCTTGGATCACCCCCCAGTTTATGCTAAGAGATGAGAAGACTCAGGACAGCGGCTGGTCACCAGAAAAGACCAACCACCATGTGATTAGAGGGTTGGGGCTCTGAGCCACCCTGACCTGGGTGGGGAAGCACAGGGGGCTGGAGACTGAGTTGAATCATGAGGTCAAAGATTCAACCAATTATGCCTTCATAATGATTCCCCAATAAAAACATTGTACTGAACACCAGTGGAGTTTCCCAGCTGATGAACTGTTCGATATGGTAGGAGGGTGACAGGCCTTGATTCCACTGGGAGAGGGTACAAAGTTCTGTATTTGGGACTCTTCTAGACCTCACCCTATGTGTCTCTTCAGTTGGCTGGTGCTGATTTGCATCAAGCTAAAACTGTAATTGTAAGTATAGCACCTTCCTGAGTTCTGCCAAGTTCTTCCTTGCAGACAGTTGGTCAGAAGTGCAGCTGGAGTCTGAAGGGCAGTCTTGCTGGGGCCTTGCCCTTTAACTTGTGAATTCTGCACTAACTCTGGCAGTCAGTGTCAGATCTGTATTACAGCAAGCCAGCTGGTGTCAGAATAACCATTAAGAAAAATCGGCAGGGCACAGTGGCTCACCCCTGTAATACGAGCACTTTGGGAAGCAGCAGTGGGTGAATCACCAGGTCAAAGCCTTTCTTTAAGGTGTCCACGCCGCCCCTAATCCTGCTCGAAGCAGCCCTGAGAAACATCGCCCATTATCTCTCCATACCACCCCCAAACATTTTTGCCATCCCAATACTCCACCACTGTTTTGTTTTGTGTTTCTTATTAATATAAAAAGACAGGAATGTCAAGCCTCTGAGCCCAAGACTGCCTGTACACATCCAGATGGCCTGAGGCAACTGAAGAACCACAAGAGAAGTGAAAATGGCCGGCTCCTGCCTTAACTGATGACATTACCTTGTGAAATTCCTTCTCCTGGACAATGAGTCTCAGAAGCTCCTCCACTGAGCATCTTGTAACCCCCAACCCTGCCCGCAAGAGCAGGTTGACTGTAATTTTCCACTACCTACCCAAATCCTATAAAACTGCCCCACCCCATCTCCCTTTGCTGATTCCTTTTTCCGACTCAGCCCGCCTGCACCCATGTGATTAAAAAGCTTTATTGCTCACACAAAGCCTGTTTGGTGGTCTCTTCGCACGGATGTCCCTGACAAAGAGATCAAGACCATCCTGGCCAACATGGTGAAACCCCGTCTCTACTAAAAATACAAAAATTAGCTGCGCCTGGTGTTGCGCGCCTGTAGTCCCAGCTACTCGGGAGGCTGAGGCATGAGAATCACTTGAACCCAGGAAGCGGATGTTGCAGTGAGCTGAGATTGTGCCACTACACTCCAGCTTGGGCAACAGAATGAGACTCCATCTCAGAAACCAAAAAAAAGAAAAATCTAGCCAGATGCAGCAGCGTGCCCCTGTAGTCCCAGCTACTCAGGAGGCTGAGACAGGAGAATCACTTGAGCCCAGGAGGTCAAGGTTGTAGTGTGTTATGATAGGGCCTGTGAATAGCCACAGTACTCCAGCCTGGACAACATAGCATGATCCAATCTCTATTTTTTTAAAAAAAGAAAAATAAATTTTAAAAAATTCTGCCAATTAAACTATAACCTACCATCAACTCTAATATATATGCTGATTTCAGAAGTTTTAAAATGGATAAAAAATGTTTCAAAATAAAGAAAATTATTTACCTATATTCCAATTTTGTAACATATAATGCATTCTTTTAAAATTTTTAAATAGCACAAAAACATGTAGGAAAAAAAACTCCCTTTCCCCTATTCAGTGGTAATCAGTTCAGTATGTATCCTAAAACAGGATGTTTCATTCCACCTTTATAATTTCAAAATATGGCAAACAAAATTTTAGTGACTCAGCAAATGGGAATCAGAACTCAGCATCCCAAATCCCAAGGGTGCTATTTTCTGTTATACACACCCTATTGGTTCTAAACTAATTTTAAAAGATAGCTACTGACTATTTAGAAATCTTAGTTTCTCTTCTCATCTGGTTAATGAAAAAATAAAAATTAAAAAAAAAGAAAAACAGTTGGTTATTTCGATGACTAAGAATAAAAGTATATGACCATCAGCCAAAGGGCAATCCATTTTATCACAAATGATCTTAACAACTTTTCAGACAGGAGGCAATGATTACACTAAGCTTCACTAGTGAGTCATTTTTATCACTCGAAACAGTTCAATAGAAAAGACAAGCCAAATATTTTAATTGTAAGTAGCAGCAGATTGAGAGACAAGACCAATCTATCACCAGCCAGCTGCAGGAATGTGCATTCAACCTGAACCCTCTGAGTCTGTTTTCACTGAGGGAAATGGCCTCAGTGATTCCTAATGGGGAAGTTTCTGACTTTTGGGACAGGAAAATCCTTGGCTGTACAAGGTTGTCCCACACACATTTTTCTTTTTCTTTTTTTTCTGAGACAGGATCTCTCTGTCGCCCAGGCTGGAATGCAGTGGTGCAATCTTGGCTCACTGCAACCTCCGCCTCCCAGGCTCAAGCGATTCTCCTACCTCAGCGTCCCAAGAAGTGCGCGCACTGGAACCACAGGTGTGCACCACCATGCCTGTCTAATTTTTTATATTAATATTTTTGGTAGCGACGGGGCTTCACCATGTTGCCCAGGCTGATCTAGGACTCCTGAGCCCAAGCAATCCTTCTGCCTTGGCCTCCCAAAGTGCTAGGATTACAGACTTGAGCCACTGCACTTGGCACACACACATTTCAATAAGTCTCTCTGGACCTTGCCACCTAAATTCTGTAACTCTTCCCAGCAGTTATGACAACCAAAAAACCCTGTCCCCACACATATTTCCAAATGGCAAGGTGGGAGGGTTACAGGGTAGATTTAGTTTCACCACCAGATGATCTCTCTAAGGTTTCCTCAAGTGCTAAAATTCTATAAATTAGTAATTCTTGAGTTATAGTCAAGTGATAACTCATGGTTAAAAAAAACATAAAGTAGTAATGAATAACTCAGAGAAAACGTGGGGTAATTTTAATCCCAGTAATCCCATTTCCAGGACCTAGCCTAGGGAAATCAGCAATGTGACAATACATGGGCAATGGTTTAGTCAATGCAACACCAATTCTAAGACTTGCATGATTTCAGACAACTGAAATAGGTAATATTTATTGAGCACTTGTTAGGTGCCAGACATCAATCTAAGTACTTTATTGCTATCTGAAGTACAGCACATCTCTTAGGAGCTTAATTGAAATGTACATTCTCAGGCTCCACCTAAACCTACTGAATCAGAATCTGTACTTGAACAAGCCCCACAGGTGGACAGTTTAAGCAGCACTACAAATATTAATTCATTTAATCTTCATATCATTTATAATTTAATCCTCATGACAACTCAACAATGTAAATATTATCATCTTCCATTTTACAGATTACTACACTGAAGCACAGAGCATTATATATCCTGCATAGTAACTGTCGAAGCCAGGATTTGAACCCATACACTCTCATTCCAGAATCCAATCTCTAAACCATTGCTGCATATTATGTCTCAATTTATAGTATATCCATACAGAGGAATATTCTGTAACTATTAAAACTGGTGTCTAAAGAATTTCTAATGACACCATGAAATTAAGATGATCCAGCCGGGCACGGTGGCTCATGCCTGTAATCCCAGCACTTTGGGAGGCCGAGGCGGGCAGATCACCTGAGGTCAGGAATTTGAGACTAGGCTGCCCAATATGGAGAAACCCCGTCTCTACTAAAAATACAGAAAATTAGCCAAGTGTGGTGGCTCATGCCTGTAATCCCAGCAACTCAGGAGGCTGAGGCAGGAGAATCGCTTGAACCCAGGAGGCAGAGGTTGCAGTGAGCCGAGATCGCACCACTGCACTCCAGCCTGGGCAACAAGAGTGAAACTCCGTCTCAAAAAAAAAAAAAGGAATTAAGATGATCCACTAAGTAGACAGGAGACAGGATATAAAACTGAATATGATGTGAGCCCAAATACATAAATATTTAAAAGTATGTGGGATTGAAAAAAGATCTGGGTAAAAATAATGTTACTATGGGGAGGCAATACAGAAGACAGACGTAGTATAAGAATGCCAGGATTCAAACTCCAGCTCTACCACTTAGTAGCCGATTGCACTTAGATGAGATGCTTAACCCTGTGAAACTTTAATTTCCTCATTTATAAAATGGGGACAGCGTCTACCTCACAAGATGGTTGTGAGGATTAAATGAGGTAATTTACATAAAGCATAAGCATTGATTATCATTTCTCTTTATGCTTTTTCATTTTCCAAAATTTCTTCGGTGAACATACTTCAGTAATCAGCAAAAAGTTCCTTAAAAAGATAATGCCTTAGATTGTCAACTATCTGACAAAGGGCTTTTACGCAGAAAATACTCCCTTGATTAGATAATGTAAAACTGATCATAAACAAGTAACAGCTGAGTAACAGATCTAAAAACAATCTTGAAATAAGCATGATTAAATAGTGAAACTGAGGAAGTGTCACTGCTGCGCCAGTTCCTGTCACAGCTGGCCTTTACTCAGAAAGAAGTCCATCATCTACCTTGAATGATTCAGGCATTCCAACTGCAGGGCAGTACCTGCCTGTCCTTGAGCAGGTTACTGAATCTCTCTCAAGGCCTCAATCTTCCTCATCTAAAAGCAACGATACTACCTCCCTTGGAGTTATTGTGAGGATTTAATGAGAAAATGTGCATAAAGCACTAAGCATACCAACACATGAAAGCACTTAATGTTAGCTGAAATCTACCATCATCATCATCCTTAGCTGGATAAAAGTTATTGAGCTCCTACTCCAGCAATGAAAATATATTCATTCTTTGAAACCACAGTTCAATAGTGCTTTCATTATTTTCTAATCAATTATACCTTCAAAGGGCTATTTCATTATAAATGATGAAGGCTACAGGGCACATAAGTAAATAAACACATAAGTAAATAAACTATCACATTCGGATTCTTAACTAATTACACAACTACTAGTAGCAAGCCATTCCAGTGGGGTTTTCTTCGTATTTCTAATATCTTTGTATACATAAACATTACTATACAAATGAATACACCATATACTTAAATAAGTTAATCAATCACTACCAGATATAATATAGGTCAAGGCTTTCCACCTGATAAAATTAGATCAGAATCAGTGTTAAGACTTAGAAAAGCCTAAGGATCACCCAGTCTGATCCTTTCGTTTTACAAATGGATTTAGCAAATGTAGTAAACTGGTGAACAAGGAAAACATTCAAATGCTAATCTACTTTTTCAGGAATTAGTCCAAATCCTAAAAGGAACACATAGTAGATCTCAGTTTAGACTTTAAAAATGACATCAAATTTTAGCTCAGCTAAAGGTGTTACTATTATTACCACACTTTTAAGGTGTAAGTGGGAGCTTCCTTTTCACTTTCAACAGTATTAAATCCACAGCTTTGAATTCTGTTTCAAGACACTTTTTCAATGACAGGAAATGCAGAAAGGAGAAAAATCATGGTCAGGCATTTAAAGACCTCTTATTTGACAACTAATTCAAAGAACTAACAGCGATTTTCTTTAAAAAGCTGAATCAAAGAGTTCACATGCATAGTATAAGACTATTATAAAAATATTTTCTTCACATTTGCATAAAAATTTTTCAACACACAAATGGCTTTTAAACCCATGAAAATATGCTCATTAAGAGAAATGAAAATTAAAATAACAAAACAACAAAATTCCTCTCACATTTGCAGAAATCTAAGTCACTTGGCCTAGAAAAAGATTTGTCGTTGGAATGCTGACTTTATGATTCTCTAATTTTAAAACTTTTAACAATCATTTCTATTTAAGAGCAAGTCTGAGCTCATTCATGTGTATGTGCCTCTATTTATACATAAAATTTACTACTAACATATTTTTGAGAAAGTAAGGAGAAAATAGATATACTTTCATATTTCTGATGGAAATATAACCTCTATGAAGAAGAATTTGACAGTAACTATGAAAATTAACAATACTAATATCCTTTGACCCAGCAGTTCCACTTCTAGGAGTTTATCATACAGACTCTCACATATGAGAGATACCACAGGTACATGGATACTCACTGCAGCACTTCTTGTAGTAGCAAAAAACTGGTAACAACTTGAATGTCCATTAATAGAAGACTGGCTAAAATTATAGTAGACTCAAAATTGAACACTACTGCAGCCATTAAATAAGTGACAACTATATAAATTTTAACATGGAAAGATCTCTAAAAGATATTAAGTCAATAATGTGTTGCATACAGCACCATGAGTTTTAAAATTTATAATATATGTAGAGACACATACTCACGCATGGGCACATATATGCTTATAATTTAACAGAATATTCCTAGCGTGCATAAAGAAGCTGGTAATAACTATCAAGAACAGGCCTGGGTAGTTGGGGAATGAGGGACAGAAAAGTACTTCTCACTCTATACCCTTTTTAAAAATTTCATTCTATTTACACTTTTCAAAAAAAAAACAACAACTTTTCTTTTTTTTTTTTTTGAGACAGTGTCTTGCTGTCACCCAGGCTGCAGTGCAGTGGCATGATCTCGGCTCACCGCAACCTTGGTCTCCCAGGTTCAAGAGATTCTCATATCTCAGCCTCCTGACTAGCTGGGATTACAGGTGCGCACTACCATGCCTGGCTAATTTTTATATTTTTAGTAGCAGCAGGGTTTCGCCATGTTGACCAGGCTGGTCTCGAACTCCTGACCTCAAGTGATACACCCACCTCAGCCTCCCCAAGTGCTGGGATTATAGGCATAAGCCACTGTGCCCAGCCAAAAAAATTTAACTTTTAAAATACTTATTTTTAAATTTAGATATCTGACCTATGGTGTATTCCAAATCAAAGAACTCTCAAATTTTCCTTGGTCAATAGTTTTTAAATTCAAGATTCATAAAGTCAGCCTTCCAAGGACAAATCTTGAAGCCCAGTGAGTCCGTAATCAACATCAGTTCCGGCAGAATTAAAATCCTAAAGTCCAGTTCTAAGCAGAAACACATTATTATTTATATTACGGTAGAATTAGAGTGGTAAAACTGAGACCTCACCTGACCAGGTCTCCATGAAGCTGTAAATAAAGACTTTCTCTTCCCTCTCCAGCACATATTTCTGATGCTGGTGTCTCTACAGTGCAAAGGACGAGATGTAAGTCAGAGGAAGAGGAGGAGGAGGAAGAGGAAGAGGAGGTGGTGGTGGTTGTAGTGGCAGTGGTAGTGTCTGCTCCATAAAGGTAAACACAGCCTCTCTTTACATCTTCTCTTAGCCAGTCTCTTTCTCGAGAACCAAACCTACTTCTCCTATTCAAACAATTTCTGCTCCCATTGCGTTTCATATTTCTCTAAAAAATATCAAGAGAAAGAAATCGTTAGCTAGAACATCTGACTGAATTAGACATTTCAGTCCTCACCCCACCTCTCTCTACTTTATATTCCCCAACATTCTGCTCAAGTATCCCCTCCTTTTGTGGAGCACTTCACATCTATCATGCTCATTCGTAATAACTCAGATAACTTAATTTTCTTTACTGCTGTCTGTGTTTCCATCCATCATCTTCGTTGACCTCTCTTTTCCTTGTGTTTTCAGAAACGTGTCAAGAATAACGAAACAGCGGGTTGCAGTGGCTCAGGCCTGTAATCCCAGCACTTTGGGGGGCCAAGGTAAGAGGACTGCTTGAGGCCAGGAGTTCAAGACTAGCCTAGGTAAGATGGCAACATCCCATCTCTACAAAAGAAATTTTTTTTTATATATTAGCCAGGCATGGTGGCACACGCCTGTAGTCCCAGCTACTTGAGGGTGGAGAACAGATTGAGTTGGAGAACAGATTGAACCCGGGAGATTGAGGTTGCAGTGAGCCGTGATTGTGCCACTGCAACCCTATCTGGGTGACAGAGCGAGACCTTGTCTCTCAAAAATAGAAATTTTAATATTTTGCCTGGGCACAGTGGCTCACATCTGTAATCCCAGCACTTTGGGAGGCCAAGGCTGGCGGATCACCTGAGGTCAGGAATTCGAGACCAGCCTGGCCAGCATGGTGAAACCCTATCTCTACTAAAAAATACAAAAAAATTAGCCAGCTGTGGTGGCACACGCCTGTAATCCTAGCTACCTGGGAGGCAGAGGTGTGAAGATTGCTTGAACCTGGGAGGCAGAGGTTTCAGTGAGCCAAGACAGCGCCACTGCACTCCGGCCTGGGTGACAGAGCAAGACTCCATCTCAAAAAAAAAGAAACTTTAGGCTGGGCAAGGTGGCTCACACCTGTAATCCCAACACTTTAGGAGGCCCAGGTGAGGGATCATTTGAGGTCAAGAATTCGAGACCAGCTTGGCCAACATGGTAAAGCCCCATCTCCACTAAAAATACAAAAAAAAAAAAAAAACAAAAAATTAGCCGAGTGTGGTGGCACGTGCCTGTAATCCCAGCTACTTGGGAGGCTGAGGTAGGAGAATCACTTGAACCCAGGAGGCAGAGATTGCAGTGAGCCGAGATTGTGCCACCGCACTCCAGTCTGGGCAACAGAGACTCTGTCTCAAAAAAAAAAAAAAAACTTTAATCTATAAACCATACACAGTATTGTCTTATCTAATTTAAACTTCATCTAATCCTTAACAATACTTATGTTTCACCCTGTAATTTTATTTAGTTCAATATTGCTTTAGAGATACAACTGTGTTAATATACCCAGTTCATTCATTTGAATAATATTCCCTTATACAAATACACCAAACTTTATCCACTCTCCTGTTGACAGCATTCAGTTTGCTTCCAATTTTTCACTGCTAGAAACAATCCAGCAATAAACATTTTTGTACATGTCTCCTTATGAAAATGTGTGTTTCTCTAGGGTCCTAACCCTTTGCTTTACATCCCAAATAAGCCAAGTGTAGTATCAACACAATACTGCACAAATATACTTTCCATTCCTGCCCTGTTTCAAAAAAAATTAATGTCGCATTTGATAATTTAGGTATGTGAAATTCATATATTGCCAAGTTATCTCAAAGCAAAAACAATTTCTACAGGTAATATAACAAGTTTCTAAAGATCAGCATTTGCCTGCTCTATTTTTATGATGGGCTATTTCTGTTCTTTTTGATAAAAAAGAAATTTCCACTGACATTTCCGCAGCCATACCTCTCCAGCTTCGTTCCCTACTACTGCCCTTTACTCCATGTTTCAATCACCTCCAACTACCTGCAGCTCTCCAAACACACCAAGTACACCACAATTCTGTGGCCTGTCTGAAATGGCTTTCTCCACCTCATCCATATGACAAGTTATTCTTCAAAATCCTACTCAGGCATCACCTTCTCTATGGAGCCTTCCATATCTCCTATCCTTATTCTCCCTAGACAGAATTAATGACTACCAGACATTTTTACTAGACAGAATTAATGAATTATCTAGACAGAATTAAGAACTTCTTCACCTTGAGTACACCTCTAATACTACATCGATGACAATGGGTTTTATTTATTTATTTGATATTTCTTCCTCTTCTCCATTTCTAGCATGTTAACACCTGGGTGACACAGAAGTGTTTGTAGAACTCAGCTGACATCACAGAAACCTATTCCCAATCTGTACCTTAGTCCAATTAGCTCTGGCAAGAAGCTGAACAAACTTGGGGGGGAAAATTCCCATTTCTATGGAGAACCCTACATCTTTGCAGCAGCTGCAAAGTGAATGGGAGTAAATAAAATACTTTCAGTAGTATTCCTCATTGGAAAATAGAAATACCTATAAATACAGCAAATACTATTTTTATAATTACTAAGATTAAATATTTGAGGGTAATACATTTCTAAAGATGTCAGAGAAAGAGGAATGAAAAGTTAGCAGGTATTTCTATGTGGGAAAAAAGAAAAACAAGAGTAAGAATGGCTTTATTGTTTAAATTTAGAACTCAGGAAAACTGATCATTTTGCAGATCTTGGGGATTTAGGCATTGCTATTCAAAACCATGAGGATTATTGAATCTAACTTTAGAGAAGTAGGATAAATCCCTGCTACAAGTGAGAACTAGTTTTCTCATCAAATGCATTTTCTCAAAGCTGAACATCTCAGAATGAAAGGGCTTTCAAGGGCTTACTGCATAAACATAGGGACCATCGTATTTGTACTAAGTAATTTTAACCACTGAATAGTCAAATACTGCTAATAGTTAAATATTTAGTAGGTAAATACTGTTAAATTTTAAATACTCCTCATTTTTTAATCTTTGGGAAAGATTAACTGGACCATCTGAAAACAGTATTCCATATAGTATAGCAATATTTATACAAAGCTCCGCATTCTCTACTCAGTGGAGAAAAAAGAGTAAGCAGACACTGTTTCACACAAACAAAAAAGTCGTCTTCAGAACAACTTTCTAAGGTCAAATAATGGTCCACTGACCTTCTAAATCTTAGAAAAGTCAAGGAAGACTCCAGGAAGTTTTGTTTGTTTTGAGACACGATCTCGCTCTGTCACCCAGCCTGGACTACAGTGGCGTGATCATAGCCCACGGCAGCTTCGAACTCCTGACCTCAAGTGATCCTAAAGCCTCAGCCTTCAGAGTAGCTGGGACTACATGCACATGCCACCACACCCAGCTAATTTTTTGTATGTTTTTAAGAGATGGAGTCTTGCTATGTTGCCCAGGCTGGTCTTGAATTTCTGGACTCAAGCAATCCTCCTGCTTGGGCCTTCCAAAGTGCTGGGATTACAAGCATGAGCCACCACACCAGGCCTGATTTTTCTTCTGTGAGGATTTTTAACAGTCATTTTTAGTGCATATATATTTACCTTAGATTATAAATTCCTTAAGGAACTTTACATTATCAAAACATATATGCGGTCGGGCGCAGTGGCTCACACCTGTAATCCCAGCACTTTGGGAGGCCAAGGCAGGCGGATCACAAGGTCAGGAGTTCGAGACCAGCCTGGCCAACATAGTGAAACCCCGTCTCTACTAAAAATACAAAAACATTAGCTGGGCGTGGTGGTGCACGCCTGAAATCCCAAATACTTGGGAGGCTGAGGCAAGGAAATCACTTGAACCTGGGAGGCGGAGGCCACAGTGAGCCGAGATTGCGCCACTGCAATCCAGCCTGGGTGACAGTGCAAGACTCTATCTCAAAAAAAAAAAAAACAAAACACATGCCTGTAATCCCAGCACTTCAGGAGGCCAAGGAGGGAGGATCACTTGAGGTCAGGGGTTCAAGACCAGCCTGGGCAACATAGTGAAACCGCGTCTCAAAAAAAATTAAAATAAAATAAAGATTAAAACAACAACAACAAAATATACACGCTGTTGGTCATCATTTACCTCAAAGGATCTATCTCCTGTCTACATGATACATTCCGCCCTAAGAAGATAAACTGCTAAGTTACAACTTCAGTATATATCATTCTCTTAAACCTGACCGATGGGCACTTAAAAGGCCTGGATATTAAGCAAAGCAAAGGCTTACAGCAACAATCTAGATGGACTGTTTAGCTGTTATTAGCCACTGCTGAATTGCCTAGTGCTTCCTTCTTCTCAAGAATGTCTTGCTCCACTGCTTAACACATCAGTTAACTGCTGGAAAAACCTTCCTAGGAGCCAGGACTGCAGATGACACGGTCCTCTGAGGTGCTTTCAACTTTTAGAATCACCATTCTACTGGAATTGCTAGGTTGAGAAAATTATTTTCCCCTTACTCTTATAGAATTGTTATCACAAATTTATTTGAAAGGGAACACAATGACAATTACCTCTTACATCAAACAAGTATACAAAGAGCGTATTTTAGATTTAAAGATCTTTCTAGCCGGGCGCAGTGGCTCATGCCTGTAATCCCAGCACTTTGGGAGGCTGAGGCGGGCAGGATCACCTGAGGTCAGGAGCTCGAGACCAGCCTGGCCAACGTAGCAAAACCCCGTCTCTATTAAAAATACAGAAGAATTACCCGGGGGTGGTGGCACGCATGCCTGTAATCCCAGCTACCCTGGAGGCTGAGGCATGAGAATCGCTTGAACACAGTAGGTGGAGACTGCAGTGAGCGGAGATCACGCCACTGTACTCCAGCGTGGGCTACACAATGAGGCTATCTCTCTAAAAAGTATCTTTTTTAATTTTTTTGGCATTAATTGTTTATACATACTTTGCTCAACACCCAAAACTATTCTTGAAAAAAAAAAAAGAATCTCATGACACACACCGACATTAGTTGTAACTTCGTATCTTCTATAAGCTATGGGCCTGGGTGACACAAGGAGACTCTGTCTTTAAAAAAAAAAAAAATCTTTCTAGAAGGCAAAAGTCTTGAGGGTAAGCCATGAATTAAATACCCACTGCTTCAATTTTACACTTTTGTTTGTTTGTTTTTTTGGAGACAGCATCTCCCTCTGTTGCCCAGGCTGGAGTGCCGTGGCACGATCTCGGCTCACCGCAACCTCCACCGCCCGGGTTCAAGCGATTTTCCTGCCTCAGGCTCCTGAGTAGCTGGGATTACAGGTGCACAACACCATGCCCAGCTAATTTTTTTTTTTTTTTTTTTTTTTTGAGACGGAGTGTCGCTGTTGTCCAGGCTGCAGTGCAGTGGCACAATCTCGGCTCACTGCAGGCTCCGCCCCCCGGGGTTCATGCCATTCTCCTGCCTCAGCCTCCCGAGTAGCTGGGACTACAGGCGCCCACCACCTCGCCTGGCTAATTTTTTGTATTTTTAGTAGAGACGGGGTTTCACTGTGTTAGCCAGGATGGTCTCGATCTCCTGACCTCGTGATCCACCAGCCTCGGCCTCCCAAAGTGCTGGGATTACAGGCGTGAGCCACCGCGCCTGGCCACGCCCAGCTAATTTTTAAAAATATTTTTAGCAGAGACGGGGTTTCACTATGTTGGCCAGGCTGGTCTTGAACTCTTGGCCTCAAATGATCCACCCGCCTCGGCCTCCCAAAGTGTTGGGATTATAGTAGTTAGCCACTGTGCCCAGCCCAGTTTTATACTTTTAACTCTAAAAGTGTTCCATGAGGGCAATGATCAGTTCAAAGGTGATATACTATTACACACTCACATACAATAATAAGATATACATGGTATAAACAGGGTCTGGTAAAGTAACTCTCCATATTCAGTTAGTTCTGCAAGAATGTGAAATACGGCCGGGTGCGGTGGCTCATGCCTGTAATCCCAGCACTTTGGCAGGCTGAGGCAGGCGGATCACCTGAGGCCAGGACTTCAACACCAGCCTGACCAACATAGAGAAACCCTGTCTCTACTAAAAATACAAAATTAGCCAGGCGTAGTGGCACATGCCTGTAATCCCAGCTACACGAGAGGCTGAGGCAGGAGAATCGCTTGAACCCGGGAGGCGGTGAGCCAAGATCGTGCCATTGCACTCCAGCATGGGCAACAAGAGCGAAACTCCACCTCGGAAAAAAAAACAAAAGACGAAAAAAAAAAAAACAATGTGAAATACTCTTAGGTAGAAGATGTTTCTGCATTCAAAACTTTAAAACAATATAGACTCATATCTGGGAATACACACGTTATTAAATATTGTGAAAGCGGTGGGGAGGGATGGGATGAGATAGAGAAAGAATATGTCAGCGCTTTAAAAATGTTTTGGGGCTGGGTGCGGTGGCTCATGCCTGTAATCCCAGCACTTTGGGATGCCGAGGAGGGACAGCCTTTAAGCCCAGGAGTTGAAGGCCAGCCTAGGCAACAAGGTAAGACCTCATCTCTACTAAAAAAACAAAACAAACAAACAAAAAAAAAAACGTGCCTATGATCCCAGCTACTCAGGAAGCTAAGGCAGGAGGATCACTTGAGCCATGATCGCGCCACTGCATTCTAGCCTGGGCAAGAGAGAGGCTCTGCCTCAAAAAAATAATAACAATAATAACGTTTTGGGCTGGGTGCAGTGGCTCATGCCTGTAATTCCAGTGCTTTCGGAGCCCAAGGTTAAGAGGATCACTTGAGGCCAGGAGTTTGAGATCAACATAGCAAGACCCCATCTCTACAAAAATAAAAATAAAAATTAGCCAGGCATGTGCCTATAGTCCTAGCTACTTGAGAGGCTGAGGTACTTGAGCTCAGGAGTTTGAACCTGCAGTGAGCTATGATCACACCACTGCACTCCAGCGTGGGCTACACAATGAAGCTATGTCTCTAAAAAAAAATCTTTTTAAATTTTTTTTGGCATTAATTGTTTATACATACTTTGCTAAACACCCAAAACTGTTCTTGAAAAAAAAAAAATGAATCTCATGACACACACCGACATTAGCTGTAACTTCCTATCTTCTATAAGCTGAGTAAAAAAGTTAATCATTACTAAAAAAAAACCATAAACCCCAAATTGTAGGAAACACCTGGAAAATTTACAAACCTATGGTCCAGCAATTCGCTAAATAAATCTGGGGGCACATTTTGAAGGAAATTTTCCAGTATCCCAGGATAGATGGAACTGGATCTAGTCTGGCTAAGTTAGACTGGCTTAGTTATATTAGCCTTTTGAAGAATATCTGTATTATCTGACAATAATGTTCATGATTTGGTATTAGGTATAAAAGAGTTACAAAAAAGAATGAAGTTTTGGAAGGGTCTTCAGAGAAAAATGAGTGGGAGATGACTCTTCCCAATTCAGAGTATTCTACTGTAATACTTCTTTTCCAGCATCACTTGGCACAATTCAACCACTCAGCTACTTAACAAAACTGTATGAGGCCGGGCGTGGTGGCTCATCCTTGTAATTCCAACACTTCGGGAGGCCAAGGCGGGCGGATCACTGGAGATCAGGAGTTCAAGACCAGCCTGGGAAACATAGCGCAACCCTGTCTCTACTAAAAATACAAAAAAATCAGTGGGGTGTGGTGGCGGGTGCCCGTGATCCTAGCTACTCAAGAGGCTGAGGCAGGAGAATCGCTTGAACCCTGGAGGCAGAGGTTGCAGAGATCGAGTCACTGCACTCAGGCTTGGGTGACAGAGTGAGACCCTGTCTCAAAAAATAAATAAAAAGAAAAAAAACTGAGAGGCAGTAGCACAAAAAATGTTTTATATTTTACAGAGTTCTAGTTTACGTTGTTCCATGGATTCACTGGGTTCTATTATTGTTTTTCCGTGTTCCCATCTTTGTAACATCGTACTAACCTTCATAACATGTAAATACTGCTGAACCTCAATCCCAATAAACTACTAAAGGATTTTTAACATCATACGTTTTGTTTTGCAATGTATTTTTGAAACACATCAAATTTAAATTTTCTTTCCTTTCCATCCTTCTACTGGGCAAGTTTCATATCCTGAATTCCTCATGTAGAACTCTAGAAGGAATTCCATTCCACCTGCGGAAGGACACCTAGTTTACGTATTTGACCTACAGAAAAATTTCTCTGCAACTCTTTCAAATGCTAGTAAAAAACTCCACCCAGTCAGCCTCCCACAACCCCTCCCTTTAACCATCTTCTCCTCCCCACTATCGCCACCCTACCTTGTGCATTCCTTCGTAAACTTACTTCTCATCACCTTCAAGGTTCCACTCCCCTCTTGCCTACATCTGTTTTCATATCCTCCCACTCCCCCAATTCCTGCCAAGAAGCCCCGCTAGCTGCCTGTTGCATAACGGCTCCCCCATTCCGTCTCCCTCGGCAGTCGGCCCCGCTCCCGGGAGCAGGAATGCCCCTTTCGGCCCGGCCCCTCCTCCCTTCCGCAACACGCCCAGCAAGTCCCCGCGACGCAGCTCCAGCGGGGATTCTCTCTCCAAGCTGGGCGGGTCGTCCTTGCCGGCTGGCACCTCGGGTAGCGAGCCCCGAGGGCAGAGGAGCCGGCTCCACCCGGCCTGGCCCCGAACCCTCCGCGGCGCCGGCCAATCGCCGCTGCCATCCTCCCGCTGGGGTGATGTCTTCAGGTGTCCGGGAGGGGAGAAAGCCCTGCGTACTTCCAGCCCCGCTCCTGTGCCAGGAACCGGCGGCCCTCCGAGCCCTCCGGAGCCGGCCTCCGGGCCCCGAGCGCGGCGAGGCAAGCAGGGGCGGCGAAGGGTCCGGGTGGGCGGCGGCTACCCGCAGCCCAAAGGCGTGGGCCTGCGAGGCGGGCGGCGCGCGGCCAGGGATGGGCAGCAGCGGGGTACCGAGGCGCCGAGGCCTGGACGCGGGCGCGGCGCGGAGGCCTCGGCGTCCCCAGCCGGGTGTGGGGCGGCCGACTGACTGACGCCGGGCGGGGGCCGCCGACTGCCTCAGCCACTGCGCGGGGCGGGGGCGGCAGCGGCCTCTAGCCTCCCTCGTTCCCTCCCTAGTCCGCTTGCCCGCTCGCCCGCTCGCTCGCTCGCTGGTCCATCCGCCTCCTCACCTTCAGGACCCGGATCCCTCCCGGCCGGCGGCTCGCGGGCGCTTCGGGCGGCTCCGGGGGCTCCAGCGGGCCCGCGGGCCCCGGCTCCACCTCCCCCATCGGCGACCCAGGATTCACAGAGACGCCCGGCCCGCGCGACGGCGTGCGGAGCCTCGGCGGCGCGCGCGAGCAACCGGTGGCCCCGCCCCCCGCGGCCCGCCGGCTCCGCCCCTCCGGCGGCTCGCCAGCTCCGCCCCTCCCGCAGCCCCGCTGGACCTAAGCAGCTGCCGGCGCCGAGTGGCCCGGGCGCCACCGAGCCGCATTCCGGCCGCGGCCCGCGTGGCGGAACCTGGCACCACCGCAGAGCGCTGGGCCTCCACTGCCCGCCGCCCTAGGCTTGGAGGACTAGAGCGCAAGGAGGGGTATTTGCTGCTTTCCCCGCCCTCTAAGAAACCCGCGGGAGAAAGAAGCAGGTGGCGCCGGCACCTGTCAATTGTGACAAGACGCTGCCCTCCGCCAGGGTGGCTCTTGTAACTTCCCTCACCTGCCAAGCCGTTGAACGAACTGTTGAGAATACTCACCTTGGCAAGGCCTTTTCTCTTCCTTATCAGAGATGCGTGCGACCTTCTTAAGCAAATTCAACCCAACCTCGTACAAAACGTCCGCTCACCTCCCAGCCATGTTTTAATTCCCTTGCCTCCTCCTGGAGCAAAATTATCAGAATTCGGTGCTCTGCTTCAAGCAGTAATATGGCCTGTGACCCGGTTTATGATTTATTTGCAAGGCTGATTCAGAAAAAAACTTTTAAAAGTTAACTTCTTTTCTTTTCTTTGTTTTGTTTTTCTTTTCGTTCTCGCAGTGATAGTAGTTTTGTTGCCAATGGGCCAAATTTGGAGTCAGCCAGCCTGTTTCCAGATCTCCCCTCTGCCCTTCTTTAGATCTATACCCCTGTGCAAGTTACTTGATCTAAGCCTTTCGTTCTTAAGCTGTGAGAAAGAGATTAAAATCTGCCAAGTAGTTATGATGAAGATTTAGTGCATACAAAGTGCCTAACGTATAGTGGGGATCCATAGTAGCCATTATAATTCCAAAATTCTAAATTGAAGATCCAATCGGTTTCTCGAAAAGTACTCTGTCGATTCCTCCTAAATTTTCCTAGGAAGGCTTCTAGACTTCCAGATTTTTAGGGCTTCCCCTCATACATAGGGTGTTGAATCTTCAAGCAACTTGTAAGGAATTAGACAGCAAAAAACAGTAATTTCTTCACTTTCATAGAACTGTAATTCCAGTACTTTGGGAAGCCAAGGCAGGCAGATTACTTGAGGCCAGGAGTCCGAGACCAGCCTGACCAACATAGCGAAACCCTGTCTATACCAAAAATACAAAAAAATGAGCTGGGCAGGGTGGCGCACGCCTGTAATCCCAGCCACTTGGGAGGTGGAGGCAGGAGAATCGCTTGAACCCGGGAGGCGGAGGTTGCAGTGAGACGAGATCGTGCCACTGCACTCCAGCCTGGGTGACAAAGCAGGACCCTTTGTCCCTATTATCCATTGCTTCAGTTTGCCTCATTCAGACTAACTGTATGTCTAGAATAATTGCAGGCTTAGTACAAGACTTTTAGATTTAACAGAGCAGTCTGTGTCCCCCATCTGAGATATGTATCCATTTGGAGATATTTTAAATGCCAGGACCAAATTTGGCTCTTGCAGGTTCCGACCCCTTTCTGACCTACTTTCTCCCTTCACAAGTTAGCTTTGTATATACCAAAATTCCAATCTCCAGTAATCTTCATTTCTTGGCCTCATTTTAATGCATTAAAAACGATTTGTCACTGTGAGTCTGGTTTAAGGTGGGAGAAAACTCTTAGGTCATCCACCTCCTGGATTTTCCTTCCACCTTGAAATTATTTTCAGGAAAGGTACTCAAAGTAGTTGGATTCCCATTTCAGTGCTTACTGGGTAATTTCTCCCAACAAGAAAACTGGTATATAAGCAATAGGCACCAATATGGAGACAGAAGCAAATTTTAACAAGGGCAGGCAAGCAGTGATAAGAAAAAAATGTGGTTTAGAACAAGTGTTTCTGGCTGGGTGCAGTGGCTCATGCCTGTAATTCAGCACTTTGGGAGGCCAAGACGGGCAGATCACCTGAGGTCAGGAGTTTGAACCCAGCCTGGCCAACATGGCAAAACCCCATCTCTACTAAAAATACAAAAATTAGGCAGTGTGGGGGCACGAGCCTGTAGGCCCAGCTACTCAGGAGGCTGAGGCAGGAGAATCACTTGAACTTGGGAGGTGGAGGTTGCAGTGAGCCGAGATATCGCGCCACTGCACTGCAGTCTGGGTGACAGAGGGAGACTCTTGTCTCAAGGAAAAAAAAAAGTGTTTTTCAAAAGCCTTTTATATTTTTTTTATTTTTGAGACAGGGTCTCGCTTTGTTGCTCAGGCTGGAGTACGGTATGGACACAATCATAGCTCACTGCAGGTTCAACCTCCATGGGCTAAGGTGATCATGCCACCTCAGCCTCCCAGTAGCTGGGACCACAAGTGAGCACCACCCTACGCTTGGCTACTTTTTGCATTTTTTTTGTAGAGATGGGGCTTCACCATATTGTCCAAGCTGGTCTCGAACTCCTGAGCTCAAGCCATCCGCCCACTTCAGCCTCCCAAAATGCTGGGATTACAGGTGTGAGCCACCACACCTGGCTGTAAGAGTCTGTTTCTTGAGGCATTATACATTACCTTTTCCAGATTTCATGAGTAGAAGCTCTTTATTGACTGACTACACAAAAAGGAAAGATCTTGTTGCAGAACTAAAGTTTCAGCTCATGCTGGGGAACAGCAGTGGTGAATAATTGTTTAATTAAAGGGATAGTAGGCATAAGCATTGCTATTTACTTCTTCATTCTGGCAACAGTAGTTCCTCTTTCAAAAGGGAAAACATAAAAAAAAAAACCCATCCGCCCAAAAGTTTCAGGGGCTAATTTATGATGTAACTACCTTTAATGGTTCCCATGATTTAAGATCCAATTCAGTAGTGACAACCAGTTGATTTTTTTCAAATCATGTAGTGCCATTAACATTTTATACTTTGTTTCAAAGGTCACATATTGATGTTCTCCCCCAGTTCAAGGCACTGTGCATTATGTATGCCAAGGGTTATGTAACTACAATTTCTGGAAATGGTAAACAGCTGAGACTAACCCTAAAAATAAATTCCTCTGGGATTTTTTTTGTGCGAAAATCCATCTGCCCTCACTGCAGGTTCATCATTACAAAAATCACTGTTTAGCTCAAACCAAGAGACAGAGAAGTCATCATGATCTCTCCTTTCTGTCTCCTTCCTGTAGCAGCTGTGCTTCCCCTCTCTGGTATGTACACACGCACACACCTTCTTTATGCCAGGAGCTTTTCCAGATCTTCACTACAAAATGGGAAGTCTGGAGAAGGGAAGCTCATGCCTATCAGATGTTGGGAGAGGAAGCAGATGAGACTTATATTTACTTATTTATATCTAGTACGCACTCCAGTGATCCACAAAGTCATCTTTGGGCCTAAATCCCTTGTTATTCTACCAATAGGTTAAGCAGATTTGGATATTCCTAATTTTGGTTCCAAATAAACAGGCAGTGTTTACCTAGCTTCAAAGTTTGGAGAATTTTTCTGTGAACATTTTGATATTTTTCAAATATGGGGACAATTGAATTGACAATTGAAGACATAGGATAGAAAACCCTTAAAAGTGATAAAAATTAATTTGGTGCTTCTGAATTGAAATTCAGATCTGAATACTATTTGTTGTATTGTTAAATGTCTATTACTGGCTAAACTTTTCTATTTTCCTCTAATTACATGAAGGTGCCAACTAAATTTAATATTAGAAACAACTATGAATTTTAACTAACTCATACATAAGATTATAGAAATGTTGCTTATCAAACAGTACCAAAGGGCACTTCTGCATAAACTAGATAACTGCCAGGGCCTACACCCTTCCCCTTTTCAATCGGGACTATCACACTCTCCCCTTTCTCAATCAAGGGACTGTCAGGGATCATCAGAATAACAGAAAACCTAAAGCTACCAACCTCCAAAACACAGAGTTGACAGCCAGGCACAGTGACTCACGCCTGTAATCCCAGAACTTTGGGAGGCAGAGGCTAGTGGATCACTTGAGCCCAGGAGTTTGAGACTAGCTTGGGCAACATAGTGAGACCCTGTCTCTACCAAAGGAAAAAAAAAAATACAAAAATTAGCCAGGCATGGTGGTGCATGCCAGTAGTCCCAGCTACTAGAACGGCTGAGGTGGGAGGACTGCCTGAACCAGGGCAGTCAAAGCTGAAGTGATCAGTGACCGCACCACTGCACTCCAGCTGGGTGACACAGCGAGACTCTGTCTTAAAAAAAGACAAGCCAGGTGCGGTGGCTTACGCCTGTAATCCCCGCACTTTGGGAAGTTGAGGCAAGAGGATTGCTTGAGGCCAAGAGTTCAAGACCAGCCTAGGCAACATAGCAAGACCACATCCCTACAAAAGTTAATATATACAAAATACACAGTTCATATAAAATAGACCATGAAATATAACTCATTTTGACTGGTCAAGCCTTCCTCTGCCCAGTCACAGATACACTTGAAAAATTCACAAAAAGCAGCTTATAAAGAAAACCCATAACCACCCTTAATATACATTTCATCTTGGTTTCTCTGCCTTGAGAATTGACCTATGGAGATTAAGCATGAAATTAATCATATTATAGTTAAAATGTCCAATTGCACTTAGGACTTTTTTACTGTCTATAACACAAGTTTGTTGTTGTTGTTGTTTTTGAGATGAAGTTTCACTCTTGTCACCCCAGGCTGGAGTGCAATGGCGTGATCTCGGCTCACTGTAACCTCCGCTTCCTGTGGTCAAGCAATTCTCCTGCCTCAGCCTCCCGAGTAGCTGGGATTACAGGCATGCGCCACCACACGTGGCTGATTTTGTATTTTTAGTAGAGACAGGGATTCTCCATGTTGGTCAGGCTGGTCTCTAACTCCCAACCTCAGGTGATCCGCCCACCTCGGCCTCCCAAAGTGCTGGGATTACAGGCGTGAGCCACCGCGCCTGGCTACAAGTTTTTAAGTGATTCAAATTCCTCTCTTGGTGAGACTTATGTGTGAAAGGAATACTAACAGGTCAGTAAGTTAGCTCAACCTCTGGAATAAGAATTCATCTAAGTCTTCTAATCCAATTGTAAGAAGCAAGGAAGCAAATTTTAAATCATTGGGTATTGACTTTTTATTATTAGTCACTGTTCATAATTTGTTTCAACCAAAAGACAGTACACACAGCAGAATTCTAATGCATCCCATGTAAATGTTTACATCCATTTTATTCCTCACTCGCCTCTAAGACTTATCATTTAACTTTAAATTTTTTTTTTTACATCTCAAAAATATGTCTGCAATAATTAGAGCTTCATTAGCTGTCCCACTTGGAAACAGCTTTTTAATATTTTTACAGTAAAGAAGATGTGATGGGGCATAATGAAAATGTAACTTACAACACTAAGAAAGAAAAGGGCCTTTATAGGAACACAGTGGGAGTTCATAAAGGAAAGAGTTCAGAAGCTCTTTCCCATGGGGCCCCCAAATGGAAAACAAAAACAAAACACACAAAGCGCAACCGCAGGTTCTTTGAGGGAAGAAAAAAAAAAAAAAAAAAACCAACTCCAAGGCTCCATCTTGAAGCCAGAATCAGCCTCTTGGAAGTCTGTAAAGCAACTGTGCAAGCTGCTTCGGCATTTCCTTCTGTTAAAGTGTTCCAGGTCCTGGAACCCTGTCGATGGGACCCACTCACTGATATTGCTTGAAAAAGTTATTCACTTCCAGTTCTACAAGCAGCCCCACTCTCCCGAGCCAAAGCTGGTCAAAAGTGTTTTAAACTTCAGGACTTTCTGTGCAATTCTCTCTCCAATGATCCTACCCACTCCCAAAGTCATGAATACACAGACATGTAAAACCACTCTCCCAACTACAAAGTTCATGAACACCCACTTTTTCCTCTCTAGTTTTCTCAGTTTAGGACACTGTGGTTAAAATACATTCACTAGAAAAAAATAGACACATTCAAACTCCTTTCCCCTAGTTCTCATGGCCCAAATATTTTCCAATGCAGAAGATAATGAAGTTGAACCTTGAAAGCAGTACTCCCTAACTTCCAATTTCTACGACATAAAAAAAATGGGAAGCATGTTATATAAACCATTAGTGTTGGACAGTTTTAAAAGTCTATTTTCATATATGAATGGGACAAACAAGGAGTACAAATCACACCTTTAAACTAGCAAGAGGAAAGAATCCCCTCCCAAATGTTACACTGAGGAATGTTTCTTTAAATGATAAAGACCTTAAAATTAACAGATGATCACTATGCACAGCCTAAAACTTCCGTGACTGTCCAAACCACCTCAAGGTAACAGCACCAAAGCACTGTGGGAGAAGCTTCTCAGGGAGAGCACCCTTCCTACAGTTTTTTGAGATTACTTAGATGAATTAATTCTCCTTTAGGATTCCCCGGGATGGGGCAGAAACTAGAATAGAAACGACTCTTGAAGAGGGAAATAATGAAGTACAAGTGCATGTGAAATTGTCAAAGTAAGTGTGTGAGGGCTCACTGCTTATCACCCCAGGGTTATCAAAACAGCCTTGGAAAATGCTCTTTCCTCACAATGCCTGTGAAGTCGTAAATCCATCCAAATTTGCTCCCCCTTGAGTGGTTATACTCGGGAAAGGAATTATTGAAATGTGCAAGTATTCAAAGAAATTGAAACATTTCTCCATTTAGCTGCAAGGCCAAGTGAGAGGAAAACTAATTCTGATCCTAGAAACTAAGGCACGCTGAAGCTTTCAAAGATCCAATCATTTGAAACAGTCTTCACAACCATCAGTATCCTAGGCAGTTATTTGGCTGCTAGTCCTTCAGTATGGTGCTTGTGTTCTGATTCCAAAATCAATTCATATTCTACGCAGCACCCTTTGTGTTAAGGCCATGATATTTTACTCCTTCTAGACAAAGCTATGAATGATCATAAACTCTACCTCGAAACTATGATCACCCAAGGAAATGCTCTGTCAGCAGAGTAGACCCTTCCCAGCTCCATTAGCTGACAGTGTCTTATAGCATGGTCTTGAACAGATTTCTTCAGAGATTCAACCCAGTTCAAATAAAAAAACCTGAGCTGGTTAGCTACAAATATAAGAGAGAAAATAAAGCCTCTACACAAAGAGGAATGTTAAGACAAATTCTATTCAAGAAATCCACCAACATTATGTTAATCCTATCATGTTTCACAGCATTAAGTATCCATCCAATGAAATCAGTCTGCAAAGAAACCCTTAAAGGCTATTTTTCATTGCACAGGCAGAGCAGTTGTCTGAAATATGCACTAGTCCACACTTACATTACTGAAAACTATGCAGGAGATATTATCCTGTTCTTGACTCAGTCAACCATTTACCCAGTGGAGTAAGTTTTAGCAGATCTTGCTCATACACACTAGTAAGACCAGAAACTTTCCCGTGGAGCCTTTAGTTCAACTCCAGTTTGTCAAATGTTAGGAATATTCCAGCATCTGATACAGAGCTAGATTTGACAAGACACTGAAGATTTTAAGTAAAGGCTTGGTGAAATGAAGGGGAAAAAAAGGGATATTTGTTTCCAGGTTTAAGATTGAAGCCATAGTAGTCATTATACTGTATTCAATACAGTAACAATTGCAAACATTGTAAGAGCAAGGTGGGCCTCACTTTTTCTTTCTTCAGTATATAAGACATGGCGCCTGAATACTTGAACATACATAGTACATTCAATGTGTACCACAGAGAGAGTCACCTCTACTTCATTCCAGCAACTCAATTTCAAAGTTTGATAACATATGGGTCCTTTCTAAAAAGCACTTGGCACTCTCACTAGTTTAAAAAGCTCAAGTCTTTGATGTGAATATTCATGAGATTCGTCTTTTAAAAGAGACCAATTTCTCAGACTGAGGAAAGGCTATTCCTACCCTATGGTGTCCGTAAGACCTCCTCTGACATAGGGGTATGGAAGCTACAAGGCTTCACTCCAACACCATAAAGTACAATATGGAAAGATTTCTTTAACCGTGTGGTCTTTATTTCAGTGCCAGTGTTACAGATACAACACAAATGTTCCAGTTAGAAGGAATTCAAACGGAATGCCAAGGTCCAAGCCAGGCTCAAGAAATAAAAAGGGAGGTTTGGAGTAATAGATAAGATGACTCCAATACTCACTCTTCCTAAGGGCAAAGGTACTTTTGATACAGAGTCTGATCTTTGAAACTGGTGAACTCCTCTTCCACCCATTACCATAGTTCAAACAGGCAAGTTATGGGCTTAGGAGCACTTTAAAATTTGTGGTGGGAATAGGGTCATTAATAACTATGAATATATCTTTTAGAAGGTGACCATTTTGCACTTTAAAGGGAATCAATTTTGAAAATCATGGAGACTATTCATGACTACAGCTAAAGAATGGCGAGAAAGGGGAGCTGGAAGAGCCTTGGAAGTTTCTATTACAAATAGAGCACCATATCCTTCATGCCAAATCTCAACAAAAGCTCTTTTTAACTCCATCTGTCCAGTGTTTACAAATAAACTCGCAAGGTCTGACCAGTTCTTGGTAACAAACATACATGTGTGTGTCTGTGTGTATACAGCAATGCACAGAAAAGGCTACCAGGAGCCTAATGCCTCTTTCAAACATTGGGGGAACCAGTAGAAAAAGGCAGGGCTCCCTAATGTCCATTATTACATTTCCATTCCGAATGCCAGATGTTAAAAGTGCCTGAAGATGGTAACCCAGCTAGTGAGGAATAAATACCCCACCTTGCCCAGTCCACAGAGAAACAACAGTAGAAAGAAGGGGCAACTCTTTGCTGCAGAGACAAAGTGAGTGTTTTTTCGCCATGGATTGCAGTCCTCTCCTCCAGACCAGCTGCTTATTTCCTCAGGGGCCCAGGGAATGTTGATTCTGGCTGTAAATGTGGGAGGGGTGGAGAAGTGCGGAAAAAGGAGAAGAGGAAGAGTGCAAAGTAGCCTCCAGAAGCAGCCAGCCTCAACAGTGGAGGAGAGGACATTAGTCTTTAACAATGCTTCAAGGTCAGCAGTAACTTTAGGAAAATCCTCCTCAGCAGTTCTCTTCAGCTCCTCATGCCCGTGGTACAGTTGGGGGGGACTTGCCAGCAATCACAACCTCCTTCCCAGAGTTCCTTTGATTGAGTGGGATAAAGAATGAGAATGGTGCCAAACCCTCATTGCCAGGACTGAGGGGGAAAGTTGTTCACCTCTGCTAGATCTTGCATTGCTGAGCCCTTGTGATTATATGTAAGCTTGATCCGCATTCGCAGCTGTTGCTATAAGAGGAAAAGAGAAGTGCAAATTATATACTGAAATGAAATCTCCAGAATCTGTCCGGTCCACAAATAGACTTTTAATCTTAGAGGTCAAAACTTAAAGCAAAGCTGTCTGTTAAGAATGACAGGTAAACAACAACAAAAAACACCCAGTACTCTAGGCTTGAGCCAAGAAGCTAACAATGTCATGCCACCAAGTTGAGAAAGCGCATCTGCAGAATACACGGTTAGCTTTAATCCTTGAACTGCATTAAAAGGACAGAACTCCTTGGGAGCATTTTTTCTTTTCTTTTCTTTTGAAACAGGGTTTTGTTCTTATTGCCCAGGCTGGAGTGCAGTGGCACAATCTTGGCTCACCGCCACACCAGACTAATATTTTTATTTTTAGTAGAGACGGGGTTTCACCATGTTGGCCAGGCTGGTCTTCAACTCCTGACCTCAGATAATACACCCACCTCAGCCTCCTAAAATGCTGGCATTACAGGCGTGAGCCACCATGGAGCATTCTCCTAGTAACATTTTGCTGAGTCCTTTTCAAAAAGATTCAAACCTTGTATCCAAGTCTCTTAAAAAATGAGGTGAACATATACTCATCGTACGCTCTCCATTCAGATACACTGTTGCTTTATCTGAAAAACCTACAGTAAATGTGAACATGACCTTTTGTTCCTAAAGCATAAAATTTTAAAAAATGACTTAACTCACAGGTAACAGCAGTAGTTTTAAGAGAACTCAATTAGACACTTTTTGTATGGCAGATTTCAAATACAAATGCACTAAGACATTTTTTACTCTCTGTATCAGATGGTCAAAGGAGTTTGTGCTTGTACTATAGAGGCCGATGCTCAAAATATAGTGAATAGCAGAGGAAAGGCAAGTGTTACAAGAGAAAGAAAGTATACTGTTACTTATGAGCAACTAGTAGAGCTCTATTAAAGAAATTCTCTGAACCATTTTCAAAAACTGAAAACCAACTGATTACTATTAAGGTGAGCTTATTTCTTTGAGAAGAGATAATAAAAATATTGCTTAATTTCAGTTTCTAAAGCTATTTTTCATTTGGCTGCTTCATTTAAAATGCCTCTATTTTTCTATTCATACTTAATAACTGTAGCAGTAAATGTAGGTATTTGGTTTCAACAAATGCTCTTACCTCAGATTTCAACTTGTGTATAAATTAAAATGTCTAAGCTTCTCCCCTACCCCCAAAAACCAGACCTTTAATCTAGCTTTTTTTGAAGTTGCATTTTAATAAGATGCCACTAAGCCACCTGATGTCTCTGGGTTCCATTTGTTATTTACAAAAGAGCAAGGAAGTTAGACCAGGCATTTTCATTGATCTCTTCTCTAACTATGAGTCAGAAAAACCTAAAGAAACAAAGCAGAATTTTATTTCGGGAAATATGCTTACACTTCGGCTCAGATATTGGCTACAAATGTGCTACTCACCTTCTGAGGGTTCAGAACTTTAATGACTTGTGTGATGGTCCCCGTGTTAAATGCTGGGACAATGCTGCTGCTAGGAGACAAGAGCTGCAGCTGGAATGTCTAGGGGGGAACAAAGGGCACTCTTCAGAAAAAGAATTACACAACGCTAGGTCAGAGATACCAAAAACCATTTAGACACCCAGATGATGGGTCAAGCAACAGATTTCACTACTACTAAGTTTTGCCTACTACTTGTTTTCTAGATATCAGGAATTCACAGCACGTGAGTTGACTCCCTGTGGTATTTGTAAAAATCCACTGTTCGGTTCTTTGATCATGACAACTAGTAATAAACCACATTCTCCTTTCTGGCAGAAGGAATTCTAGCCTACCTCTTTTCAAAAGCTGACCAATTCTTCTTCTGGCAACTTCACTTAATGGTAACTGATCAACTATGCAAGTAAAATATCGGTGCTTTTGGCTTAAAAAACAGCCAGAAAGAAATGAAAAGAAAAGCTTCCCAAAAATAGCAAACCAACATACTGGTCACCAACTATAAGCTTTTAGGCTTTTGTGTGATTGGATAACTGGGATGCAGAGACTTGAACTTTTGTTTTTTAAAGCCTGCATAATCTATAATGTGTCAGAGCCTCCTCTCCACATGACAGAAGGAACGGAAAGACTTGCAGAACCAGCCTATACAGCAAAAGACCTAGATAAGCCAAACAGTATTAATTTGTTGAATGCTGGTGGGGTTTATTTGCTTGCTTATAGAAATAAGAGTTGAAAGTGCTGGCTGGGTGTGGTGGCTCAAGCCTGTAATCCCAGCACTTTGGGAGGTCAAGGCGAGCGGATCACGAGGTCAGGAGTTCGAGACCAGCCTGGCCAACACAGTGAAACCCCGTCTCTACTAAAAATACAAAAATTAGCTGGGCATGGTGGCACATGCCTGTAGTCCCAGCTACTCGGGAGGCTGAGGCAGGAGAATCGCTTGAACCCAGGAGGTTGTGGTGAGCCGAGACTGTGCCACTGCACTCCAGCCTGGGCAACAGAGCAAGACTCCGTCTCAAAAAAAAAAAAAAAGTGCTATATAGGGCAAGCTAGGTAAACCATACTGTACTACGTAGCTATTGTATGAACTAGCATTTGAAAATCTTTCCTAAAAGTAGATTAAACTTCTAAAATATTTGAGAGAGAGAGACACTAGTCTTCTCTAGGGCCAAAAGTTGCAAGAGTGAAGATTCACTCTCAATGTACAGATATATTACACTGGGGGCTGGGCACGGTATTCCCAGCACTTTGGGAGGCCAAGGCGGGCAGATCACCTGAGGTCAGGAGATCTAGATTAGTCTGGTCAACATGGCAAAACCCCATCTCTACTAAAAATACAAAAATTAGCTGGGTATGGTGGCGCATGCCTGTAATCCCAGCTACTCAGGAGGCTGAGGCAAGAGATTTGCTTGAACCCAGGAGGCAGAGGTTGCCTGGGTGACAGAGTGAGACTCCATCTCAAAAAAAAAAAAAAAAAAAATATATATATATATATATATATATATATATGGTCTTATTCATAATTCTGCCACATTAAAATTATGTAAGCTAAAGTATTATTCATTACTACCATATTTCATTAAATGTAAGATACCAATCGTAATTCACACCATTATTTTATGTACCACTGAGATAGAAAACATGCTGCCCACTGAATTATGACAAGATACCAATTTTTAAATGTATCCTAATTTTAGAAACATTAAAACACGAAATTAGTACATAGTAGAACCTATAAAATATGACTTTTTTTTTTTTTTTAGATGGAGTCTCGCTCTGTCGCCCAGGCTGGAGTGCAGTGGTGCGATCTCGGCTCACTGCAAGCTCCATCTCCCAGGTTCATGCCATTCTCCTGCCTCAGCCTCCTGAGTAGCTGGGACTACAGGCGCCCGCCACCACGCCCGGCTAATTTATTATTTATTTATTTATTTATTTATTTATTTATTTATTTATTTATTTATTTTTTGAGACGAGTCTCGCTCTGTTGCCCAGGCTGGAGTCCAGTGGGGTGATCTCGGCTCACTGCAAGCTCCACCTCCCGGGCTCACGCCATTCTCCCGCCTCAGCCTCCCAAGTAGCTGACACTACAGGCGCCCGCCACCACGCCCGGCTAATTTTTTTTTTTTTTTTTTTTTTAGTAGAGACGGGGTTTCACCGTGTTAGCCAGGATGGTCTCAATCTCCTGACCTCGTGGGATCCGCCTGCCTCGGCCTCCCAAAGTGCTGGGATTACAGGCGTGAGCCACCGCGCCCAGCAAAATATGACATTTTAAGTTGAAAATACATTATCATGTTGCACTGTACAGTACACCACCAAAAATGTCATGTTTTAATAGCAGAAGTGATAAGTCACTAGAGCAGCAGCCTAAAGTAACAAGTATAAAACCTAAGTTGAAGAAACTAAATATACTGAGCACTGAACAGATGAAAAGTGCTTCAAACAGTGCCTGATTCAAAAAACTTATTTATTCCTTTAAGCAACCTTAGGAAGTGGCTATCATTATCACCACCCTCTTTGCAAATGAAGACACTGAGGCATAGAGGTTCAGTGACTTTCTTCATGTCATACAACTACTACTAAAATCCAAACAGAATGGCTCTAGAGTTCATTAGTGGTCTTTCACCAATTGACACTACTGCTCCCCTTTTTTTTCTTCTTTTTTTTGGACAGCGTCTCACTCTATCACCCAGGCTAAAGTGCAGTGGCATGATCTTGGCTAACTGCAACTTCCACCTCCTGGGTTCAAGTGAGTCTCCCACCTCAGCCTCCTGAGTAGCTGGGACCACAGGCACGCACCATTGCACCTGGCTAATTTTTTGTATTTTTGGTAAAGATGGTGTTTCACCATGTTGCTGAGGCTGGTCTCAAACTCCTGAGCTCAAGCGATCCACCCGCCTCAGCCTCCCAAATTGCTGGGATTACAGGCGTGAGATACCGTGTCCAGCTAACTGCTTCTTAAACATCTAAATTATTCTGGCTCCTACAAAGTGTAAGCAAAGAGGGTTGCATGAGAGTCAGAGGATGGGGAAAAAATAAAAAAAGACTGCAAAGTCAGCAGTACCCACAAACAAAGAAAACATCCTCAATTTCCAAGTCCAAGTGTGTTGTCGGAATGTCTAAATGCCATATTTCACATGCCACTGCCAAGATTAGGTTAGCTTAGTCTAAACCAGTGGTTGGCAAACTATGGCCCACTGGCCAAGAATCGCCCAACATCTGATTTTGCAAATAACATTTTATTGGAACAGAACTATGTTCATTCATTTACATGTCATCTACAGCTGTTTCTGTACTATAAGAGCAGAACTGAGTACCAATAAAGACCAGATAGCAGCCTAAAATACTTACTGTCTCATCTTTTTAAGAAAAACTACCCACTCCTCATTCTCAACTTTTCTTTATTTAGAACTCTTTGTTTGTTTGTTTTGAGATGGAGTCTCGCTCTGTCACCCAGGCTGGAGTGCAGTGGCATAATCTGAGCTCACTGCATCCTCAGCCTCCTGGGTTCAAGCAATTCTCCTGCCTCATCAGCCTCCCGAGTAACTGGGATTAGAGGAACCTGCCATCACGCCCGGCTAATTTTTTTTTTTTTTTGTACTTTTAGTAGAGACGGGAGTTTCACCATGTTGGCCAGGTTCTCGAACTCCTGATCTCAAGTGATCTGCCTGCCTCAGCCTCCCAAAGTACTGGGATTACAGCCGTGAGCCACTGCACCCGGCCTCAAGATTTTTCACTATTCATAAATGAACATAAATATCCTTAAACTAAAATTTGGTGTAAACCAAACCTTGATTCACAAAAACAGTTACTGTATCTATAATAAATTGGATGTTAACGAAGGAGGAATGTTTCTCTCATTTATGTATCAAGAGAGAAAAAATTTCAATTCTGATCTGGTTAACTAGAAGATAATACCAGATAGACAAAGTCTCTCATCTTACTTAACTTTAATCCTATGCCATATTTTATGTTTTTAGGTCTTTAACACTGTATTACTAAAGCCTAACCTATCCTCAATGCCCTGAGCATTAACTGATCACCTCGTAGAATTCTGCTCTCACTACTATTAGAATTGTTTTTCTTTATCCTACAATGCTAACCATCAGAATACTTGTAACCTAGTAAAAATTATTCACTAAAAATGATATGCTTCCATGAACCATAAGCTACATTATTGTTAGTTTGAATTAAGTCTACAAATTTAATCTGTAAACATTAAAACATATCCTTTACCAAACACATGAAAAAAAAAAGCCAGCCAATCTTTAATCAAAGGAAACATCTAAAGAAGACATTGTAGTACCTTTGGTACTGCAGCTTGGAAAACAAAGTCCGTCATATCTAGCTCTGTGCTGTTGGAGGCCTGTATCGTTATCACTGTTACACTGGGGTTGGTATTTGACCGTTCAAAGGTGAATTCTATCTTCAAGCCATTCTTACTGTATGCTGTGATGGAGGGGATGCCTGAGAAAGTACAGGAAGATAAGTCTTATTGTAGTCAGCCTAATGCTTGCAGAATTATTACTTCTTTTTCTTAATAACCACATCTCATTACTCAGTGCTCCATGTAATGATGGTAACAACAGTCATCGTACCTGCAGCAATATCATTGAAGAGAGGCTGTGATGAAAGCCCATCCAACAAGAAGGGGGGCTGGGATATCTGTGGGACTGAGGCAGGGGCAGGAGCAGCAGCTGGAGCACCTAAAGGAAATATTTTAATGGAAAGTTAACCTTAGGCAGCATGACAAAGCTTACCAAGAAATTATAGGGAAAATTATTTCGGTCTCAGGTTAAGGAAAGATTCCTTAAACAAGATGCAAAAAGCATAGACCACAAAGAGAAAGAACTAAAAACTCAAGTACTTTAAAACGAGCAACTTCTGTTTATTAAAAAATACTGTAAGAAAAAGTACAGTCTGAGCAACATGGCGAGACCCTGTCTCTACAAAAAAAAATACAAAAATTAGCCAGGCATGGTGGTGTGCGCCTGTAGTCCCAGCTACTTGGGAGACTGCAGTGGGAGGATCACTGGAGCCTGGAAAGTTGAGGCTACAGTGAGCTTGCACCACTGTACTCCAGCCTGGGGGACAGAGCGAGACTCTGTCGCAAAAAAAAAAAAAAAAGTAAAGAGAGAGAGCCCACAGACAGGAGAAAATGTTTGCTATACAGTAATGAATGGATAAGTATCCAAACGATAACTGTCTTCTATAAAACCAATAAGAAACAGATAACCCAATTTAAAAGTGTCAAGATATAAAAACACGCAAGTCACAAAAGAGGAAACCTGAATGAAAAGGGAATCTTACAAACAGATGCTCAATTTTACCAGTAATGATGGAAGTGGAATTTAAAATTATAGTGAGATACTACCTCATGTCTACCAGAATGGTGAAAATTTCGATGTCTGATAATTCCAGATGTTGGCAAGAAGATGGAACGATGGGAAATTTTAAGCTCTGCTATAGGAAGGTAAACTGGCACAACCAATCTAGAGAGTAATTTGGCAACAGTAGAGTTGAACATCAGTATATCCTTAAACTGAGGTTTCTCAACCTTGACAGTAATAGCTTTTAGGCTTCCTAATTCTTTGTTGTAGGGGGCTGCCTTGTTTATTGTAGGATATTAAGTAGCACCCCTGGGCTTTTATGCATTAGACGGTAGCATCCTCCCAGTTGTAACAACCAAAAATATCTTCAGACACTGCCAACCCCTGGAGGGCAAAATCTTCCCCAGTTGAGAACCGATTACCCCTTCTTAGGAATGCTTTTAATTAATCCTTGCATGTGTTCACTGGGAGATACATCCAAAAGCATTCATAGCAGGAACACTCCTAATGGTGAAATACTGGAAACAACCAAAATGTCTGTCATCTTGATAATGAATAAGTAAACTGATATATTGATATACTAAAATACTACACATGTACAACAGTAAAAAGTGAATTCACTAGAAATACACTTAACATGGATTATTCATAACTCATTCTCACAATTACAATGTTTAGCAAAAAAAGGTGCAAAAAAGAACACATTCAGTTGGATACCTTGTCTAAAAAGGTAAAAATTGGCAAAATAATACTACATACTATATCAAGAAATGCACAGGAATGGCAAACACCAATGTTAAACACTACTTTAGGATAGACAGTAGTTACGTCTGGAATCAAAAAGAAATGGGATGAGAGGGAAATACACAAAGAACATCAACCCTCTTAATATTTTATTTTACAAACTAGGTAGATCAAAACATTCATTAAATTTTGTAGATGTTAAATGCTGTATAATAAAATTTTCACACACACACACGCACCCTGTGAGGGGTGGTATAAAGTGGGGTGGGAAAAAGAAATAGATTACCATTCTTATTTAATCTTTCCAAATAAGAACAACTTGACAATCATACAATAGAAGATAATTCATAGAACATGAGGGATATCAAGATTCGAAGAAGAAGCATAAGGAAATTCAGTAAAATTAAGAGAATGTATTTAATATTTAAATAGATTTCAAACTACTTGTGAAATTAACTGAAAATATGCCATTTAAAAAAGAACTATCACAATGAAATAAAGGAAGGCTAGAATATCATCTTTTTTTAAGAAATTGACAGCAAGAATGAGGGGGAAAAAAGATACTAAAGAATACTAGAAAAGTAAATGACAGGCTGGGCGCGATGGCTCATGCCTGTAATCCCAGCACTTTGGGAGGTCGAGGCGGGTGGATCACCTGAGGTCAGGAGTTTGAGACCAGCCTGGCCAACACAGCGAAACCCTATCTCTACTAAAAATACAAAAATTAGCCGGGTGTGGTGGCACGCGCCTATAGTCCCAGCCACTCGGGAGGCTGAGGCAGGAGAATCGCTTGAATCTGGGAGGCAAAGGTTGCAGTGAGCCAAGATCACACCATTGCACTCCAGCCTGGGTGACAGAGCAAGACACCATCTCAAAAACAAAAACAAGTAAATGACATATTAAAAATTAGCAAAGAGAATAGAAATACGGATGGCTAAGCAAGCACGAGAAGCTAAAATAAATGCAAACACCATTTGTGCAGTCCAGCAGATTATCAATGAAGCAGACAAAGAAATATTCATACAGTTCTCCTAGTCTAAAAAATCAAATCGAGAAAATTTCCCCCAATTCCCATTTTCAAAACAATTTTAGAAATGTGTTCTCATGGAAAATCAGAGGCTACTCAAGATACAGGCAGCATATAGGTCCCCAACTCCCTCAAATTTTCACTTTTCTTTGTCCTGTAAAAGTATAGCAAGGTAGTTTAGGAGAAGAGCAGAAACTTACTGCTCCAAACCCTTTAAAAACACATGTTAAATCTATTCTGAATTTCTACTGACTTAAATTTCTATATAATGGGGTAAAACTGTAATGATAAATTAAGAAATCTAGAATTCAAAATTTTAAAACTTAATGTAAAAAGTGGAAAAACATCTTTAAAACACATTATGAATAAGGCAAGAAAACCCAGACTTTTTAACATTTTATCATTTTGCTTTAACATATAACACTAGGAAAACAAGACAGTAGGAACAAAAAGAAAAGACTCCACAATAAATGAGCTAAGGATACAGGAATGTTCAGAAAGGAACCTCATCTATAATACAAATATGTGAATAAATATTAAACATTCTCTGTGATCAAAAAATAATAGGGCCTCTCTCTGCTGACCAAGCCTGGCAGAGGGCTACAAAATTTAAAAAATAATAATAAAAATAAAATATAATAGGACCAAATTTTCACCCAATAGGGCTTTTTAAAATGATAATATACAATGCTTATGACTGTGCGGTTAAACATATAAATTGAGGAAAAGGTAAATAATATTTACCAAGTGCCTACTATGTATCATGCACTGAATAGGTCAATGGGCCTCACAAATATCTTATGGAGTAAGTATTAATCATCCTAATTTTAACCAGATTCAGAAAGACTAAGTCACTTAGTCTAACAAATTAATCTAAAATAAGAACAAATTGATGTAATATTTGTTGAGGCCGCTAGGTAAGAAAAATCTAGAAACAAAATACCCCATACTGGCTGGGTGCGGTGACTCATGCCTGTAATCCCAGCACTTTGGGAGGCCAAGGCGGGAGGATCATTTGAGGTCAGGAGTTCAAGACCAGCCTGGCCAACATGGTGAAACCCCATCTCTAATAAAAAAATACAAAAATTAGCTGGGCATGGTGGCACGTGCCTATAAATCCCAGCTACTCGGGAGGCTGAGGCAGGAGAATCACTTGAACCCGGGAGGCAGAGGTTGCAGTGAGCCGAGATCGTGCTGTTGCACTCCAGCCCGGGCAACAAAGCAAGATTCCGTTTCAAAAAAACCAAAAAAAAAAGCCAAACTACCCAATACTAACGAACTGAGTAAACAGAGCAAATTTGTTGATAAAGTATTAGTCACCTAAAATTATAATTATGAAGGCTATATATATTAACATGGAAATACTAACATATTAGGTGAAGTATATGCTATGGTTTAACTGTGGGGTTGTTTTTTCTTTGCCGGTTATCCAGTACAGCTTTGACATTTGAGGATTTGAAATTGACCATTTGTAAATGATTCATAAGTACATGACAAGTAACATTTTGAAATTTTGTTAAGACACAGACATAAATCCTATACTCTGTGACTCCACTGTATTAGGAAAAAAAAAAATCAGCCTGTGGGAATGAGCTTAGCTAACCATCCAACTTGTTATCCTATGTCTATTTTTTACTCAAGGTCATGTGTGCTTTAACTCTTCATTATCCTCTTAAAGAAGACAGCAAAACCCCGTCTCTACTAAAAATACAAAAAATTAGCCGGGCATGGTGGCATTCGCCTATAATCCCAGCTACTCAGGAGGCTGAGGCAGGAGGCTCACTTGAACGCAGGAGGCAGAGGTTGAAGTGAGCCGAGATAATCCCACTGCACTCCAGCCTGGCTGACAGAGTGAGACTCTGTCTCAAAAAAAAAAAAAAAAAGACACTTTAACCTTTCAGCTATACTTTACACTGAAATTTAGGATAGAAGTTGTAGGCCAGGCGTGGTGGCTCACACCTGTAATCCCAGCACTTTGGGAGGCTGAGGTGGGTGGATCACGAGGTCGGGACCAACCTGGCCTACATGGTGAAACCCTGTCTCTCCTAAAACTACAAAAATTAGCCAGGCGCAGTAGCAGGCGCCTGTAATCCCAGCTATTCAGGAGGCTGAGGCAGGAGACCTGCTTGAACCCAGGTTGCAGAGGCTGCAGTGAGCCGAGATCATGCTACTGCACTCCAGCCTGGGTGACAGAGTGAGACTCTGTCTCAAAAAAAAAAAAAAAAAGGCCAGGCGAAGTGGCTCACGCCTGTAATCCCAGCACTTTGGGAGGCCGAGGCAGGGGGATCATGAGGTCAGGAGTTCAGGACCAGCCTGACGAACATGGAGAAACCCCATCTCTACTAAAAATACGAAAATTAGCCAGGGCATGGTGGTGCGTGCCTGTGATCCCAGCTACTCAGGAGGCTGAGGCAGAAGAATCGCTTGAACCCGGGAGGCGGAGGTTGCAGTGAGTCGAGATCGTGCCACTGCACTCCAGCCTGTGCAACAGAGCAAGACTCCATCTCAAAATAAAAATAAAAGTTGTATTGGACTCGGGTTTATCATATTGCTGAACATGTCAATTACAAATGACTGGTATATATGAACAGAAGAAAAAATATTCCCAAATGAAAAGTTATGTTTGAATATTATGAGTGATTGCCCTTCAGTTGCTTTAATTACAGAAAGTGTGAAAGGGAAGAGGTAAGTAGCAGGTTAACATCTCTCCACAAATGGCCACAGCTACTGAAAACTAACCATTAGTGGGAAGGAACCAAGAAGAAGTCATGTCTTGGGACACTAAAAGCAAAGGTGATACGGGATATATTTTTTGAGCTTGAAAGAGAAAGTGTGTTTTTTTTTTTTTTTTTTTGGAGACAGAGTCTTGCTCTGTCACCCAGGCTGCAGTACACACTGGCGCGATCTCGGCTCACTGCAACCTCCGTCTCTCAGGTTCAAGCGATTCTCCTGCCTCAGCCTCCGGAGTAGCTGGGATTATAGGCATGCACCACTTCACCCGGCTAATTGTTGTATTTTTAGTAGAGATGGCGTTTCACCATGTTGGCCAGGCTGGTCTAGAACTCCTGACCTCAGGTGATCCACCTGCCTCTGCCTCCCAAAGTGCTGGGATTACAGGCATGAGCCACTGCGCCCAGCCAGGAAAAGTAGTTTCTATCTTAAAACACTATGAATAATTTATTCACCCAAAATTAGGAGTTTGCCTTTAAGAAATCCGTATAAATTATCTTTAGAGCATTATTAGTATACAACATATAACCCGGATATTGTGAAGATTTGACTCTTGCTTCTGATTTAGCCTCTCCCATCTTCAAATGATTCACGTGCTGGAAAGTCTGGGTTCAGTTTAGTTTTTCCCTGAGGCCTCTATCTTTTCCCAGGTATTAAATAGCTCCAGACTGCCTCACCTGTAAGGTTGATGTCTCCCAGCAAATCAAGAAGTTCTCCACCAGCAGAAGATGGTTTGCTTGTAGGCGCAGTTGGAATAACAGGTGTTATGTCATTTCCTCCCAACAAATCCAATAAATCATTGGCCTAAACAAGGTAACAACACCTCAATTCATTATTATTTGATTTGTCTAGTATACATCTAATGCAAAGCTCTTTCAATATGTAAAAATAAGGAAGGAAATCATCAACCAACCCAGGAACATTAAAGGGACTCAGCTAAGAGACAAGCTGTAAGGGACTATAAAATCGTAAGAAGCCCCAGATGAGCAAGTGAAAGGCTGGCTACCTGGCTGGTGGGCTGTGGCCCAGAGGGTGGCGGTTTGGTCTCTAGTGGAGCTGGTTCTGTCTCTCCATTTGTCTGCACAATCTCAGTAGGGCCATTTGTGGTCACTTTTTCCATGACAGGCATTCTCTCAAGTAGGGCAGACCTAGAAGAATCTGAAGTGGTTAAATTCTAGGCAGTTAACCTAGATTCCCTACCCAAAATAATCACCATTAACTATGTTGAGCCCAAGCATGGAGATCTATCTCCCCTCCCCATCCAACACACACACTAAAATAGAAGGTAGATTACAAGAATACATGACCTAAATTCCTGGCTGGATTAAGGGCAGACAAAAAAATCTTGAATAAACAGACTGCCCAGCTAAATCCCAAAGCATATATTTCAGTGGTAGAGAGACTGAGATGAAAGAAAGGTAAATCCATAGGTATTAACAGTCAAGAAGATACTGTATAATAGAAGAATAAAAGATGACCCAAACACTAGAATGTTAACAGTAAAAGAATTTGAATGAGATTATTTGTCTTGAAAAAATACAACTCCCACTTCTTTTTTTTTTGAGACAGAGTCTTGCTCTGTCGCCAGGCTGGAGTGCAGTGGCATGATCTTGGCTCACTGAAACATCCGCCTCCCAGGTTCAAATGATTCTCCTGCTTCAGCCTCTCGAGTAGCTGGGAATACAGGCATGCGCCACCATGCCCAACTAATTTTTTTGTATTTTTAGTAGAGACGGGGTTTCACCATGTTGGCCAGGATGGTCTCGATCTCTTGACCTCGTGATCTGCCCGCCTCGGCCTCCCAAAGTGCTGGGATTACAGGCGTGAGCCACCACGCCCGGCCTCCCACTTCTTAACTAAATAAAATAGAAAATAAAGCAAACTTTCCATATCAAAAAAAGTGTAAGTGTTGGAGGTGGAATGAAAGAGAGTTAATTTATTTCTTTAGAGACTAGGCAGAATAGAAGATGGACAAAACAGAAGCAGACAAGCAATTAGAACTAAATAGGGATACGAGGAACAATTAATAAAGCACAAGGAATGAATCTTCTTTATGGATTACCATGACAATTTAGTCAGGATGCTAAGAGATACACGCATTGCTTAGTTTCTTTCGCTCACCTCATGTGGTCATATTTCTTGAAAAGTGCATTATATTCTACTGCCCTCTGCTGGAGTTCCACATCAATGCTGCTTCCGTAGATGGAAACCACTTTCTTAATTCGGCTATAGATAAAATGACAAACGAAATAAAATACCCAAAAGAAAATTCACAAATAAGCAGAGATAATGTTTAATAAGCCAGAATTTTCTGGTTAAAATACTGAAATACTCATTTTTTCTTAATTTATATAGTTTTTCAAAAACAAAACACTTTACTTTCATCCATTTATCTGACATTCGCATTATACTATTCTCATTGTAACACTAGATTTTTGTCTGTTAAATATGCCATCCCCATTCAGCAACAATGATGGTGTGGAAAAAACACATATATATATGCCACTCCCTAAACTTTGCTAGACAAAAGTACCAACTATTACTTTGCCACAAAAGAAATTTGTACTGTTCATTCTCTTCTTTGATAATTTTTAAATAATTTTTAATCTATAAAAGGGTCAGAGCCTCAAAATGTTGACCCCAAATTCTTCCAGTTCAGAATTTTAAAAGTAATTCAATACCATTTTTTATAAGACTTCACATTTAAAAGTGAAGCAGAAAGACTACAAGAACTACGTTGGCCTTAAATATGCTTGGGTGGGAAAGTGACCTGAGAATCTACTTTATTCAAAAAAGCAAAGAGGAGAATTAAAAGATTTAATCACCAAAACATTCATGATTTTATTCCTATTAAGACTTGTCAAAATATAATAAACCAAAACCTTGGCCAGATTACAAGGTCAGGAGTTCGAGACCAGTCTGGCCAAAATGGTGAAACCCCATCTCCACCAAAAAATACAAAAATTAGCCAGGCATGGTGGTGTGCGCCTGTAATCCCAGCTACTCAGGAGGCTGAGGCAGGAGAATTGCTTGAACCCTGGAGATGGAGATTGCAGTGAGCCGAGATTGTATGCCACTGCACTCCAGCCTGGCAACAGAGCAAGATTCTGTCATAAAATAAAATGAAATATAAAATACAAATAAACCAAAACCTTTATATGGGGAAGTAGATTCTCAACTTAAAAAGAAAAAAAAAAGGTATTAGAAATCTCATTCTAAAAACGTAACTTTTAGGCCAGGTGGAGTGGGTCACATCTGTAATCCCTGCACTTTGGGAGGTCAGGGCAGGAGGATCACTTGAGCCCAGGAGTTTGAGACCAGCCTGGGCAAACAAACGAAACACTTTCTCTACAAAAAAATGTAAAAATTAGCCAGGCACGATGGTGTGCACTTATAGTCCCAGCTCCTCTGGAGGCTGAGACAGGAAGATCCCTTAAGCCCAGGAGTTCAAGGTTGCAGTAAAATATGATGGCGCCACTGCACCCCATCCTGGGTAAGAGAGCGAGACCCTGTCTCAACAAACAAACAAAACCCCCTAAACTTTTCTGCTTCAAAATAATCCACAAGGGAGTAAAAGAATGAGAGGGAACAAAGTGCTGATGAATAAAGATTAACCACAAATTGATCACTGTGACTGTGGAGAAATAAGTAATGGAAATTTGTGTTATTATTCTCTCTACTTTTGTCTATGCTTGAAATTTTCCATGATAACAAGTTTTTTGGGATTTTTTTTGTTTTTTAATTACAAAACAACCTGTTCACCCTATGTTTCTTCAATACTCACTTTACAGTACAAGTGAATCGAGTGGAAAGCTTCATAATGGCAGTGAGGGCATAACCTCGTGTCACAGAGGTGGACATATTAGAGATTAGGACACTTTCTAAAATATCCAACACTTCATCCTCTGTTACCTGAGGAGGAGGAGGAAAAAGAAGACGATGAAGAATGAGTAGCATGATTAAGCATCTAAATCTGATATCAAGTCAGGGGAAGCAGCCAGAAAGACAATCCTACCGTTACAAAAGCCTCTAACTCAACCTGTGCTTTGCCAGGGTAACTGTCCAAGCTGTTCTATCAACCAGAGTAGTTGGGGGTAAAAAAAAGTGCTCTGGTTCTATCAACCAGAGCAGGTGGGGGTAAAAAGAGTGAAAAATGACCACTGGGGCTGAGAGGCAATATTAGAGCTTCAAGTGGCAGAAACAGAAGAAGAAAAGAAAAACATACAGAGTTCAAGTGTTGTTGCCACAATTTTCCCTTTTAAAGCCAGTCCTTTAATGTGCAAATAAGAACATGGATACATGTCTCATTTCTTCTTGTTTACCAGCCAGAGGGTAAGAGAAACAGTAATTCAGTCCACTAGGACAGAGACTTGGGCCTAAAGTGGTTTTAAAATCTCACAATGGGGCCAGGCAAAGTGGCTCACACCTGTTTTGTTTTTTTTTTGTTTTTTTTGTTTTGAGACGGAGTCTGGCTCTGTCACCCAGGCTGGAATGCAGTGGCGCAATCTTGGCTCACTGCAAGCTCCACCTCCCGGGTTCACGCCATTCTCCTGCCTCAGCCTCCCGAGTAGCTGGGACTACAGGTGCCTGCCACCACGCCCGGCCAATTTTTTCTACTTTTTAGTAGAGATAGGGTTTCACTGTGTTAGCCAGGATGGTCTGGCTAACCACCCTGCAGGTGACCTCATGATCCACCCGCCTTGGCCTCCCAAAGTGCTGGGATTACAGGCATGAGCCACCACACTCAGCAATGCCTGTTAATCCCAACACTTTGAGAGGCCAAGGCAGGCAGATTGCTTGAGTCCAGAAGTTCAAGACCAGCCTGGGCAACACGGTGAAACCCTGTCTCTACAAAAAAAAAGTAGAATAAACTAGCCAGGGTGGTGCCTGCCTATAGTCCCAGCTACTCAGGAGGCTGAGGTGGGAAGATCGCTTGAAACCCAGGAGATCAAGGCTGCAGTGAATTGTGATCCCACCATGGCACTCCAGCTTGGGTGACAGAGTGAGACTCTATTAAAAAAAAAAAAACAAAAAACCTCACAATGGCTCAATAAGTTCCATCTCAAAAAATGGCAGGTTTTCCAATATAATTCGCGTTTGCTTCTTTAAAAAGTTGGGTATTTTTTAAATTTTTTTGAGACAGGGTCTCACTCCTGAGTAGCTGGGACTAGACACCATCATACCTGTCTAATATTTGTGTCTTTTGTAGAGACAGAGTTTCACCATGTTGCCCAGGCTGGTCTCAAACTCCTGGGCTCAAGCGATGCTCCCATCTCAGCCTCCCAAAGCGCTGGGATTATAGGCATGAGCCACCACGCCTGGCCTAAAAAGTTTTCAAGGAATCAACCTCAACTCCCCATTAAACACTACTCTCCTATAACCAAAACCACTATTTTCCCCCACTTAACCAAGAGTGACAAGGAGTACCTGAATAGGCTCTTCCTCTTCACACTGGCCAGATACAAGAAGATCACCATATTCACCTATACACCATGCAGCCACTTGTACCAAAGGTTGCTGTGAAAAGAAAAGTCAACGTTTCTCAAGAACTTCAATTTTTCCAAAGTTATTTAATGCAAATCATAGGTCATCTCATAATAAAGATCAAAACTGTGCATATCTAGAGTGTTAGAAATAAAGACATACCAAAGGGGAGAGAGGAGGGGGGAAAAAAAAGAAGAAAAACATACCAGAAAAATTGAGGGTAAAATTACCCCCTAAAATAGTTGAATGAAGTACTTACTTGAGAATAATCACCAAGAATTGCTTTGTACAGGCGCTGGACAGTATAGGCATGCATCTCCACACTATTAGTTATTAACTGGATTAAATTGGGGACTGCATCATCACGAACATAACTTCCTGCCTAAAAGGAAATGCAGACAATTACCCCTAGAAACACACAGAAATGATGATAACAAGTGTTAGCTATTATTATTACTGTGTGTTTTTTCCTTTCTTTTTTTGAGACAGAGTCTCGCTCTGTCACCCAGGCTGGAGTGCGATAGCGCGATCTTGGCTCACTGCAACCTCCACCTCCCAGGTTCAAGCGATTCTCATGCCTCAGCCTCCCAAGTAGCTGGGACTACAGGTACATGCCACCACACCTGGCTAATTTTTTCTATTTTTAGTAGAGATGGGGTTTCACCATGTTGGTCAGGGTGGTCTCGAACTCCTGACCTCAGATGATCCACCTGCCTCGGCCTCTCAAAGTGCTGGGATTACAGGCGTGTGCCACTGCGCCCAGCCATTACTATTGTTTTTAAAAGAAGAATACCAGAAAACACCCTCAAAGATAAATTTGGTTCCAATTCTCAGGTTCATAACAGCTCAAACTTCAAAGTCTTATTTAAATATGTTACATTTTTAAATTTTATTTTATTTTTAAAAATTTTCTCTTTGTCCAAAGGCCGGGTGTGGTGGCTCACGCCTGTAATCCCAGCACTTTGGGAGGCCAAGGCGGGTGGATCACAAGGTCAGGAGATCGAGACCATCCTGGCTAACACGATGAAACCCCGTCTCTACTAAAAATACAAAAAATTAGCCGGGCATGTGGTGGGTGCTTGTAGTCCCAGCTACTCAGGAGGCTGAGACAGCAGAATGGCGTGAACCCAGGAGGCCGAGCTTGCAGTGAGCCGAGTTTGCGCCACTGCACTCCAGCCTGAGCAACAGACTGAGACTCCGTCTCAAAAAAAAAAAAAAAAAAATTTCTCTTTGTCCAAATTAAAAAAGGAAGGCTGGACACAGTGGCTCACACCTGTAATCGCAGCACTTTGGATGGCTGAAGCAAGATGACTGCTTGAGGCCAGGAGTTTGACACAAGCCTGGGCCACACAGCAAGACTCCATCACTACCAACAATAATAATAATAATAATAATAATGTAAAGGTTTAAAACTTTATCACCCAACCTTGGTCAATCTCCCATTCCTAAATAGAACAATAGATTTAATTTGTAAGACTGAGACCAGTCCTAACCATGTGTATTTTGGAAAGGAAAAAAAAGAAAAAAAAAAAAAAACAGCCAGGTGATCAGGGTTTTATCAGGTCACTCCTGTTAAGAAACACAAAGACAGAGGAAGAATTCTGGGAAAATGATCAGAAGGAAAGGTGAGAAGCTAAAAAGCAGGTAATTTGCAGTATAGTTTATTTACATCCTTCCGTAAAGCAGAGTGCATTAAATACAAGAAAGCATCAGGGTGATCTAATGGGTTTGTATAATAAGACTACTTCATTCAACAGCAGCAGAATACACATTTTTCTTAAACTTACACTGAACCAAGAAAGACCATATTCTGGGTCATAAAAAATATCTTAACAAATTTCAAATAACATAAATCATAGACAGTATGCTCTTAGACCACACAGAATTAAACTAGAAATCTGCAACACAAAGACAGGTGCAAAAAAATCCCAAAATATTTGGAGATTAAAAGAACATACTTCTAAATAACACATGGGTCAAAAACAACATTATAAGAGAAAACTATAAGCCAATCTCTCTCATGAATACACATATAAAAATACTCAACAAGATATTAGCAAATCAAACCCAACAAAGTTATAAAAAGAATAATATACCCTGACCACGTATTCCAGGTATGTAAGGCTGGTTAGGCATTCAAATATCAATGTAACCCAGCATGTAACAGGCTAAAGAAAACAAATCACATGATCATAAGAGAACACAAGTCAGTTAGAAAAATAAAATCAGGGGCACAAAAAAAAAGCTTTTGAATTCTCATAAACACTTTCCTTCAGGAGTGTTAATTTCTCCCTTCTTTTGAGCCTCATGAAAACTAGGAAAACATGTCCTGTTCATCATTATGTTAATTACATTTTGTTAGATTATAATTTTTCCCCTTGCTAATCAAATTTATTAACTTTTAACCTTTTACCAAGTTAATTCATTGTAAGTAAACTAAAAAACGAGTATGCCCCAGAGAGAATTCCACAGCAACAAATACATATACATATAAGTCATAATTTCATAAGTCAACAAATACATATAAGTCATAATTTCAATGATATAATTTTCTCCCTACAGATGTTTCATAATTTACTTAATCCCCATTTGGGGACTACTAGTTGTTTCCGGTTTTCTCCTACTATAAACAATATTAGGATGAATACTTTTACATACACATTTTTGTGTACTTGTCCTATTATTTTTTCAGGCTAAAGTCCTAAAAATTGAATTAATGAATCAAAGGGTACAATTTAAGGCTTTTCCTACATGCTACCAAACTGCATAGTAAAAAGATGGCATCATCCTATACTCCCATAAAGTGAAGAGTACTGCCTGTTTCTCTATTTTCTAACACTGGGAATTAGATTAAAAAATACGAAATGTGAAAAATGATACCTCAATTTTACTTTATTTCTTTAATAAGAAAATTTTTTCAAATGTTAATTAGCCATTTCTTTCTTCATGAATTGCTGGTTCAAATACCAATTTTTCCATTAGAGTGGTATTTCCTATCAATTATAAATTATTCATAGATTGAATATATTAATATGCTGTCATAAGTTAATGTTTTCCCCAGTTGTTAATTTGCCTTTTAAATCGTAGACTGTTCCCCTTTTTGTTATTCAATTTTTAAATTTTAATATGGTTAAATTTGTGGCTTTTCCTTTACAGTAGCTACTTCTAGTGACTTAATTAATGGAAATGGTTTTCTTTACATGTCACTGCACTTTCATTTTTACTCTTAAATACCTAATCCTTGCCTACTAATTGAATAATAAACACAGAAACCCTGAATTTCTGCAAGAATGCCAAAGAAAGGATCCCATCCAAAACAGGATTTCAAATCCTGAGTAACTTTAGCCATTCAAAACCCTGCAATGGCTTCCTAACATATTCAAAATAAAATGCAAGCTCCCATGAGGCCTACATAGTCTGGCTCCGCTTATGTCTCTGACATCCATCCTACCATTCTCTGCCTCTCTCACTTTATGGCTTCACTTGCCTTCCTGTTGCTCTCCAAGCAAGCTATGCTTGTTCCTACCTCAGGTCTTTGCACTTAGGGTTCCCTCCGTATGGTACACTATTCCTCACGATCTCTGCATGGCTTGCACCTCATGTCTCTTAGGTCTCTACTCAAATGTTATCTCCTCTGAGAGACCTCCCTGACTAACTCTAATCTAAAACACTTGGCCAGTTGCCCTATATCCCACCTTATCCTGCCATCATTATATTCCTCCATGCTGCTTTAGGTTTTTCTTCATGGCATTTATTCCTAACTGACATTAATGTTACCTATTTACTTGTGAATTTCTTACCTCCCTGACTAGAACATAAACTTCATGATAACATCAGTATATCCCAGCACTTCGTATATGCTGTCTGAAAGAAGCTACTTACCGTTGTCAAAACACGCATAATTGTGTCTATATGCCATCGTTTGGAAGGTGCATACCTGAAAAAAACAATGGAAAGGGACACTTGGAACCAGTAAAATATACCGTTTTCAGTGACTAGAAAATCCTGCCCAAGCAGGGTGACTCACACCTGTCATCCCAACATCTTGGGAGGCCGAGGTGGGAGATCACCTGAGCTCAGGAGTTCGAGACCAGCCTGGGCAACACGGTGAAACTCCATCTCACCAAAAAATACAAAAATTAGCTGGGTGTGGTGGTGGGTGCCTGTAGTTCAGCTACTCTGGGAGGTTGAGGTAGGAGGATTGCCTGAGCCTAGGAGGTTGAGGCTACAGTGAGAAAGAAGAGAGAGAAAAGAAAGAGAAGAAACAGAAGAAAGAAAAGAAAGGGAAGAAAGAGAAGAGAAGAAAGAAAAGAAAGAAGGAAAGAAGATGGAAGGAAAGAAGGAAGGAAGGAAGGAAGGAACAAAAAAGAGAGAGAAAGAAAAGAAAGAAAAAGAAAGAAAGAAAGAAAGGAAGGAAAGGAAAAGAAAGGAAAAGAAAAGAGAAGAAAATCCTGTCCTACAGTCTTTTCTAGGTTCCCTGGATAAGTGAACATATCTGGAAACATTTCAACTTCAAATCTAGCAGCAAATGCCATTTCAAAGAGTGATAAAAAGGTATACAGTCAACTGACTTCAGTGGCTCATGCCTATAATCCCAGTACTTTGGGACGCCAAGGAGGAAGGAGTGCTTGAGGCCAGGAGTTCCACACAAACCTGGGTAACATAGCAAGACCCCATCTCTACAAAATAAAAATTAAAAAATTAGTGGCACATGATGATTTGCAGCTACAGTCCCAGCTACTCAGGAGGCTGAGGCAGAAGGATGGCTTAAGCCCAGAAGTCCAGGCTGCAGTAAGCTATGACTGGGCCACTGCCCTCCAGCCTGGGTGACAGAGCAAGACTCCGTTTCTAAAATTAAAGAAAAAAAAAAAAGAGGGTACATAGTCAAACTCAGATGTTTCCCATAAGATTGCAATAAGAGTTGCTAAGCTGAGAAATGAGATTTGTTTTCAGTTTCAGAGAAAATGAATCATTCAGTCAGGGCAGGAGACGATAAAGAAGAAAGAAGAAAAGGGACTGTTTTCAGACCAAGACAACATTTGGACTAAAAACTTGTTTCCTTAAATTCAGAGTGGAAAGAAGAGAAAGAATAGCTGTACTACTAAAATCATAAGGTACTTCCTCAAAATTCTGCATAGAGCTGCAATTCAGGTGCTGTAACTGTTCTATTGCCTTTATTAAAACAGCATCACAGGCCAGGTGTGGTGGCTGATGCCTGTAATCCTAGCACTTTGGGAGGCTGAGGCAGGCGAATCGCTTGAGTCCAGGAGTTCGAGACCAGCCTGGACAACATAGCGAAACCCCATCTCTACAAAAAGAAAAAAACAAACCCAGAAATTAGCAGGGTGTGGTGGCGTAAGCCTATGGTCCCAGCTACTTGGGGGGCTGAGGCAGGAGGATCCCCTGAACCTGGGAGGTCAAGGTTGCACTGAGCCGAGACTGTGCCACTGCACTCCAGCCTAGGTGACAAAGTGAGACCCTGTCTCAAAAAAACCCAAAACAAAAAAAACCAGCATCATAGATGAGAGGTTAAAGAACAGATAAAGGAGAAGATTTCATAAAAGTGTGAAATTTTTTTGGTCTCAGCATATTTAAATGCTGGCTATAATAGCCTTCTCCAAGCTAATTTATAATTGAGGGTTTGAAATAAATGTTATGTGTTTTAAACATATTTAAAGTAGTTTCCCCATTTTTTTTTTTTTGTTTTGTTTTTGAGATGGAGTCTTGCTCTGTCACCTAGGCTGGAGTGCAGTGGCATAACCTTGGCTCACTGCAACCTCCACCTCCCAGGTTCAAGTGATTCTCCTGCCTCAGCCTGCCGAGTAGCTGGGACTACAGGCGCGTGCCACCAGGCCCAACAAATTTTTGTATTTTTAGTGGCGACAGGGTTTCACTATGTTGGCCAGGCTGGTCTCGAACTCCTGACTTCATGATCCACCTGCCTTGGCCTCCCAAACTGCTGAGACTGCAGGCGTGTGCCACCGCGCCCAGCCCCCTCCCCATGTTTTAAAGACACTTCCAAAAGTTCCAAGCAGACTTTACCAATAAAGGTAAAAATTAAATCTTACTTTTCTGCAGCAAGAAAGATTCCAGATGCACAGTCTGCTTTAAATTCTGGCTCACACGAATCCAGAAAATAAAGTAATTCTTTCATCATGCCTCGGATATTATTCCCATTTACCAGGGCAAAACTCAATTCCATTGCACGCCTTGCAGAAGGGAAAAATTAAAAACAGTTAAGAAATTTATAGTGGAAATGAAACAAAGACCCAGGTATGCACTCTGTGAACACCAAGTACTGCCAGATGTGCTGACGTCCTTGCACGATCTTGTGATCCCAATCTTTGCACACGAAATAACCAAGGAGATGTATTCTTACATAATCAAAGTTAGTTTTGATATTTTGAATCTTCATGCAATATTCTTCTTCAAAAGTCCCTACGAGATATACCACTAATGTCCAAACATGCAGCTTGGGTTCAACAGGCTGTTCTACAAAGGTGGAAGTTAGAATACCTGAGAGTCTCAAAAAGAGGGGCAACAAATAAATGTATTACCCAATAATAATACCTATCTGCCTCATTCCTTAAAAATGTGACATGTTAAGTCACCATATTCTACTTTTATTACACCCCACTCTGTCCAAACATGATGTAATATAGTTTATGTCAAAAGGTATGCAGAAAATTCAAATTAAAAACAAATTCAAGGCCGAGCGTGGTGGCTCACACCTGTTTTCTCACCACTTTGGGAGGCCAAGGCAGGCGAATCACCTGAGGTCAGGAGTTTGAGACCAGCATGGCCAACATGGTGAAAGCACTTCTGTACTAAAAATACAAAAATTAGCCGGGCATGGTGGTGGGCGCCTGTAGTCCCAGGTACTAGGGAGGCTGAGGTAGGAGAATTGCTTGAACCCAGGAGACAGAGATTGCAGTGAAGTGAGGCACTCCAGCCTCGGAAACAGAGTGAGACTCTGTCTCAAAAAAAAAAAAAAAAAATTCAAAGGGAAAATGAGGGCCATGAGAAGGAAAAAAAAAATGGCATGTCCTAGGAGGACAAATAAGAGTTTCTATAACTGCCTATTCAAAGTTGGCAATGAAGTTAAAAATAGGAATGTTTAACATGTAAAAGCTGTAAGGTTGCTATATGCATCTTTCCATACTTGGTCAATAATATCAAACACTATATGTACACTGACTTTCAAAAGTAACAATTTAGGCTGGGCACAAGTGGCTCACGCCTGTAATCCCAGCACTTTGGGAGGCCAAGGCAGGCAGATCACCTGAGGTCAGGAGTTCGAGACCAACCTAGCCAATACGGCAAAACCCTGTCTCTACTAAAAATATAAAAATTAGCCGGGTGTGGTGGCAGGCGCCTGTAATCCCAGGTACTTGAGAGGCTGAGACAGGAGAATCGCTTGAACTCAGGAGACGGAAGTTGCAGTGAGCCGAGGTCGCACCACCACACTCCAGCCTGAGCGACACAAGACTCCGTCTCCAAAAAAAAAAAAAAATTAACGAGTGGGGATACTTTCATCTTAGCTAACATGTAAGTAGCAAAAAATTCAATCCTTAGATATAATAACTTTTATAGGGTGCTTATGTAATTTACATATATTAATTCAATTTATCCTGCATAACCCTATGAAGTGGTTGCCCTTCTATCTGTATTTTACTTATGAGGCAATTGAGGCACTGAAAGTTTAAGTAATTTGACCCAGTCTATTAAAGGCAGAGTCAGAAAATGAAATGAGGCAGTCTGGCTCCAGAGTCTAAGCTCTTACTGTTATATATCCTTTCAAAGAGACACAAGTTTCACTTTTTTTGAAATTCACAGCCCAGTAATGAGCTAGAGAGAAACAACACAAAAAGAGTCAGAAGGCTAATATCTATTCCCAGGACTGCCCCTTACAAGGATTAAGGTTTAGGTTAAGTCATTTGATCCCCATGGGACTGAATTGTAACTAATCTGTTAATTAGGGATAGAAGTAGTTGCTTAGGCTCTCTCATTGGCCTGCTCTGAGAACCCACTGAGAGGGTACTTATAAAATCTTTTGCAAAGCACTATATAAAAGTTGGTGTTATTAAGTTTAGGTCTTATCTTTAGATTGCTCAAGCACTTAGCACCTTTTATTTGTACCTGTTCTGTGCAAATCAAAGGAACTCACCATCAATAAATGTTTGTTAACTGAATGGTTTCAGAGATCACTTTAAATATACTTTGTTCTAGATTTGAACATACAACCAAAAGTTCAGAGGCCAACTTTAGCTAAGTTCTACATATTCTACAAACATCTAGAGTTCTAAGAAGACATCCAGTAGAATTACTCCACTGAGGGAAGAGATTTATGCTTTTTGAGAGTGCTACCTGCTGCCTAACAGTCATTTCAGGATACACTGTTCTAAGCAATATGCTGCCTTCAGGATCCTGGGGCGTAAGTACTGTGAAAAACGTGTGCTGTCAGCAGTTTGAGTGTCAGCATTGTGACAAGACACTTAGCCGATGGATCACTCCGTACTTTCATCCTCCAACACACAAAGCACAGTACCTCCACTAGGTAAACTTTTGCCTAGCTTATCTGTGCCTGTTGTATTTATCAAAGAGCCAAGGACAACTTCAGTGTGCACTTAAGTATTCTTATTGGCCTCCTTAACAACCTAAACTTCTCCCTGCCAATCCTTTCTAAAAAAAGGATTCACTGAGCAGAGTCCATCTGTGAACACAATGACTAAATACATAAATGTCAACACTCTTGCTCTGAAAACAAAGTATCACATGGCAGCGGCATAGAGCTATCAATAATCTGTCACTCAATTTACCAAAAACACTAGACTGAGAAAGGCTCTCAGTTTGTTACCGTTTTATTGAGACATCCAAATCTTTAAGACAGTCCACAATTGTGCTTCTGTGCCTCTGTACTGCATTATGATCTGTCTGTACAGTCTTCAACAAAGATGTCAGAGCCACATATCTGGATGAAACAGTTGCAAAATAACAGAGTTAAAATGTAAAATTCAGGATAGTTTTTCTCCGTTTAAATAATAAAAAGAAAGACGTCTAATGGATAAGAGAAAGCATACATTTTTATTTAAAAGAAAGTTAGTGAACATAAAAGTAACATTTCAAAGGTATAAGCGATACCATAATCTAAAATAGTGGCAACCAGGAGGTGCTTTGGATTTTAGATTTGTATTCATGGTCAAGTCCTTTTAAACTTCTAAAAGTAGGCCGGGCATGGTGGCTCACACCTGTAATCCCAGCACTGTGGGAGGCCGAGGCAGGTGGATACCTGAGGTCAGGAGTTCAAGACCAGCCTGGCCAACATGGTGAAACCCTATCTCTAATAAAAATATAAAAAGTAGCTGGGCACATGGGTGTTAGGTGCCTGTAGTCCCAGCTACTCGAGGGGCTGAGGCATGAGAATTGCTGGAACCTGGGAGGCTGCGGTTGCAGTGGGCTGAGATCATGCCACTGCACTCCAGCCTGGGTGACAGAGCGAGACTCTGTCTCAAAAAAAAATAAAATTGGGACTGGGCGCGGTGGCTCATGCCTATAATCCCAGCACTTTGGGAGGCCCAGGTGGGCGGATCAAGAGGTCAGGAGATTAAGACCACCCTGGCTACCATGGTGAAACCACGTCTCTACTAAAAATACAAAAAACTAGCTGGGCGTGGTGGCAGGCACCTGTAGTCCCAGCTACTCAGGAGGCTGAGGCAGGAGAATGGCGTGAACCCAGGAGGTGGAGCTTGCAGTCAGCGGAGATCGTGCCACTGCACTCCAGCCTAGGCGACAGAGCGAGACTCTGTCTCAAAAAAAAAAAAAATTAATTAAATTAAATTAAATATAAAATATAAAATAAATAGAAGTGACTGACTCAATTCTTTAAAAGTTTTCCAAATAGTAAAACAAAAAGAGCATATAATATGTCTTTTAAGGCTGCCTTTCCCCCAAAATGCAATTTTACTTTTAACATGTGAGTTTTCTCTGCTTTTATTTGATCTAGTACCAAAACTGTATCTATAAAAATTTGAGTTTAAAATCCAAGTATTTAACTTAGTATGTTAGTGTTTTAACATTTTATTTATGTATTTATTTTTTAATAGAGATGGGGTCCCCCACTATGTTGCCCAGGCTGGTCTCAAACTCTTGGGCTCAAGCGTTCCTCCCACCTTAGCCTGCCAAAGTGCTGGATTACAGGTGTGAGCCACCACGCCCGGCAATCCAAGTGTTCTTTAGAAGGAGAAGATAACTCAGGGTGCCACAATAATTATTTCCACATCTTTTTTTTTTTTTTTTTGAAACAGGGTCTCGGCCAGGTGTGGTGGCTCACGCCTGTAATCCCAGCACTTCAGGAGGACAAGGTGGGCTGATTACCTAAGGTTAGGAGTTAAAGACCAGCCCAGCCAACATGGTGAAACCCCGTCTCTACTAAAAATACAAAAAAATTAGCTGGGCGTGGTGGCGTTCGCCTGTAAACCCAGCTACTCGGGAGGGTGAGGCAAGAGAATCGCTTGAACTCGGGAGGCGGAGGTTGCAGTGAGCCAAGATTGTGCCACTGCACTCCAGCCTGGGCAACAAGAGCGAAACTCCATCTCAAAAAAAAAAAAAAAAAGAAACAGGGTCTCTCTGTGTCACCTAGACTGGAATGCAGTGGCATGATCACAGCTCACTGCAGCTTTAACCTCCTGGGTTCAGGTGATCCTCCCACCTCAGCCTCCTGAGTAGCTGGGACTACAGGTGCACATCACCAAGCCACCTGGCTCATTTTTGTATTTTTCTGTAGAGATGGAGTTTTGCCATGTTGCCCAGGCTGGTCTCGAACTCCTGGGATCATGATCTACCCATCTCTGCCTCCCAAAGTGTTGGCATTACAGGGGTGAACCACTACGCCTAGCTTCCACATCTTTTCATGTTTAATACAAGAAAAATTTCTCCTGATTAGAAAAACAGGTAAGCAGGAATACGTACTACATACAGGAAAATAACAAAATAAAAGATAATACTGATCAATTCATTTACCTAAAAAACTAGCTAGAGTTCACAAAGACATTCCAGATTTGCTACCTGAAATGTTACATATTTCTTAATTTAGAGCAGGGGTCAACAAACTACAGCCCACCTGTAAAACCCAGCTCTCTGCTGTTTTCGTACATCAAAATATTTTTTTCATACTAGCTCCCAAGTTTCATGTAAATAAATCAATTTACTGAACACAGACACACTCATCATTTACATATTATCTATGGCTAATTTCATGCTAAGGGGCAGAGGTGAGTAGTTACCAAAGACTCCATGGCCCACAAAGCCTAAAATATTTACCATCTGACCCTTTACAGAAAAATTTTGCTGACTCCTGATTTACAGAACAAATAGGAATATATGCCATGAGATAAATCCTCAAGTTCTTCACAAAACAGTGTTTTAAGACCAGAAAAACATAAAAATTCTGAGCTAAAAGTTCTAAATATGTGACTTAATACATGTATGATCTTGAGCAGAATCGCTCTTAAAATACTGGGCTTATAATATCCAAGATAAAAGACATATTTCAGTTAACTTACCTAATATTCTTGTCATTGTTCAATAAGAAACGACCCAGGATATTTATGGCTAGGACCTAAAGAGAAACAGCATAGGTCGAAATTTAGGAAAATGGAAGTTTTATATTGTTTCCTGAGTTTAAAGGATCACTTCATGACCTCTGGTGCTTCACAGACTGCTAGCAAAAAAAAAAAGGAGCTGGGTGCGGTGGCTCACGCCTGTAATCCCAGAACTTTGGGAGGCCAAGGCCGGTGGATCGCCAGGTCAGTGAGTCAAGATCATACCACTGTATTCCAGTCGGAGCAACAGAGCAAGACTCCATCTCAAAAAAAAAAAAAAAAAAAAAAAGGAAAAAATCTAAAGGCAAACTCTTAAAATCATATTCTAAAGGTAAGTGCTGGAAGGTTGTTTTAATGCTTTGACAGTGTTTTGTCAGTGGAAGAATAATATTAGTACAGCCTCTTTAGAGGGAAATCTGGCAATAACTATATTTAAAATGAATATATATTCCCTGTTTTATCAATTTCACTTTTAGGAATTGATCTGACAAACAACTGTACATATAGACAAAAGTCTACTGTGGCACTACTGATAACTGCAAATGATAGGAGATACCCTAAAACTCCGTTAATAGCAAATTTGCTAATTATACTATGGCACACCCATGCAATATGGAATGTCACGCAGCCATTAAGACAGAATGCATTCTGACACATGGTTCAACCTTGAAGACATTATGTTAAATGAAATAAGATAATCTGCTTTTCAAAAGGATAAAAACTGAACAATTCCACTTATATGAGGTACTGTGATATGGTGAAATACATATGTGGTTTTTGTCCCTGTTTCCTGGCATACAACTCCTAAATCCCTTGGAATTTCCTGTGTGACAGCATCTTTAGTTCTAATGATATGACTCTCAATGGGCTCCTAAGATAGCCTCAGAATGGAGACTGGTTTCCAGGGGAACAACCATGATATTAGACGATTGGAACTTTCAGTCTCATCCCCCAACCTTGGGGAGGGGAGAGATGCTGAAGGTTAAGCTGATCACCGATGATTTAATCAATCATGTCTGTGTAATGAGGCCTCCAAAAATCCCAAATGGACAGGGTTCAGAGGAGCTTCCAGATAGCTGAACATGTGGAGCTTCCTGGAGGGCAGCACATCTGGAGAGGGTATGGAAGCTTCCAACTCCTTCCCACATGCCTTGCCCTATGCATCTCTTCCATCTGGCTGTTCATCTATATCCTTTATAACAAACCAGCAAGCATAAGTAAAGTGTTTTCCTGAGTTCTGTGAGCCACTCTAGCAAACTAACCAAAACTGAGGAGGGGGTTGTGGGAACCCTGACTTACAACTGGTTAGTCAGAAGCACAGGTCACAATCTGAGCTTGGGAGTGGCATCTGAAGTTGGGGCGGCGGGGGGTCAGTCTTCTGGGACTGAGCCCTCAAACTGTGGGATGTGACACCTTATCTCCAGGGAGACAGTGTCAGAATTGAATTCAATTAGAAGATACCCAGCTGGTATTCACCAGAAAACTGCTTGATGTATAGGGAAATAGCCCCAACACATATGGCGTCAGAAGTGAAATGCTGGAGCTGGACATGATGGCTCACATTACTCGGGAGGCTGAGGTGGAAAGATTGCTTGAGGCCAGGAGTTCAAGATCAGCCTGAGCAACAGGGAGAGACCCTGTCACTAAAACAAAACAAAAAAGAAGTGAAGTGTTGAATGATTGTGTGAGAGTAGAGAGTAAAAAGTAGAAAAAACATTTTGGGTTTTTTTCTTGTATCTCTTCAGAGGCACCTGAGAGTAGTCAAATTCACAGACGGAAAGTAGAATGGTGGTTGCCAGGGACTACAGATAGTTACAGCATGGAGAGTTATTGTTTAATGGATACAGACTTTAAGAACACAAAAAAGTTCTGGAGATAAACTATAGTACTGGTTACACAACAAGATGAGTGTACTAACTGAACTGTTCACTTAAAAATGCTTAAAATGGTTAATTTTATGTTATATATATTTTATCACAATTAAGAAAAAAAGAACATGACTTATCTCTATGCATGAATTTGGAAGTGGCTCCAAGATAATGTTAGGTGAACAAAGTATGGTGCGAACAATATATATGGTATGTTACCATTCTGTCTGAAAGGTGGGGAGAGGAAAAGAACTTAACCTAAGTTACTTTGGTTATCTAACTAGATACTATAATGCTACCGACAAAAAGAACTGTACACAAATATTATACTCTAGTAAATTTGCTTTTTACAAGGCTATAGGCTAATAGTTCTAATATTAATAAATGATAGAATGAACAAATTCATGAAGGAGAAGGGATAACTCCTCTTTATAGAAGAATTCCAATTAATGAGAAAAAAATGAGGGAAATGAAAAATTGTCATTAGAATACATCTTAATAATTGTTGTGGGCCAGATCCTCTGGTGGATACTAAAACTGATAGGTAAAAGTCTGAGAATAGGATATTTACATAGTCTCAAAATATCTGCCAAAATATTTTTAATTACAAAAGAAAAAATAATGACTTTACAGTGGACAGACCCAGCAGACACCATCTCAACCAAATGATCAAGGTTAACGTCACCAATGATAAGACAAATATATCTACTATATTGCTACACCTGAGATCTCCCAAAGTTTATTATAATCAATGTTAAGCCTTCAGTGGGAAGGAATATTTCAGATACCAAAAATCCAGCATTCCACATTTTGCATCATTCTTTCTTAAAGTCGAGTTCCAAATGGAATACAATTCTGAAGTACTGAAGTCCAAGTCAACCATTCTAAGTGAAACATTTAGGGGGGGAAGAAAAGATTCAAAAAGACTTACTCGCAATCCACTCTCTGACTTAATATCCATGATAGTCAAAACCGTTTCATAAAGAATAGCATTTCCTACATTTTTACTAGTCTCAGTATTAGTGGCAACCTGAAAAGACATATCGAGGGCAGTACATAAGTGATAAAAACAATGCTCCCAAAACATATTCACAGGTAACAAGAGGCATTTTGTGATTACAGCTATGAATGAGGAAACACAAATAAAAACTGCTCCATATAACCATAATCATTCTACTCCCAGCGAAACTAAAATAAATATATATTTAATATGTTTGGTCTACTCACCTGTGCTAATATATCATTCATAGCTTCACTTGAATCATCATCATTTCGTCCTAAAATTCTTAATAACCGCAAAATTCGTACCTAACGTGCAAAAGATGAGAGGTGTCAACAAATTATGTCTCACACAAAGAAATCTCACTTGGTATGAAATTCAAATAACTAAATGAAGTCTTAGAAATTCATTTGGAACCATTTATTCATATCAGAAATAGTCAAAAATCAAACAGAAGAATTGAAAACATTTTCTTTATTTAGAGAAGCTATATATGCTTCTACATCTAATAAAGTTATTATAAAACAACCCACACTTCAGTACTCCACAGCTAAAGGATACTACCAGATACTACCACCTGCAGAGCTATATTAAATAATTCAAATAATAAATGATTTTGACTATTAAAACTGTAATTTGAAGTGGGGCACAGTGGCTCTTGCCTGTAATCCCAGTACTTTGAGAGGCTGAGGGGGGCGGGCTACTTGAGTCCAGGAGTTTGAGACCAGCCTAGGCAACATGGCAAAACCCTGTCTCTACAAAATATACAAAATGAGCCGGGCATGGTGGCATGCACCTGAAATCCCAGCTACTTGGGAAGATCACTTGACCCTGGGAGGTCGAGGCTGCAGTGAGGCAAGATTGTGCCACTGCACTCCAGCCTAAGTGACAGAGCAAGACCTGTAATTGTATCCTCTTAATCTAATATAGAATTGTGTCACTATTCATTAATATAATTAATCAATTAACTACCAAATTTCTACTCAACACAAACTTAAGAGGAAGGAAATTGTCTACTTAAAGATATTAAATTCATATAACATTTATTTAAAACGTTCTTTCAACCTCACCTGCAAAAAGGGGTCACTGATACCAGAAACATCATGTTCTGGTGAATATCCGGACATGATGAGGTTCTTTAAAATACGAACTAATTGGGGCACAAGCTGCAGAGAAGAAAGATGCATCAAAAAACAGTGAATATTGAAGAATGTCTCATGAATAAGCAGGTCCTTTGGTTTAGAAAAAGGGTGTAAGGGTCCCAGTCCAAGCAAATTCTACTGATTTAATATACTAGTGTATTGTAGATGTTTGATAAACTTAGGAGTAACTTAGGGCAATATTCAAGAAGTAGTATGTATTTTATCTGGATAAAACCAAACCAGACTTTTTTATGCAAGAGTTATATGTAAAGATATTACAAATAATATTGGGTCAGAAAGCCTATGGGAACCAGGTAAAACAGATGCCTATGGGGCATACCGCATTTCTAGTTCTGTAGAACTTGAAAAGCCTAGGTGGCAAAAACATGTTCAGTTTTCACCCATTCAAACATTTGCATGTAACATGTCATCATGCCAAAATACAACTAGTGATCTTATTAAAATTATAGCTTTAAAACATACAACCTCAAATAGAGAAAAAAATCTCTTCTCTTAAGATAGAAGAGTTATACCCTTTTCCAACAAACAACAGGGAATACCAAAGCTGACAATAGTAATACGGTAATCAAATGGAAGACACATGAAAAAATTACATCTTTCATCTTAAGAGACATCAAGGCCATGAATAATTTCCTCTTCCTATTCTTAACTCCTATGATACAATTTTTTTAAATTTCAGGACTTATTTATATATATGGCTTTATGGCCTGTTTTCTTGTCTTTTCAATGAGACTATACATTCCTTATAATCAGGAATTTCCTTCCTATCCTTCCTTTACTTTATCCATTAAGAGTCCTAACACATAGTAAAGGCAATTTTACTGCCAAGCCGAAGATGTTTTAAATATTGGCACTCATTTCATTTCTGTTGATCAATTACTTGATATTAAAACAAAAGGTTTGCCACAATAGGAACTTTTTATGTTTCCAACTAAAAACTCAATTTTTAGCTATATAAACAACTCTAATGACCAAAAATTAAGTTAAATAGTGTGCAAAGTGAATTGCATTCCATCTCTTTTGCAGGCAATTTTAGCTACAACTCTGCTGCAACTCAGTTATTTTTTCTCACTATATTTAGACTCTGTCCCTTCCCTACTCCCCAAGCCTAAAAGGGGATCAAGATTGAAATGAAAAGCCAAGCTATATCCAAGGCATGCACTCAAAGCATTCAAAACATTAAGGCCACTTATAAACACAAGAAAACACAGTATGTAAGAATTTAAATAAGTTGAGCCATAACAGTTTGGAATTAAGTAACTTATAAGTCACCTAAACAAAAGTCTACTTTGGACAACTCCAAATAAGACAAATCTAAGCCATGGAGATCTGTAAATTCATTAAATCTGTCAACTATGGGCAAAGTTATATTAGAGATAATAATATACCTTTTAAAACCACTTTAAATCAATATTTTTGTAATAAAATGAAGACCAAGTAGTTACCAACCTTATCTTACATACTTCCCAATGGTCTGTTTTTTTTGTACTAGATATAACCCTAGTTATTTTTTATCTGGTTTATTTCTTGGAAAAGTCATTTTTCCTTGGGCTACTAAATTCAGAAATTGTTTTATCCACTGCCAAAAAGGCCAGCACATCACATAACATTACCCTGGGACACAGAGCACAAATGACTAAATGTTCAGCATACAATTCTTGGAACCCAGTTTCATTTTTCAGACAAAAATGCAAGTTATTAAAACTGATGACAAGACAAACAAAATAAGATGACACAGGGAAAGGCTGCAGCCATGAAAATCAGTTGGTGCCCACTACTCTACCTCAAAATCCTTTTAATATTCCAAAACTTCTATGTAAGATTAAGTACAGGTAAGAGAGAAATAAAATCTCTAAGTGTGAACTGAAAGCTCAGCAGTACATACGGAGCTTTTTAAAGTATGAGGTTACCCACATGCGGTTCTAAAATATCTACTTCAAAAAGCAGCAGCATTTTGTGTCAAAGCTCCAGACTAATCTGGAATTGCCATCACCAAAGCCACTGGGAAACTGCTCAAAGTTTCTCAAGTAAAGATAAAGAAAAGGCAGAGAAGAAGGCTTACAACTCAGGAAAGGCTGCAACTGAAATCCAAGGCTGACTTTGGAGTCAGGAGTTTAAGTGACAAAACAAAAACTAGACTAGGAAGTTAGCCAAAGATGGTAGAACAATAACTCACAGTATTAAGCACAGCTTCAGCATTAGTATATTTTAAAAGCCACATTTGTGGATCGATACACAAAAGCTACTAAGGACCTAATGCCAGCATGCACCATCTAAAAGAGGGTTAATTCTTACCTTTTCATTCTAACATACAGCAGGATTCCAAACAGACAACAGGAACAAAACATACAAAGCAAGCATTAGGGACAGATACGGGTCTCATACTATATTACAATAATTTAATCAAGACATGAACATCTAAGGGAAAAAAAGCCAAAAAAGAACTCCTGTTAGAGCCTTACTAGATCTAAAGTACAAAGTGAGTTCTATTTATGGAATGACCAGCATCCTATAAAAGAAGTTCAATGCATGTAACTACCCAAAGAACAGTCTTCTTCTGAGTCTAAAATTAAGTGGAGAAACAGAAATGTCCAGTTTAAAATACTAGTTTAAAAAAAAAAAAAAAAAAAAAAAGGCCGGGCGCGGTAGCTCACGCCTGTAATCCCAGCACTTGAGGAGGCTGAGGCGGGTGGATCACCTGAGGTCAAGAGTTCGAACCAGCCTGGCTAACATGGTGAAACCCCATCTCTACTAAAAATACAAAACAAAATTAGCCGGGCATGGTGGCAGGCGCCTGTAGTCCCAGCTACTCAGGAGGCTGAGGGAGGAGAATCACTTGAACCCAGGAGGTGGAGGTTGCAGTGAGCCAAGATTGCACCACTGCACCTCAGCCTGGGCGACAGAGCCAGACTCCGCCACAAAAAAAAAAAAAGAGAGAAGGGAGTACTTAAGAGAACTAAGACTTCCATCACAGGAGTCAATGTCCTAAAACGAACAGTAGAGTAAAAGTAATAAAAAAATTTTTAGTTTTAACCTTAAAAAAATAGAAAAGAGCTGGGCGCGGTGGCTCACGCCTGTAATCACAGCACTTTGGGAGGCTGAGGCGGGTGGATCACGAGGTCAGGAGATCAAGACCATCCTGGCTAACACAGTGAAACCCTGACTCTACTAAAAATACAAAAAATTAGCCAGGCGTGGTGCCAGGCACCTGCAGTCCCAGCTACTTGGGAGGCTGAGGCAGCAGGAGAATGGCATGAACCCGGGAGGCGGAACTTGCAGCGAGCCAAGATCGCGCCACTGCACTCCAGCATGGGCGACAGAGCAAGACTCTGTCTCAAAAAAAAAAAAAAAAAAAAAAAGAAAAGAAAAGAAATTCCTGCCTTTAAAAAAAAAATACAAAAAAAAAAAAAAAAAAAACAGGCCAGGAGCAGTGGCTCACACCTGTAATCCCAGCACTTTGGGAGGCTGAGGCGGGCTGATCACCTGAGGTCAGGAGTTCAAGACCAGCTTGGCCAACATGGTGAAACCCCGACTCTCCTAAAAATACAAAAATTAGATGGGCATGGTGGCGCGCACCTGTAATCCCAGCTACAAGGAAGGCTGAGGCAGGAGAATCACTTGAACCCAGGAGGAGGAGGTTGCAGTGAGCTGAGATCACGCCATTGCACTCCAGCCTGGGCAAAAAGAGCAAAACTACATCTCAAAAAAAAAAACAACACACACAAAACTCCTATTTCTAATTTGACCTCAGATCATGTTTCTTGACTCAAATGTGAAAACAGTAGATAAAACACATGAGATTGGTGTGTCTGCCAACAATGAGAGAAGACTTCTATTATGAAAGGGAAAACACAATACTAGTGCCAGTTCTCACTTATATGCCTAAATCTGGCTTCCAGGCCAATTGCATAGCAGGGCTAGTTAAATCCCTTATTCAGATCCATAGCTTGCTTTCAAAAAAAAATAAGAAGAAAATCATGTACTTTTCAGGAAAATCATTTTTCAATCAAGAAAGGCTTAGGCATACAGAATGGCACCTACCTTTCTGAAATGCGCAAGCATGTCTGGGCTTCGCTCACACATTTCTGTGAGGAGGACTACAGATGTGTGGAGGACACCTGAAAGAAAAGATCAAAGGAAAACTAAAAATGAGGCCTATTATTCAATTTTATAGAACAGGACTTTGAGTTCCTGAAGGTCAATTCCAAAAGGATAGTTGCTACTTTTGCTTTTTAATCCCCCAAAGCATCTAAGCATTGAAGTGAATACAAAGGAAGAACTTAATAGATGCCTGATTTAAAACTGGCCAAGTTGGTAAAATCGGAATGTTTTCAACAATTATGTGATCAAAATAATTATGAAAAAGTGACGACCAATACATATGTCTCTCCATCTGAGAATATCCATAAAAACACACAATGCAAGCTAGGTATGATCTGTTCTATACTTAATCAGTAAGCTATTATCTGAGTACTAACAGATAATTCAAGAGGCAAAAATCTTAGTAAGATTTTACATTTCCAGATAAAACGCATCAAAACTCTGAGAAAACTTTGGATGACAAAGTAAATTTAACTGCTCCAGAGTCAGTAAAAACAATCTCACAATGCTTTTCACTAAATAATAAATACGTGCTCCAAATAATTCAGTTGTTCAACAAGTATATTTTGAGCATTCTGGGCACAGCACTGAATTTGTCAAATTAAATATACCATACAATTTTTCCTCTTAGCATTTAAGCCACATGAATTTTCTTTATTCAGAACTTATTTCACTGACTTCAAATAAAAATAAAATGTTTGAGAAAAGAACAGTCACATTCCATTTAATTCCTCTGTTTTATACAAAGATTCTGAGTACCTAATACAAGCTTCTGTCAGAAATAACCCAAAAGAATTCTCACAATTTTTGAGTCTGGCAGGGTCTGGCTCTGTAGCCCAGGCTATAGTGCAGTGGTACAATCTTGGCTCATTGCAACTTCTGCCTCCCAGGTACAAGCCATCCTCCCACTTCAGCCTCCTGAGTGGCTGGGACCACAGGCATGTGCCATCACACCCAGCTAATTCTGGTATTTTTTACAGAGATGGGTTCTGACTTTGTTGCCCAGGCTGGTCCTGAGCTCAAATGATCTGCCCACCTTGGCCTCCCAAAGTGCTGGGATTACAGGCATGAGCTACCACGCCCAGCCGCACAAATCTTATACTCCTACCACATGATAATGGAATTTTTTCTTTTATTGTAAAATAGGCAAGAAATCAAAGGATTTTACACATGAAAATTATGGGTAGGCTCATTTGTATATTACACTAAATATTAACAACTTAATATTTTTAATAAAGTAAAAGAGGACCAGAGATGAAAGATAAGTTTACTATGAAGGAATCAATCTCTTAATATAAAACTAGGATATGTGAGTGGAAAGACTTGTCAGACCAGACCTTCCTGGAAAAGTGTCTAAGGCACAGCAGAAACGCGACTCCACTGTTCTGAGAGACACAGGACTAACATAGCCTTAAGCCTTTTCTCTTTCCCTTTCTCCCTCAATACTTCATGAATACATCCAAATTACATTACCATGGTTCTTCTCATTCAATAAATTTTTTGTTGCTGGTAAAAACATCTCCATAAGTTCAGGAACTTTCCTGATGACATGAACAGCACACAGTGCTGCCTATGAAAAAAAAAATAAAAGAACAAAAGGTTTATTTCAATTATGCCAGGGCAACCAATCTTATTAAAAAACCACCAACACAAAAATCTCACCAACTAGTTCATCTACTAGAAAAATAAAGAAGGAAGAGGTTAGATATTAGATTTATGGCTCGACACAGTGATAGCCCACTCCTATAATCCAGCACTTTGGGAGCCCCAAGGCAGGAGAATCACTTGAGCCCAGGAGTTTGAGAACAGCCTGGGCAACACAGTAAGAACCTGCCTCTATTTAAAAAAAATTAAGAGGAGAGAAAATTATTTATTAACTGGTTGGGGAGTTCCAGTTTATACTATTATATTAAAGAGATCTTCTAGTTCACCTCTCCCTTTGTTCATATATTGCTAGACAAGTAGGCAAAAACTTTCTACATTAGACTATGTATGGTTAATATGAATTTATCAAAAAGTTAAACATAATTTATGTGGAGTTTTAAGGAAGTAAAAATAGATAACAATCTCAATCTGTGATAATCATACCTCTGAGTAAGATGACTAACAGCCTATAAAAACATCACACAACTGAAAGATATATACTGTAAATGCTATAAATCTACTGTTATGTTTAATAGTATCTATGTGGCCCTCAAATGACTCTACTGACATCAAGAAAATCATTTGAAAAATACTTAGTCTCTACTAAAGAAAAGATGGTTTTACTAGCTTGTTCACTGGAAAATAAAAGTACATTTAAACACTGATTTTTGTATATCCCCCAAAGTAACTATAACTACTATATGTTTGAGTCAAATACCATAAAAGTTTAGATATATTAACAAAAAAAATTTCTGCTAATTCCATCCATGTTATATTTGGGAGGAAAAAATATCTTTTTTTCTTTTCTTTTCTTTTTTTTTTGAGACGGAGTCTCGCTCAGTCGCCCAGGCTAGAGTACAATGGCGCAATGTCGGCTCACTGCAAGCTCCGCCTCCTGGGTTCACATCATTCTCCTGCCTCAGCCTCCAGGTGAGGGACTACAGGCGCCCGCCACCACGCCCGGCTAATTTTTTTTGTATTTTTAGTAGAGACGGGGTTTCACCATGTTAGCCAGGATGGTCTTGATCTCCTGACCTTGTGATCCACCCATCTTGGCCTCCCAAAGTGCTGGGATTACAGGCATGAGCCACCATGCCCAGCCTATCTTTTTTTTCTAACCTGCAGGAATGTTTCATTTTAATATGACAATGAGCTTTCTGAACAAGAGTAGCTCACATATTCTTTAAGAAAAAGGACCAGCTTACAAATTAAGAAAATAATTTAACTTTGTTTGCAGCCATCATTAACTGCATATCATCCTGGGAAATGGCTTGGCCTTTTCAATGCCTCTTTCCCAAACCATTAATAGAGAGGCACAGTAAATGCCAAACAGATCACAGTTTATGTTCATTTCTTGGACTTCTAAATTCCATACACTTCATTTTCAAAGGTTGTAGGGTTCAAGCAATTTTTAAAAACTCAATAAAATGCTTATATCAACAAATAAAATCAGATAGAAGAATAATTCTCTTCTATTACTAATCCATTCAGAAAGTGGGTTCTACATCATTCCCTAATAATTATCTAGGTCCCAATAGAACTGCCCTTCCAGAGACACAAAGGCACTAATACAAAGATATGGGTATTAATTATTAGGACAAAAGTAAATTCATAAAAATCTGTTCATAATCACCTTGCTGTAATACTGTTTAGAATCAGATAACTTAGGAATTTGGTATGCCACCTAGGATATATCCAGTAACATTTGTTTGTTTATAAATCATTTCCTTAAGAAAAGAGGAATTAAGGTTAATATATAATCATGTAAAACAGATTTACTACACAGAAAAAATGACTTTACATTATCATCAGATCTTTCAAAAATGAGTAATCTGCCTTCTCATCTCCATAATACTCCCTAATCCAAACAGACATTTGGTTCATTAAAAGTTACCTTTTTTCTTAAGTAAGAGTTGGAGGTTTTCAGGAGCTTCTCTACCTCTCCTGCAAGATCTCTGCACATCTCTGAGGAGCCCATGCAGCCGAGGGTACAAAGTGCTAACCCCTGTACGAATTGCGTGCTATGATTAAGATCACTGCAAAAGAAAAGAGGAAGGTAGGAACAAGCCTGGTGCTCCCCAAGAAGCAGCTTCACAATTTCAAACTAGTTCAGGATGACTCAAGATTTCTCCAATAACAAAAACAATAGGATTATTTGTTGCAGAAAATGTTTATCCCAACTTTATTACAAATTATCAATATAGTAAACAGACTGACAGTCCCTCCTATAGGCTTACAAGCCAATGTTTCCAGGTACCAAAGCAGTGGAAGTTGAAAAACATGTTATCTACTGGATGTCAGACACACACTTTAGAAAACTCAGCAAACTTGGCAGCAGGGTAGGGGTGGTTCACACCTGTAATCCTAGCACTTTCAGAGGCCGAGGCAAGTGGATCACCTGAAGTCAAGAGTTCGAGACCAGCCTGGCCAACATGGTGAAACCTCATCTCCACTAAAACTGTAAAAATTGGCCGAGCGTGGTGGCGGGCGCCTATAATCCCAGCTACTTGGGAGGCTGAGTAGCTACCCAGGTTCAAGTGATTCTTCTGCCTCAGCCTCTCAAGTAGCTGGGACTACAGGCGCACGCCACCACGTCCCATTAATTTTTGTATTTTGTATTTTTAGTAGAAACGGGGTTTCACCACATTGGCCAGGCTGGTCTTGAACTCCTGACCTCGTGATCTGAGATCACGCCACTGCAGTCCAGCCTGGGCAACAGAGCGAGACTCCGTCTCAAAAAGAAAAAAAAAAAAAAACCAGAACAAAGTAGGCCAGGCACAGTGGCTCAAGCCTGTAACCCTAGTACTTTGGGAAGCCGAGGTGCATGGATAATCTGAGGTCAGGAGTTCGAGACCAGCCTGGCCAACATGGTGAAACCCCGTCTCTACTAAAAATACAAAAATTAGCCAGGCGTGGTGGCAGGTGCCTATAATCCCAGCTACGCAGGAGGCTGAGGCAGGAGAATCACTTCAACCAGACTGGCAGTTGGGGGAGGACGGTGGCAGCGGAGGAGGATGCAGTGAGTCAAGATCACGCCACTTCACTCCAGCCTGGGCAAAAGAGCAAGACTCCGTCTCAAAGAAAATACAAAAAAGAACAAAGTAGTTAACAGTTGTTAGAAGAAAGAAAAGTAAGACTTACTTCTTGATACAGTTGGTCATGAGAAGATGGACATCTTGTCTTTCATCTAACAGCAGCATTGCCCCTAAATAGCCAATGCGTTTGTCTGTAAATTTTTGAGAGGCAATAAGCTTGAGGCACTCCAACTGCAAAAAAAGAAAAAAAAAAAGAAGGAAATTAAAACTTGCTACCACAATCTAGAAAAGCAGTGTTTTTAACCCAGAGTCCCCAGCTGGCTAAAGTAAAGTACAAATGTGTTTCATCAAACTACCTAAATCTTTTCTTTTTTTTGAGACGGGGTTTCGCTCTGGTTGGCCAGGCTGGAGTGCAATGGTGTGATCTCGGCTCACTGCAACCTCTGCCTCCCAGGTTCAAGCCATTCTCCTGCCTCAGCCTCCCGAGTAGCTGGGATTACAGGAATTAGCCACCATGCCTGGCTAATTTTTGCATTTTTAGTAGAGACAGGGTTTCACCATGTTGGTCAGGCTGGTCTCAAACTCCTGACCTCTGCCGATCCACCTGCCTTGGCCTCCCAAAGTGCTGGGATTACAGGCATGAGCCACCGCGCCTGGCTTTTTTTTTTTTTTTTTTTTTTTGAGATGGGGTTTTTGCTCTTGTCGCCCAGGCTAGAGTGCAATGGCGCGATCCCAGCTTACTGCAACCTCCACCTCCTGGGTTCAAGCGATTCTCCTGCCTCAGCCTCCCAAGTAAATGGGACTACAGGCCCCCACCACCAAACCCAGGTAATTTTTTTTTTGTATTTTTAGAACAGACAGGGTTTCAACATGTTGGCCAGGCTGGTCACGGACTCCTGACCACAGATGATTCGCCCGCCTCAGCCTCCCAAAGTGCTGGTATTACAGGCCTGAGCCACCGCGCCCGGCCAAACTACCTAAATCTTTTTAGAAGGCAAAGATTTAAGACCTTTGGATATCTTAATAGAAATCAAGTTCTAGAACAGATCATTTTATCAAGGCCCCATGATATTTGCCATTCAAATAATCTCTCAGTTTTGCATTAGTTTTGCAGATTCACACAAACACAAACTAGAAGTATTATAAGAGATTAACAAACCAAATTCCTACTTTAATCCCCAAGTTACATTAAATGAGCACCTAACGTGTACTTAAGGTATAGTTCCATTTTGGGAATTAAAAAAAACTCAATAACTAGAAATACACCAACCCATACTAACCATGAGGAATGTATAATTAATTTAAAAAGAGAGAGGCAATAACTAAGTTTAATATAATGTGGAAAGTATGTGAACCAAGTACATTCAGAGCTTGATCCAAGTACTACGGGAGAGGGCGAGGGTTTAGGAATCCAATACAGAAAAAACAAAAAACAGAGGAAAACTCAGTAGTGGAATTAAGCTAAAACGATTTACATTTCTTCTTTACATCATTGTTAGAAATAGCTTCTTAGGGCTTAAGAGTTCTTGTAAATTAGTTTGTCCCTCTACTTTGCCTTTCTTGAACCACCTTCAAAATCACTTTGACATACTTTATCACTCCATCTTGACAAACATGGAAAAGGCCAAAACATTACCTCTAGAGCAGTATTCAAAGTGCGTACACAAGACAGACTAACCAAGAAGAGTTATAAAAACCATGATCCCCTTTAGAATCATACCTCCCAAGGGAAGGGGCTCAAATGGATACCTGTGTATACAGGAAGCTAAAATCACGTGAGACTACTTTCCATTATGAATTTATCTACTAAATTCGAAAGTGAAATTGAGGAAAGTAAAACAGTTCCACAGAGTTGTTTCAAGCTATTTAAAAATTGCTCTCTCAATGTACCTGCATTAAAAACATCTAAAGTTAGCTGAATGACTATACTATCACGAGCATTTCAAAGAAGTCTCCAAGGAACATAACCAGGATCAAAAAGGAAAACATAAATGCCTGTGAAATGGAAAAGATTATGTAAGTAACAAATCTTCCCTTTCTTCTTCACATTGAATTTAAATTTAAACAGCAATTTCTGAAACAGAAGTTGATGAAAGTCATCTTTACAATGTCAACAGAAAATTTACTAAGGTGAATGAGAAAATCAGAAGCTAAAATATTATCAAACAAACCTTACTCTTTTTCAAACTGGTTTTTCAATCTTCTCATTTCATAATTCTATAAGTATTTTAGTAGTGAAAGCAAATGTTCCAAGAATCAGATATCAGAGTTTTCATCATCCTCATTCAATCTTACTTCTGACAAACTCCAAGCATTACACAGATAAATTATCCAAAAATATTTTATTAGGAATAGGACATACTCTTAGGCATTAATACTACTTTGTGGTTTTAGGGTCAAGTGTGGTTTTTTTGTTTTGGTTTTTTTTGCACGACCATTTCTTATTAAACTATACAAAAAAAGGCAGGCCAGGAGCAGTGGCTCATGCCTGTAATCCCAGCACTTTGGGAGGCCAAGGTGGATGGATCACCTGAGATCAGGAGTTCGAGACCAGCCTGGTCAACATGATGAAACCCCGTTTCTACTAAAAATAAAAAATTAGCCAGGTGTGGTGGTGGGCGCCTGTAATCCCAGCTACTCGGGAGGCTGAGGCAGGAGAATGGTTTGAAATTTGAAGGCGGGAGGTTGCAGTGAGCTGAGATCGCGCCACTGCACTCCAGCCTAGGAAAACAGCCAAACTGTTACAAAAAAAAAAAAAAAAAAAAAAAAAAAACTATACCAAAAAGGGAGGGGAGGGAGGCAGCTGTGGGGTTTGGCCCCAACCCCAGCCCACCCCCAGTCTGGCGCTGTCTTAGAGGAGGGGATCTGAGGGAGATCCCAGGCAGGATAGGGATGAGGCAGGACATGAGGCTAGGGGATGCAGAGGTTAGGCAGGAGAGGCTACCAGAGGGTGGGGGGAGCGGGAGGGAGGCAAGAAGAAAACAAAGAGAGAGGAGCAACTGGGGGCCAGCTGGGGAGCTCAGATGGAGTAGGTCAGGAGGTGGAACAATGGTAGAGTGAGGGTGGAGGGGTCAGTGTCTGGGAGAGGTGGAAATGAGAAAGCTGGGGAGAAAGAAGAGGGTGGCGGCTCTGGTGCAGGGCCCATAGCAAGGAGCCAGGCGAAGAGTGGCTGGACTTGTCTGTTCCCACCCCAACCTCCAGGCCGAGAGAGGCCTCCCATCCCCAGCCTGTTGGCAGGCGGTCATGCCGATGCCCCATTCTGTCTTCTACTGCTAGGGATCCGGTTCATCCTCCTCTTCGGCAGCTCTCTTCAGCTCGGGCCCTTCATCATCTCCTTCTTCCTCTTCGGGCCCGTTCTCCTCCTCCTCCACCACTTCTTTCTTTCGCTCTTTCTGGCTTGCCTCCTCCTCCACCTTCTCCTTCAGGTCCTTGGTGCCCAACTCAGCCACTGCCTCCATGCTTTTCTCCAACATGGTGCTAGGACTGGAGCTGGCAGGCAGCTAGGGTCCCAGGGCCAAGACAGAGGGGCCCTGGACAGTGGAGGGCGGCTGAGACCAGAACCTGGCATTGTGACAGTGGTGGCGGCAGCAGCAGTTGCTCAGTCGGGTCAAGTTTTAAGATAGTCACACTAAGTCACCAGTGACTGACGAATACAAGCTGTTTTTTGTAACATTTAAGACATACCTAAAATTTGCTCTCTTCCTCTGTGTGCAGTAGGCACAGAGAAGAAGTGGAAAAACAAAACAAATAACAACAACAAAAAAACCTTACCTAAAAACTAAACAGCAAAAAGAAAAGCTGAAATTTAAAGGGGCAAGCATTATTTCAATATTCCCCCATTTATAGTGACTCTGCTTCAAAAACAAGCATTTGCTTTTTGAAGGTGACAAATCTAAGGGAAAATATAAGGTTATATGACTGGAAATAGCATCTGATATATACACTCCAGTGATGGATTAACTCTGATCACACTTTATACTTAAGTGGCCAGCCATAGTGCTGAGAACATACCATGTTTAATCTTTAAGAATATTATCAAGGCCGGGCGCAGTGGCTCACACCTGTAATCCTAGCACTTTGGGAGGCCGAGGTGGGTGGACTGCCTGAGCTCAGGAGTTCTAGACCAGCCTGCGCAACACGGTGAAACCCTGTCTCTACTGAAATACAAAAAATTAGCCAGGCGTAGCGGCGTGAGCCTGTAATCCCAGCTACCCGGGAGGCTGAGGAAGGAGAATCACTTGAAAGCAGGAGGAGTAGGTTGCAGTGAGCTGAGATCGCGCCACTGCCCTCCAGCCAGGGCAACAAATTGAGATTCTGTCTTAAAAAAAAAAAAAGAAAGAAAGAAAAAAAAAAAGAATGTTATCAAAGTTATCAAATGTTGAAAAAGAAAGATAAAGGTTTGGGGGGAAAAAGTACAATGGGGGAGATGCACACAAAAGGAGGGCATCCGTTTTTCCGCAGCAATCTCCAAATCTCCAAAAGCAAAACTCCACACTGTTGCATGAGTTAAAGAACAGAAGGAAAAAAGTAATCAATTACATGCATCTGCCCCTTAGGTAACAATCTCAAATATTTCAATGGAGTACTACTACTCCACTTAAAGCGACTTGAAAAACCTACCTGAAACATTTCTAACCACAACTCTAGCAGACGCTTTAATAAGACCAGAGTAAACAGTCCAGCTTTTATATCCAAATTCCACACAATTAATGGAAAACTTTTACTTCAAACTCTTCTCAGCAGAAGCATTCTAGTCAGCCATTAGCAACAAGCCTAAGAGATCGAAGTTTTCAGCCCCCTTTGTAACAAATACAGTGCCTGAAGAAGTGGTTCCCAAACTTAACTGGTCAGAACAGGTAGGAGAGTTTTGAAAACTATGGGTCACCGCCCCCACCCCACCCCCGCCAATATTCTGATGGAGTAAATTTGACATAGACACTGACAATTTAATTTTTACAAAGTTTTTCTATATGACTCTCTTTTTTGGGGAGTAGGGGGGAGAGTCTCACTCTGACACCCAGGCTGGAGTGCAGTGGTGCTATCTCGGCTCAACACAACCTCCTCTGACTCTCACGTTCAAGCAGTTCTCGTGCCTCAACCTCCCAAGTAGCTGGAACTACAGATGCGTGCCACCAACCCCAGCTAATTTTTGTGTTTTTAGTAGAGATGGGGTTTTGTCACGTTAACCAGGCTGGTCTCAAACTCCTGGCTTCAAGTGATCTGCCCACCTCGCCTCCCAAAGCACTGGTATTACAGGTGTGAGCAATCACACCCCGCCAAATGGCTCTTAATGTTACAATTTTCTTTGAATTTCAAAGCTATTTTACGAAGAGAATTTTCCATGTTTCTGGCCTTTTTACATCTTCCTGTAGCAAGTACAAATGTTGCCATTTATCAGTGTTTAATCCGGTTACCCCTGGATAAAAGCTGCACCTATTTTGTTAGCTTTTAGAACAGTTTCGCACACGGTCAGATGCACATCTAAATTGCTCACACCTGTAATCCCAGCACTTTGGGGAGGCCAAGGCGGGAGTATTCCTTAAGCCCAGGAGCTCGAGACAAGTCCAGGCAACCCAGCAAGACCCCATCTCTACAAAATTTAAAAACAAAAAATTTTGTTTCAGTTTTTTTTTGTTTTTTTTTTTTTTTTGAGACGAAGTCTGGCTCTGTCACCCAGGCTGGGGTGCAGTGGTGCGATCTCGGCTCACTGCAACCTCTGCCTCCTGGGTTCAAGCAATTCTCCTGCCTCAGCTTCCCAAGTAGCTAAGACTACAGGCACGCACCACTATATCCGGCTAATTTTTGTATTTTTAGTAGAGATGGGGTTCCGCCATGTTGGCCAGGCTGGTCTTGAACTCCTGACCTCAAGCAATCCACCCGTTTTGGCCTCGTGCTGGGATTACAGGCGTGAGCCACCGCGCCGGCCAAAAGTTTCTTAAACAAAGTTTTGTCTTAAAATTTTGTTTAAAAATTTTTTTAAATCAGCCAGGCGTGGTGGCATGCACCTGTAGTCTCAACTACTCAGGAGGCTCAGGCACCAGGATCGCTTGAGCCTCCTGTTGAAGGCTGCAGTGAACTACGATTGCACCACTGCACTCCAGCCTGAGTGACAGAGTAAGATCCTGTCTCTTAATTTAAAAAAAAAAAAAAAAAAAATTGCAGCTTTATGATATGAACAATCACCTTAATGAAAACATGCAATTGAAATTCTGTAAATTTTAACAGGCCTGCAACTGATTGGGTAGACCTTTTTAAAAGTCACCTTTATTTATTTTATTTTTTTGTTTAGAGACAGGTCTTGCTCTATCGCCCAAGCTGAAGTACAATGGCATGATCACAGTTCACTGTTAGTTCACAGTTAGTAACCTCTAACTCTTGGGCTCAGGCCATCCTGCTGCCTCAGCCTCCCAAGTAGCTACAACTACAGGCATATGCCACCACATGAGGCTAATTTTTTACTTTTTTTTTTTTTTTTGAGCTGGAGTCTCACTCTGTCGCCCAGGCTGGAGCGGGGTTTCACCGTATTGCCCTGGCTAGTGTCAAACTCCTGAGCTCAGGCCATCCGCCTGCCTCAGCTTCCTAAAGTGCTGGAATTACATGCATGAGCCACTGTACCCTACCCTAACTTTTTACTTTTGTAGAGATGAGGTCTCACTATGTTACCTGGGCTGGTCTTGAATTCCTGTCCTCAAACGATCCTTCTGCCTTGGCCTCCCAAAGTGCTGGGATTATAGGCATGGGGCACCATACCCAACCTATTTCTTTTTAATATTCAGAAATAACTGCCTGGTTTATACACACACACACCTAAAATCATCATTTTTGAAAAGCAAGCTTGTTACAACTGCACTACCACTATGTAGGCCTGACAACATAAAATCTATATAGACCAGAGTCTGTTTCTTCATTCTTCTGGCAGAAAAACAAAAAACAAAAACCTGACATTCCTAGTGAATCCAATTTTTTCTTTTGAGAAAATTATGAAATATTCCACTCAAAATACATAAAAATCACGTAACTGTCACTGACACACCAAGCAGCTTTATCAAATCTTAACATTTCACCCTATTTATTTTACATTACAAATTCAAATGAAGTCTTCTGTGTACTGGGCCTCAATCTCATTTCTCCATCCCAGAAGTAATCAGAACCCTAAACTGCTGCTCATGACTGCCATGCCATATATTCTTACTACACATGGAGAGACAGGTGGTTTTAAATGTTTTAAACTTTAAACAAATATCAAACTGTATTCCCGCTCTTTTCACTCAACAGCTTTGAGTATTACTCACATCAAGACAAGAAGATCTAATTCAGTCATAACTCACTGCTACATAGTATCCCACTTTTGAATATAAACTTACCTATTATCTGAGGACAAACAGATTGTTTGCAATGTTTTACCTATTAGAAACACTGCTGAAATGAATACTCTTATACATACATGTCTTTGTATACTGGAAAATTTATCTAGGTTATATACCTAAGGAGGCTTGATCAAATTCAGACTTTTCAGGTTTTGCTTTGTTCTGTTGTGATCTCATTTTGCAAATATGCACCACTTAGAGCCAGTGGTATGAACTTTCACCAGGAGGCGTATAATTATTTCTGGTAGTCGTCTCTCTTTTGTGACATTAGCAGCAACTGACGATCATCATGGGTTGCAAAATGATTAGATTCTAATTCATTCCTTCATTTATTAGTTGGACTACAGCTCTAAGAAGAAACTTCTCTATACAGAAGGAAGGCCATACTATTGCTAAGGAAAGGCAATATAAACGTTTATTTCAATCAATTGCAATTATTATCCTTTTTTTATTGACACAGAGTCTCACTCTGCCAACCAGGATGGAGTGCAGTGGCACGATCTCGCCTCACTGCAACCTCCGCCTCCCAGGTTCAAGTGATTCTCAAGCCTCAGCCTCCGGAATACCTGGGATTACAGGTATCTGCCACCATGCCCGGCTAATTTTTGTATTTTTAGTAGAGATGGGGTTTCACTATGTTTGTCAGGCTGGTCTCGAACTCCTGAGCTCAAGCAATCTGCCCGCCTCAGCCTCACAAAAGACTGAGATTACAAGTTTAGTCACCGCACCCAGCCTACAATTATTATTATTATTATTATTATTTTTATTATTATTTTGAGATGGAGTCTCGCTCTGTTGCCCAGGGTGGAGTGCAGTGGCGCAGTCTTGGCTCACTGCAACCTCCACCTCCCGGGTTCAAGCGATTCTCCTGCCTCAGTCTCCTGAGTAGCTGGGATTAATAGGCGCCTGACACCACACCTGGTTAATTTTTGTATTTTTAGTAGAGACAGGGTTTCATCATGTTGGCCAGGATGGTATTGAACTCCTGACCTCGTGATCTGCCTGCCTCGGCCTCCCAAAGTGCTGGGATTACAGGTGTGAGCCACCATGCCCAGCCGATTATTATTCTTATTAATACTCAAATTATCTCTTTTGGGGGTATGACTGCCTCTTCTGGTGATTACTGAAACCTTCTGACATGATCTTTGCAGTCTTTCTTGCTTTCTGGCATAGTAACATCATTCAAGCTTATTTTGTACATTTCCTTACCCTGGATTTGGGATCAGCCATCTTTCCAATGGGCTGAAAATAGTATCTGGAGACCACAGTCTAGGCTTAAGGATAGCTCATTGCTTCTGGTCTGGTCATTAATTCTAAGGCTTTTCAAGGAATAGTACTAGCTTAAGTACTTTATTTTAAGAAAAAAATTCCTTAATGTGAGAAAGCGTGTCTACTAAACCCTATGACAGTCACCCACATATTACTGTAGAGCATTTGTTTACGGCTTTAACAAGAGTGGCTATTATCATCACTTATTTGCAATAATGTACTACCTGTACAGTGTAATAAGAAAATAAGAAAATGTATAAGGATATCAAAGGAAAAAAAAGAACTGCCATTGTTTGCAGACAATAGTAGTATTGACTACATGGAAACAATGACGTCCACAGAGACTCTTAGAACCAAGTTCAATAATGTGGCAAAGTAGATAAATATTATTAAAAATCAATTATATCACTACAGATCTACAACATAATTATTTAAAATTTTAAAGGATACTATTTGCAACAGAAACAAGAGCTCTAAAGAACCTACAAATATATTTCTCCAAAGATGTGTTAAGACTTAAAAATCCTGTGTTTTAAAGGAAATTTTTTTTTAATTTTTTAAAAAGATGTATAAGACTGTACAGAAAACATTGTAAAATTTAGAGAAGCTAAAGAAGTGCAGTCCTATGCTACACAGATGGAAGGGAAGAATATCCTACACAGGTAATTGGGTATGGCAAGCAAGGCTAGAACTGAGGAAAAACAGAATCAGGCCCAGCCTAAAAGCAGCACACTACTGACATATGGAAATGTAGATTTCCATTCCACAAATCTTACTATGTTTCTAAGAGAAACTAGAAGTCCAGATTTCTATGGAAATTCTTTTTTCTTTTTTATGTACTGGCAGAAACAATTTTAAATACCACACAGGACAAAAAAGAACACATCTGTGGAAGAATTTGGCCCCGAGCCACCAGTTTTCTACTCCTGCAATCTACCTACTTATCTTTAGATAATTCATTAATATTTCTGGGTTGTGCTTAACCTACACACGCAAAAGGTTACACACACTACAGGAAATCTATCACCACTTTTGTTATAAAAATGCTGAGGATACTGTCTCTTACATTATTAAGAGACTCCTAGACAAAAGGTCCATATAAAAAATCTCTTAGAATTCAGTGCTTCAAAAAACATTGCCGTCCTTTAGGAAATGGTAAAATGCATAACATGAGGCTTTTTATATACAAAATGTGTCTAACACTTATAACTTAATCTTCATAATAACACTATAAAGTAGGCATTAAGATTGTCCCCATTTTACAGATGAGGAAACTGAGACACAGAAAGGTTAAAGATCTTGCTCAAAGCCAGAAGTCACATCCAGGCAATCTGGTTCTCTGCAGTTTTGCTCTTCCATCTTGGCAATAACAACTACCTGAGAGGTGACTGTCTCTTTTCTTGCCTTAGCTGTCGCACCAACAGCAACTACACTGGCCTTATGCTCTAAATGCTTCCTTTTTCCAACTCTTAATTTCTACTATTATTTTTCTCTTTAATGTAGATGCTGGTAGTTTATGCCATCTCAAATCCTTTGTACAGCAAGGCAGGGCTAAGATATTTTTTTGTTGTTGTTGTTTGAGACAGAGTCTCGCTTTGTCGCCCAGGCTGGAGTGCAATGGTATGATCTCGGCTCACTGCAACCTCCACCTTCCAGGTTCAAGTGATTCTCCTGCCTCAGCCTCCCAAGTAGCTGGGATTACAGGCACCCACCATCACGCCTGGCTAATTTTTGTATTTTTAGTAGAGACAGAGTTTCACCATGTTGGCCAGGATGGTCTCAAACTCCTGACTTCAGGTGATCCCCCTACCTTGGCCTCCCAAAGTGCCAGGATTACAGGCGTAAGTCACCGTGTCCATCCTACCCCTTAAGTTTTATTGCAAAACTTAAGACTTTTAAAATATAGCTACTAGAAATTTTTAAATTTCTATGTAGCTTGTGTTTTATTTCTATCAGCACCATACTAGATACTGTAGTAAAAAGTTTTAAAAAGGTGAAATTAGTTTTAATAATATTCTTTAATCAATATATCTAAAATATCATTTCAACGTATGATCAACACAAAAATTATAATTAGGTATTTTACACTTGCTTTTGCACTAAAGCTTCTATATACAGTATGTACTTTACACTTACAGCACATCTCAATTTGTACATTTTCATCAGAAATAGCTAAACTAAAAAGAAAAAAAAAGAAATAGCTGAACTGTATTTAGATTTCATAAAATTTACTATTTATAAAGTAGACTCACATACCCAAGTTGTTTAAAACATATTTAAAAGTCTTCCAATAACTAGGCTGGGTGTGGTGGCTCACACCTGTAATTCCAGCACTTTGGGAGGCCAAGACGGTGGATCATTTGAGGTCAGGAGTTCAAGACTAGTCTGGACAACATGGTGAAACCCTGTCTCTACCAAAAATACAAAAATTAGCCGGGTGTGGTGGCAGGTGCCTGTAGCCCAGCTACTCAGGAGGCTGAGGCAGGAGAATCGCTTGAACCTGGGTAGTGAAGGCTGCAATGAGCCAAGATTGTGCCATTGTACTCCAGCCTGAGTGACAAGAGCGAAACCCTGCCTCAAAAAAAAAAAAAAAAAAAAAAAAGTGGGCTGGGAATGGTGGCTCACGCCTGTAATCCCAGCACTTTGGGAGGCCGAGGCGGGCAGATCACGAGGTCAGATCGAGACCACCCTGGCTAACACAGTGAAATCCCGTCTCTACTAAAAACACAAAAAAATTAGCCAGGCATGGTGGCAGGCGCCTGTAGTCCCAGCTACTAGGGAGGCTGAGGAAGGAGAATGGCGTGAACCCAGGAGGCAGAGTTTGCAGTGAGCTGAGATCACACCATTGCACTCCAGCCTGGGCAACAGGGCGAGACTCCATCTCAAAGAAAAAAAAAAGTGGCTATTATTATACACTAAATGAAAATGGCACTGTGATCATACGTGCAGGTGACAAAATCTAGATATGAACCTTTTAAAGGCATATTATAAAGGTAATTCCAACGGATGGGGTACCAAATTACTGATATGAACAAGATGGTGACTCATTGAAACAGAGGAAACAGAATAAGAACTTAAAATTATGATTCCCAGTCCCATTCAGAAAAATATTTTATGATAAAATTTTAGCACAGTTTTCTCGAGCATTTACTTTCTAAGAATTAAATATTTTATCAAATAATTAAGTCCCAAAATACCCCCAAATGCCACCTAACCTTAAAAGCACATTCTATTTAAACATATTAAAGAAATGAATCTTAGAAAATATAGAGAGATTTTTTACAAAATGAAATATCCCCCAAAGTCTTAAATCTACTCTGATTCCAAATTCAAGAATTTGCCCTTAGTCCAGGGACTGTGGCTTACACCTATAATCACAGCACTTTGGGAGGTTGAGGCCCAAAGATCACTTGAGCCCAGGAGTTCAACACCAACCAGGGAACTGTGGCAGAAATCCAACTCAACAAAAATTTTTTTTTTTTGAGAAAGAGTCTCATTCTGTTGCCAGGCTGGAGTACAGTGGCACGATCTCAGCTCACTGCAACCTGTACCTCCCGGATTCAAACGATTCTCCTGCTTCAGCCTCCTGAGTAGCTGGGACTACAGGCACGCACCACCATGCCCAGCTAATTTTTGTATTTTTAGTAGAGAGGGGGTTCCACCATGTTGGCCAGGATAGCCTCTATCTCTTGACCTCATGATCCACCCACCTCGGCCTCCCAAAGTTCTGGGTGTACAGGCGTGAGCCACCGCACCCAGCCCAAATTTTTTTTTTAATTAGCTGACCGGGCACAATAGTGCACGCCTGTAATCTCAGTACTTTGAGAGGCCAAGACACATGGATTGCTTGAGCTCAAGAGTTCAAAATGAGCCTGAGCAACACAGCAAAGCCCTGTCTCTATAAAAAATACAAAAATTAGCCGGGTGTGGTTCCCAGAAGGTCGAGGCTGCAGTGAGCCCAGTAGAAAGTAAGCCTGAGGTGTCCACTGCACAATCCAGCCTGGGCAACAGAGTGAGATCCCGTCTCAAAAAATTAGCTGGGCCCGGGCACAGTGGCTCACTTCTGTAATCCCAGAACTTTAGGAGGCCGAGACAGACAGATAACGAGGTCAGGAATTCGAGACCAGCCTGGCCAATATGGTAACATTCCGTCTCTACTAAAAATACAAAAATTAGCCGGGTGTGGTGGCACACACCTGTAGTCCCAGCTACTCGGGAGGCTGAGGCAGAAGAATCTTTTGAACCCAGTAGGTGGAGGTTGAAGTGAGCCGAGATCACGCCACTGGACTCCAGCCTGGGCAACACAGCGAGACTCTGTCTCAAAAAAAAAAAAAAAAAAAAAAAAAATTAGCTGGGTGTGGTGCCATGCACCTGCAGTCCCAGTGACTCGAGAGGCTGAGGTAGGAGAACTTGAGCCCAGTAGGTTGAGGTGACAGTGAGCCATCACAGAGCCACAGCATGGGCCATAGAGCAAGACCCTGCCTCTAAAAACAACAAAAAAAGAATATGCTCTTAAAGAACTTCCTTGGGAATATGTAAATGTACTGCTTCCAAAATGTTAATAATGCTTATCGCTGAGGAATTAAGAGTCTTCTCCCTCACTAGACTTTTTTATAGCCCAATTTCTAATATATCAGATTTCTGTAAATCTAACCTAATACTTAAAATCAATCAACCGATCAACAAGAACACGTAGGCATCTATTTGCTTTATACTATGACACACAGTATATGGATAACCACCTGGATCAATTTTTGATGTGGTAAAGCTTATAACTGAAACATCAGAGCCTCAGGGTTTCATTCCACTCCTAACACTCTACGAATGAAATATGAAATATATTTCAAAGAACATATTATATTTTTAGAAACTATTCATGTGAAAGAGAAGAATGCTATTATGACACTAATTCTGTCCCAAACCAAATATATGACTATATTGATGACCCAGCAGTTGCTTCTGCCTGGCTCCTTTTCTTTTGATCCAGTCCCCTTTCCTCTGATACTAACACATCAATTTTTCTTTGGGAAATTAATGGACTCCCACTCTTGATCATGTATTTCTAAAGATGTTGACCCCACTCCAAACCCCAAGATGACCATAAAACCCAAGTCAGTCTGATAAGATTAAATCCCAGTACTTTTTTGTTTTAACTTGGGGGCAGGAGATCTCCTTCCACTGAAATTACTGACCTAAACAGTAAATAAGCTGATGACTATCTTTCCTGATAGTGTTGCACATTCTTTCTTTCAGTTGGGCAGTCTGTTCCTTAGAGAGACTATTTAGCATATAATACAATTCTTAAATTATTAAAATAAAATTTAATAGCACTAATATGAAATAAAAAAAACCCACTATTTCCTTTTCCATGACTAAATCCCACTTATGACAATATAAACATGCAAAGAAGAAAGTACTTATCATTGAGACTATCATTCTCAAAGCCCAGAATGGACATCTTAGATAGTAACCATTTGTGCATGGGAGAGAATCAGCTGCCAGATCTGCTCTAGTTACAGCAATCAAGGCACAAAGTAACTAGAACAAAATAGACGCCACCAATTGGCAACCACCTAATTTCCTTAACTGAAAAACATATTGTGAACTTCTCCACACAACGCTGTGCCCAGATAAAGCAATTAAGAAGACATTTAGCAAGCTTTTTTTTTTAAAAAAAAAAGAAATAGGATCTTACTCTATTGCCCAGGCTGGAGTACAGTGGTGCAATCGTAGCTCAATGAGGCCTCAAAACTCCTGGGGCACAAGCAATCCTCTTGACTTAGCTTCCTGAGTAGCTGGGACTAAAGGCATGCTCTACCACACCATGCTTTTTTTTTTTTTTAAGAGCAGGGTCTCACTATGTTGCCCAGGCTGATCTCAAACTCCTGGCCTCAAGTGATTCTCCCACTTCAGTGTCCCAAGTAGCTGGGATTACAGGCACAAGCCACCATGCCCAGCAAGAAACATTTTCTTAAATATTCATTATAGTCCAGGTACTCTGGCAGAACCACCACATAATCCTGGTCAATCTTTAAGCAAGCTAGCTGCCACCATCAAAACATTCTCTCATCCGTATAATGAGACTCCCAGTGGAAAGGATAATTGATAGCAATATCATGCCTTTCCAGGTCTGTGGCTTGCTCTCTCAATCTTACCCTCAGTTCCACAATGATCAGACTACAAGGCTATCAAAAGTACCTCCCCACCAGAAAAAGATGGACAATCCCTGAGCAACAATGTCAAAGAATACCCTTGCTACATGTAGTCTCAGCCCAGCCTACCTGTCCAAAGTGAGCAGGGTAGCCCAGCATGTGCATATACAGTAATTTTGCCACATTCCGACATCGGTATGTATTGTCTTCTTCTCTAAAAGATGACCGGATTGCAGCACATTCTTTCTGGATCATTTCTCGTTCTTCAGCTTGGGTTCGGGCTGTCCGGATGGTCCGGATCAGCTCCCGCAATCTGATGGGGGCTGGCATCCTCTGGATATGGAAAGACATTAAATAGAGATGTTCACATTTTTTACTACCAAAGCTATTCACACAACTTCCCATTTAAATTTTTGACTAGTTTTTAAGAATTCAAGACTTGCCAAATCCAGCTTAGCGAAGCTAAACAAAGCGTGCTAAGCTTCCGCAAAGCTATTACATACAGACCTCTCAACTCTGTACATTTCTGGAAAGGCTACAAACAAATATGGTTAAGTATTAAATTAAGCAAAATAAAACAAAGAATACACTAAATATGTAAAGTCTATCACTAATATCAAAATATCTCAGAAACTAATACAACTCAAATCTTTACTCAATCCTTAAAGTAATAAGGAAAGGCCTATGCCTAACCTTAGAAAAGATAGATATTATCTGTTCAACTGCTGTTAAACATAACATAGCTCAACAAAAATAAATATGGTCACAATCATAGCTCAACTCAACAAAATATGAGAGATTAAGAGAGAAGACCAATTGTCAGATTAAAACACATTCAACAAACTGTAACCATCCCAGTACACTGTGTGTATACTTTGAAAATGTGATGAGAAAAAAATAAACTAACCTCAGAAAATAAGGCTATTAGTGTCATGAATATCTTTTAAAAGTAAAAAAAAAAAAACGTTAATAAGGGACATATAACAGCCTAAATAATTGTTAACAAACAGAAAAAACAGAACGTGCACTACCTAATTTCAAGAATTACTACAAAGCTATAGTAATCAGGGAAATGTGGAACTAACTGAATGTAAGAATAGACTGAAGCAGGCCAGGCACGGTGGCTCACGCCTGTAATCCCAGCACTTTGGGAGGCCAAGGTGGGCGGATCACCTGAGGTCGGGAGTTCGAGACCAGCCTGACCAACATGGAGAAACCCCATCTCTACTAAAAATACAAAATTAGCCGGCCATGGTGGCACATGCCTGTAATCCCAGCTACTCAGGAGAATTGCTTGAACCCAGGAGGTGGAGGTTTCAGTGAGCCAAGATTGCACCATTGCCCTCTAGCCTGAGCAACAAGAGTGAAACTCCATCTCAAAAAAAAAAAAAAAAGAATAGAAACAAAACTGAAAGTTTAGGAATAAACCCACACAAATATACACAAGTGATTTTTAACAAAGAGGCCAAAGTTATTCAATAGGAGCAAGATAGTCTTTCAATGAATGGTGCTGGCAACTATTTCTCTCCATGGGGGAAAAAAATTAACCTCAATCCTAACCACACACAATACACAAAAATTAACTAAAAATGGATCACAAACCTAAAAGTCAAAGCTAAAACTAAAAATCTTCCAGAAGAAAACACAGAGGAAAATCTTTGCAAACAGGTTAAACAGAGAGACTTCACACACAACCACAAAGTATAAAAGAAAAACTTAATAACTGTACCCTATCAAAGTTTAAAATTTTTGCTCTCCAAAGGACATCATTATGAAAATAGGACACACCAGCTGGGCACAGTGGCTCACGCCTTTAATGCCAGCACTTTGGGAGGCCAAGGCAGGCAGATCACCTGAGGTCAGAAGTTCGAAACCAGCCTGGCCAACATTGCAAAACCCTGTCTCTACAAAAAATACAAAAATTAGCTGGGCATGGTGGCACACACCTGTAGGCTCAGCTACTTGGGATACTGAGGGAGGAGGATTGCTTGAGCCTGGGAGGCAAGACTGCAGTGAGCCAAGATCACACCACTGCAATCCAGCCTGGGCAACAGAGCAAGACTGTCTCAAAAAAACAAAAAAAAAAAACAAAAAAAACAAAAACAAAAAATCCTCACAGAACTGTAAAACAATAAACCAGAAGAGTCAATTTTACCATATGTTAACTTTAAAGAGTTTATTTTAAAGTAAACAAAAAAGCCCTTGAACTAAACAATTGAGACCTATTTGATCAGTTATAGAATATATACCTGAGAAAATTACTAGTTATTCTAACCTGCTTAAAGGCATATTTAACCACTCAAGTAACAAAACATTACTGTAAAATCTTGTGAAGAATGTTGTATGTAGATAGGGAAACGCTGTCTCTACAAATAATAAAAAAAAGTTAGCCAAACATAGTGGCACACGACTACTGTCCCAGCTACTCAGGAGATTGAGGCAGGAGGATAGCCTGAGCCCTAGAGGCTGAGGCTGCAGTAAGCTGTGACACTGTATCCTGGGTGACAGAGTGAGACCCTGTCTCAAAAAAAAAAAAAAAAAAAGTTGTGTGTAATGGGTATATTAAGATATGGTCACACGGCTGGGCCTATAAAAGCTAACACTAAACTCTGACTTTTTTTTTTTTTTTTTTTGGTGGAGTTTCGCTCGTTGCCCAGGCTGGAGTGCAATGGCGCAATCTCGGCTCACTGCAACCTCCACCTCCTGGGTTCAAGCACTTCTCCTGCCTCAGCCTCCCAAGTAGGTGGTATTACAGGCATGCACCACCATGCTTGGCTAATTTTTGTATTTTTAGTAGAGACAGGGTTTCACCATGTTGGTCAGGTTGGTCTCGAACTCCTGACCTCAGGTGATCCACCCGCCTTGGCCTCCCAAAGTGCTGGGATTACAGGTGTGAGCCACCACGCCAGGCCAACACTAAACTCTTATACAAGGGATGGCTGAAGGTAGTCTCACCTCAAAAATGAAGTCATTTTCGGAGTCAATAAACTAGAGACGTGAACTATGGGGGATGGAAGGCTAAAATAAGGTTCTATTAATCTGAACCATAAAGGTGTCAAGATGTCTACACAGGAGTTTCAGTATGGCAGGTTGAAAGACCGTGCCCTCCAAACACAGGCAGGTCAAAAAAGCCACCAGTTAAGCTATGTCCCTTTTGGCATTCTAAACTGGTAAAATCAGACTGAAAGAGAAGATAATGCTTAACATATGTGGAGAAGGGCAATGACAAATCTTCAGGAATTTTTACTTATTTCTACCCTAGATATATAAGAAAGTCTATTCTGAAAATCCCAGCCCTTTCCAACCCTGAAAAACAAAGAAATGTGAGTCCGTATTTTGGCCAAAGCACTGAAAGGAAGGAGGCACACCACAGGAACCAAGCATTGGAAGTAACAGGAAGTTAAAGAATTACAAGTGAGGAGGCCGGGTGCAGTGGCTCACACCTGTAATCCTAGCACTTTGGGAGCATTGAGATGGGTGGATCACCTGAGGTCAGGAGTTCGAGACCAGCCTGGCCAACATGGCAAAACCCCGTCTCTACTAAAGATACAAAAAATAGCCAGGCGTGGTGGCGCACACCTGTGATCCCAGCTCCTACAGAGGCTGAGGCAGGAGAATCGCTTTAACCCGGGAAGTGGAGATTGCAGTGAGTCAAGATCGCACCACTGCACTCCAGCCAGGGTGACGGAGCGAGACTCTGTCAAAAAGAAAGAAAAAAAAAAGGAATTACAAGTGAGGCTGGGCACGGTGGCTCACACCTGCAATCACAGCACTTTGGGACACAGACCCGAGCAGATCGCTTGAGCCCAAGAGTTCAAGAATAGCCTGGGCGACATGCTGAAACCCTGTCTCTACAGAACATAAACAAAATGAGCCAGGCATGGTGGCATGCACCTGTGGTCCCAGCTACTTGGGAGGCTGAGGTGGGAGGATGACCTGAGCCTAGGAGTGAGGCTGCAGTGAGCTGAGATCAGGCCACTGCACTCCAGCCTGGGCGATGGCACAAGATCCTGTCTCAAAAAACAGAAAAAGCAAACAAACAAAACAAATAACAATAATAAACTCCAACCTTTTTTTAAAAAGTCCGGAACACAGTAATGAAACTATACAGAACATAGCTGAGAATCCAAAAACACATTTTTATTATCTCAAGCAGCCAATATAGAGAGTGACACATCAACACACTATAACATCTACTTTACTCCAGATAGAAGTCCTCATTCAGCCCGTTCTGGAATAGAAGCTACAAATCAGAAAACTGTAAGGGAAAGAGGGGAGGAGGGTGGACCCAGGAGATAGAAACTGCTTTAGAAAAGGGTATCTATGATAGTTAAAAATGTCACCCAACACCAAGGGAAGAAACAAAAGCAGCAACAAAAACAAACAAATAAATAAAAACCTATATACAGCAGAAACAAGCATTTTTAAAACAGTCTGGAGCTACTTAGTGTGTAACCAAAAAGTAGCCAACTCCCACTAAGGTCCTAAGAGCACCAATAAATTATAAACAGTACCACAATATAGTTTTTGTTGTTGTTTTTTGCTTTCTTTTTGAGACAGGGTCTCACTCTGCCACCCAGGCTGGAGTGCAGTGGTGCGATCTCGGCTCACTGCAATCTCTGCCTCCTTGGCTCACTGCAATCTCTGCCTCCTTGGCTCAAGCGATCCTCCCACCTCAGCTCCCCAAGTAGCTGGGACTACAGGCGCAAGCCACCACACCAGGCTGACTGGCTGATTTTTGTATTTTTTTTAGAGATGAGGTTTCATCATGTTGCCCAGGCTGGTCTCAAACTCCTGAGCTCAAGTGATCCACCCACCTTGGCCTCCCAAAGCCCTGGGATTACAGGCATGAGCAACCGCACCTGGACCATAATGTGGTTTTATAAAAAGACCTTGATTCTCCAAGAAGTGGTTAAAATAAGATTAACATTTAACATTCAATGCACAGGGAAAAAACATGAATACAAAATTATATCTGTATTATAACCAACTTCTAAAAATCTTACAGTTCAGATACCATCTGCCCTTACTAATTTAACTACCTGACCCATCAAAGACTGAGAAAGGTATGTTAAAGTCTACCACTATGATTGTGCTTCTGTCAATTTCTCCATTTACATATAACCACTTACATTTAGTATTTCGATGGTTTCACTCTATGCTTAAGTGTTCCATATTTTATATTCATTATGGCTTGTACACTATAACAAAATAAAATGTCCCTCTTTGTCCTGTTTTTTTAAAGCAAATAATAAAAACATCTCTTAAAACAAGGATGGAAAGCGAACACAAAAATATTAAAAGTCTGACTTAAGGGACACGGATTATAGATTAATGTGTTTCAGTTTTTATTAACAGTTATATGATAAATAATGATAAAAACAGAGGAAAAAAGGAAACATAAAATTCATTTTAGAAAAATTTCTATCCAAAATGGTTAAGCAAAATTGGGTTTTGGAGCTTAAACTAAATAAGATTACTTTATATGCCCAAAGAATCAAAATTATAAACAAACTAAAGGAAAAAAATGTAAATAGAAGAAAAAAATAATGTGTGCATGTTTCAATTCTCCTAAAATTTATGGCCAAAATGGTGAAGATGGCTATTTTCCAACATCTCCACAAATCCCTTTAAGGATAAAGATTTTTCTCATACAGCAATACCATTCTCAGGCCATGAGAAGTGCTTTTTTTTTTTTTTTTTTTTTTTTTTTTTACTTTGAAATGCCTATTTTTCCCACTAAATACAAGCTCCCTAAGGCTAGATCTTCATTTGCCTTGTTCACTCTTGTATCCTCCTATAAGAATACAAACTTGATAAATACTATATTTATTAAATCCTAAATGCTAAAATATCTTTAAAAAAATTGAATTGTCCTTTCCAAAGCACACAAAATAAAGGTGTACCAGCTGCTCACCAACAGCTATGGAAAAAGGGTGTCAGAACTCAACCCAGTTCTCTCTTCTACCCTGCCCAGATAACGTTCTCCCTGCTTTAGAACTCACACTGCCCACTGTGCACTTTCAGCTACTGACAGCCAACTATCAAGGACACAACCAAAAAGCTGGAGCTTCTGCAACTATGTGGTCAGTCTTCCCCTAACAGACCTCAAGTTATTTGAGCTCTAAATCTAAAAACAAAATTCTAAAACTTAACTTTTCAACATTAAAATCACCTATTTTTCTATCCAACAAAGATTGTACTTGAAGAAGTCTTTCTGGCTAAACAATGAGAAAAGACCCAAGCAAATAAGCAAGACTTCAATTAACTTCACCATTGACTACTGTGTCAGTCACAGAATGTCAGTCTAGCTGAGAATGTTCAAGGGATGTAAGTTAACATCAGGCAAAACCCTCCAAAGAAGTTACCATGCTTTCCCTCTTGCATTCTCCAGATGGCCTATATTTTTATATTATGGGCCATACAGAACCCCTATTTCAGATTTTTATTTCATATGTATATCTGAGTTGCTTTAACGCCATTTACAACCTGCAAAATACTATGACTAGAATGTGACACTAGAAAAGCTTAAATCAAATCAACTGATTGTATTATGCTTCAATCAGACTTTTACTTTACAATACATCTTATTCTGGCTATCATTACACTGATCTAGCCTAGCTGGTTTTCTCACTGCCTGTGTTTTTGTGGTTTTCTTTCTTTTGAGGGGAGTAGAGGGGTGCATACCTATTTCCCCTATATGAAGAAATGTGTTCACAGAAGGGAAATGGTCTACAGTGAATAAACGGAAAAGACCAGAGTTAGAACTTCACTGTTTGAATAGGAGAGATTAAATCTGGGGATAGGCCAGGCGTGGTGGCTCACGCCTGTAATCCCAGCACTTTGGGAGGCCGAGGCAGGTAGACTGCTCAAGTCCAGGAGTTCAAGACCAGCCTGAGCAACATGGCGACACCCAGTCTCTACTAAAAATACAAAAATTAGTTGGGAGTGGTGGCGCATGCGTCTGTAGTCCTAGCTATTCGGGAGGCTGATGTGGGAGGATCACTTGAGCCAAGGGGACTTGGGTTGCAGTGAGCTGAGATCGAATCACTGCACTCCAGCCTGGGTTGTGAAGTAAGACCGTCTCAAAAATAATAATAATACAATGAAATAAATCTGGGGATAAGTATTCTGGTCTTTAGAGAGGCAAACAGCATTGTAAGACAAGCATAATTCTTTGATCAGGTTTCACCATGGCTTAAAATGACAAAACACTCAAGACCAACTTTATATGGTCTGTTTCAGGCTCACAGTGCAACTTTCTGATTATTAAATACTTCCTTAAGCGCCTCAACTCCCAAGTACCTCCATACAAGGAATAGTGTCCTGTGGAATGCAGACACAAGTAATTCAGGAGAAAAGCATATCCCCCCCTTGTGAATTACAATACTACAGTATTATTATAACTTACAAATCAGTGTGTTTGATTGGTCTCAATCACCCCTAGGAGATGAACTACTAAAATGGAATTTCTGGATCTTCAAGGCTAAAGAATAGGCTGTGGAATGTAGGATCACATTGAGATACCACCCCACCCTGTCTAGGCAGCCAGCTGGCATCCCTCTAAGAGGACTTAAGTTCAATTCTCCCTAAATTGTCACAGTAATTACAGGAATCTTATTTTATGCTTAATTATCCATAACCAAAATTCACCAGAACTGAGATCTAAAAAGCAGATGTCTATAAATGCAAACATGCCTACTGAACAATTCAACAGCACTGAGATGCATAAAAAGCAGACTGGGCACAGTGGCTCAGGCCTGTAATCCCAGCACTCTGGGAGGCCGAGGAGGGCAGAATGCTTGATTCCAGGAGTTCAAGACCAGCCTAGGCAACACAGCAAGACCCTGACTCTTAAAAAAAAAATTATATATATATATATATATGTATGTATATGTATATAAGCATGAAAAGCAATAAAGGCCAAGTAAACAATGATCGCTAAACAAGACAAACATCTAATCTGACACTAATGAAATAAAAAAAAATTTCATTCTCCCAACCATAATCTTATTAGCAAAACCATACTAAAGTACTCTCAATTCAAGAAGTATCATCAAATTCTCAAAACGAAAATTTGGCTTAAAGACATGACCCAAAGGGTATAATTAATGTTGAAGGAGGTTATCTGATGTAAATATGGATGCCTTTTTAACTTCTATATATAGTCTGCTATCTTTCAAGTAATGAGCATGTAAAACTTGGAATAAAACTTGCTTTGAAAAAAAGCAAACAAATTAACAAAAACGTATAAATAAAGCAACTGTAAACTTTCAAACCTAGTAAGGTGTCATTCATTCCAGAAAAACTTATCTAAGTGTACTCTTCCCTAGGATGACAAGCAGAAACATTAGAAAGTTACTTAATATAGCCGGAGACGGTGGCTCACCCCTGTAATCCCAGCACTTTGGGAGGCTGAGGTAGGCAGATCATGAGGTCAGGAGTTCAAGACCAGCCTGACCAACATAGTGAAACCCCATCTCTACTAAAAATACAAAAATTAGCCGGGCGCAGTGGTGCACGCCTGTGACCCCAGCTACTCAGGAGGCTGAGGCAGGAGAATCGCTTGAACCCAGGAGGCGGGGATTGCAGTGACCTGAGATCGTGCCACTGCACTCCAGCCTGGGCGACAGAGCAAGACGCAGTCTCAAAAAAAAAAAGTTACTTAATACTAAGATGACAAATTTTCCCTAGCATATTCTTCATGAATCCAAGTTCTATTAATTCTGGATATACAAGGAGAGTGGGGGAGTTGTCCAAAGAAAATTAAAGATGGTATAATATTTACTTTTAATTAATGTATCTGATATTAACTAGTTAGAAATGGAGGGTAAACAGTCCCATTGACAATAGTGTCAAAATAAAATACGTAGGAATAAATTTAGTAAGAAAGGTATAGGAACTATACGAAAAAAACTACGAAATCTATAAAATATTTGTTGAAAGACCTAAAATAAACTTGAACAAACAGACACACACTACAGCAAGGAAAAATTATCATCAAAAACTGTTAAGGCTGGGTGCGGTGGCTCACGCCAGTAATCCCAACACTTTAGAGGCCAAGGTGGGAGGATCACTTGAGGCCATGAGTTAGAAACCAGCCTGGGCAATACAGTGAGACTGTGTCTCTACACTGCCTCCCAGATTCAAGCAATTCTCCTGCCTTACCCTACCGAGTAGCCAGGACTATAGGCGCGTGCCACCACGCTCAGCTAATTTTTTTGTATTTTTAGTAGAGACAAGGTTTCACCTTGTTAGCTAGGATGATCTCAGTCTCCTGACCTCGTGATCCGCCAGCCTCGGCCTCCCAAAGTGCTGGGATTACAGGCATGAGCCACTGCACCCAGCTGGAATGGATTCTAAGACAGTTTCAGAAACCAAAGAGGAAAAGAGGGATATATATAATTACCTGAAAATGTCTGTGACATAAATAAGATTAAAAGATAAATGAGGCCGGGCGTGGTGCGGTGGCTCACGCCTGTAATCCCAGCACTTTGGAAGGCAGAGGCAGGCAGATCACCTGAGGTCAGGAGTTTGAGACCAGCCTGGCCAACATGGCGAATCTCTGTCTCTACTAAAAGTACAAAAATTAGCCGGGCATGGTGGCGGGCACCTGTAATCCCAGCTACCCAGGAAGCTGAGGCAGGAGAATTGCTTGAACCCAGGAGGCAGAGGCTGCAGTGAGCCGAGATCACACCACTGCACTCTAGCCTGGGCGACAAGGGTGAGACTCTGTCTCCCAGGAAAAAAAAAAAGGATAAATGAAAGACAAGAAAAATACACGTGCCATATAACAAAGAATTAACATTCCATAAGCGCTCCTACAGGAGGAAAAAAAAAGAGAAAGAAAAATGAAGCAAGGACATGAGCAGACAATTCTCGGTAAAGGAAATCCAATGGCTATTATACGTATCAAATAAGGCTAGCCCCAGTAACAGGGAAGTTAAAATTAAGACAAACTGCATGACCCATTTATCATCTAGCAGACTAGTAAAAATTAAACTATGTATTTATACCCAGTGGTTTCATGATATGGAGAAGTTACTGCTATTTGGGATGAAAATTATGATAACCTATTTAGAGAGTAATCTAGCAATAATAATATTTAAAATATATTTCTCTGTTAACCCAGAATTCCCCCTTTGGAGACTACAGAAATAAAAGCATCAGCATATAAGGCGGCATGTACAAGGATATTTATTGTAGCACTTTGTTAAGTGGCAAAAATCTAGAAATGATCTAAATGTCCACAGGAAAATAATAAATTATGGTACATCCACGCTATAAGACACAATAGGACTGTTTAAAGGAACAAGATAGAATTATATTTACTGTGGGCTGAGTGCAGTGGCTCACACCTGTAATCTCAGCACTTTGGGAGGCCACAGGAGGCAGACTGCTCAAGTCCAGGAGTTTGAGACCAGCCTGAGCAATACAGCTATATCTCATCTCTTATTAAAAAACTAATAGGCTGGGAGCGGTGGCTCACACCTGTAATCCCAGCACTTTGGGAGGCCAAGGTAGGCGGATCATGAAGTCAGGAGATCAAGACCATCCTGGCTAACATGGTGAAACCCAATTCTACTAAAAATACAGAAAATTAGCGGGGTGTGGTGACAGGTGCCTGCAGTCCCAGCTACTCGGGAGGCTGATGCAGGAGAATGGCGTGAACCCAGGAAGCAGAGCATGCAGTGAGCCGAGACTGCGCCACTGCACTCCAGCCTTCGTGACAGAGCGAGGTTCCATCTTAAAAATAATAATAATAATAATAATAATAAAAAATTATATTGGCTGGGTGCGGTGGCTCACGCCTGTAACCCCAGCACTTTGGGAGGCCGATGCAGGCAGATTGCTCAAGCCCAGGAGTTCGAGATCAGCCTGAGCAACATAGCAAAATGTCATCTTTTAAAAAAATAATAATAAAGAATTATATTGCCGGGCACGGTGGCTCACGCCTGTAATCCCAGCACTTTGGGAGGCCGAGGCAGGTGGATCACGAGGTCAGGAGATCAAGACCATCCTGGTTAACATGGTGAAACTCTGTCTCTACTAAAAAAAAAAATACAAAAAAATTAGCCGGGTGTGGTGGTGGGCGCCTGTAGTCCCAGCTACTCGGGAGGCTGAGGCAGGAGAATGGCGTGAACCCAGGAGGTGGAGCTTGCAGTGAGCCGAGATCGCACCACTGCACTCTAGCCTGGGTGATAGAGCAAGACTCCCCATCTCAAAAAAAAAAAAAAAAAGAATTATATTGGCCAGGCACGGTGGCTCACACCTGTAATCCTAGCACTTTGGGAGGCCAAGGTGGGAGGATCATGTGAGGTCGGGAGTTCAAAACCAGCCTGACCAACATGGAGAAACCCCCCCGTCTCGGGTCGGGTGCGGGGGCTCACGCCTTTAATCCTAGCACTTTGGGAGGCCAAGGTGGGCAGATCACGAGGTCAGGAGATGGAGACCATCCTGGCTAACATGGTGAAACCCCATCTCTACTAAAAATACAGAACATTAGCCAGGCGTGGTGGTGGGTGCCTGTAGTCCCAGCTACTCGGGAGGCTGACGCAGGAGAATGGCGTGAACCTGGGAGGCAGAACTTGCAGTGAGCTGGGATCGCGCCACTGCACTCCAGCCTGGGCAACACAGCGAGACTCCGTCTCAAAAAAAAAAAAGAAAGAAACCCCATCTCTACTAAAAATACAAACTTAGCGGGGCATGGTGGCACATGTCTGTAATCCCAACTACTCGGGAGGCTGAGGCAGGAGAATCACTTGAACCTGGGAGGCGGAGGTTGCGGTGAGCTGAGATCACGCCATTGCACTCCAGCCTGGGCAGCAAAAGCAAAACTCCGTCTCAAAAAAACAAAACAAAAATGAATTATATTGGCTGGGCGCGGTGGCTCATGCCTGTAATCCCAGCACTTTGGGAGGCCAAGGCAGGCAGATCACTTAAGGTCAGGAGTTTGATACCAGCCAGGCCAACATGGCGAAACCTCATCTCTACTAAAAATACAAAAATTATCTGGGTGTGGTGGCAGGTGCCTATAATCCCAGCTACTCTGAAGTCTGAGGCAGGAGAATCACTGAACCCAGGAGGCGGAGATTCCCACCACCTGGGTGACAGGGTAAGACTCCATCTCAAAAAAAACAAACAAACAAAAAAAAAGAATTATATTTACTGACCATGACATGTTAAAAAAAAAAAAAAGCGTGTCATAGAGTAATATAAATAATATGATCTCTCTTTAGTAAAAACAAAAAATTCCTATGTACACTTACGTGAGTATGTACAGTACTTAACTAAGCATTGAGAGAAATATTGAAGCGTAAATTCATTCATAATCTGTTAAAATTTGGGGTTAAAATTAAGACTGTCATAGAACAGATGATGTAACACTACAGGGTAAACACTATAGGGTAAACATCCCTAATCCAAAATCTGAAATTCTCCAAAACCTGACATTTTTTGATTGTTGACATGATGCTTGAAGAAATGCTCTTCAAGGCCGGGCGCGGTGGGTCACGCCTGTTATCCCAGCAGGGGAGGCTGAGGCGGGCAGATCACAAGGTCAGGAGATCACGACCATCCTGGCTAACATGGTGAAAGCCCGTCTCTACTGAAAATACAAAAAATTAGCCAGGCGTGGTGGCGGGCGCCTGCAGTCCCAGCTACTCTGGAGACTGAGGCAGGAGAATGGCATGAACCCGGGAGGCGGAGCTTGCAGTGAGCCGAGATTGCGCCACTGCACTCCAGCCTGGGCGACAGGGCGAGACTCCGTAACCAAAAAAAAAAAAAAAAAAGAAAAGAAAAAAATGCTCTGCAAGTGTTTCAGATTTTGGATTTTAGGATTAGGGATGTACAAGTGGTGTAACGCAAATATTCCAAAATCTGAAAAAATCCAAAATATGAAACATTTCTGGTCTCAAGCATTTCAGATAAGAGATACTCAATGTGTATTTGGTTGAAAGAGCTAACTTATATAAATGATTATACAGTTGTACAACTCAAAGTAAAAGGAGTTCCATTAGTGTTTTTACAGCTCAAGTTAGTGAACCTATTTAACTAAACCTCAAAACTAAACAACTGAAAAAGTGTTCAGTCTTAAAAGGAAGCAAAAGAAGCGTTTTTTACTTACCTCTTTTTTTTGAGACAGTCTATCTCTGTCACCCAGGCTGGAGTGCAGTGGCACAGTCTTAGCTCACTGCAGCCTTGAACTCCTGGGTTCAAGTGATCTTCCTGCCTCAGGCTCCCAGGCAGCTAAGGCTACTGGCAAAGACACCACAACCCAGCTACTTTAAAAAATTTTGGGCCAGGCGCGGTAGCTCATGCCTGTAATCCCGGCACTTTGGGAGGCCGAGGTGGGTGGATCACCTGAGGTCAGGAGGTCAAGACCAGCCTGTCCAACATGGTGAAACCCCATCTCTACTAAAAGTACAAAAATTAACTGGGCATGGTGGCGGGCGCCTGTAATTCTAGCTACTTGGGAGGCTGAGGCAGAAGAATCGCTTGAACCCAGGAGGCGGAGGTTGAGGTGAGCCGAGATCGCACCACTGCACTCCAGCCTGGGTGACAGAGCAAGACTCTGTCTCAAAAAAAAAATTCGTACAGCCAGAGTCCCACTGTGTTTCCCAGGCTGGTTTCAAACTCCTGTCCTCAAGTGATCCTTCTGACTTGGCTTCCCAAAGTACTGGGATTACAGACATGAGCCACCAGGTCTGGCCAGCGAAGTTTATTTTTAGGTTGAGAAAACACGTAACATCTTTACATATCTTTGAAAGATTTAAAATATTTTAGCCAGGCTCGGTGGCTCACACCTATAATCCCAGCACTTTGGGAGGCTGAAGCAGGTGAATCACCTGAGGTCAGGATTTCGAGACCAGCCTGGCCAACGTGACAAAACCCCGTCTCCACTAAAAATACAAAAAGTAGCCAGGTACAGTGGTGCACGCCTGCAGTCCCAGCTACTCGGGAGGCTGAGCACAAGAATCGCGGGAACCCAGGAGGTAGAGGCTGTAGTAAGCTGAGATGGCACCACTGCACTCCAGCCTGGGTGACAGAGTGAGACTCTGTCTCAAAAAGAATAAATAAATAAATAATAAGATGTTTTTATTTATAAATTACAAAAGTCACATGTATTTTTTCCTCATCTTTTAAAAAAATGACTTCTTCCTTCTAAACCTACTTAATTTGTTGCCAACATTTATGATTTACTAATTAAATCTCTCCAATGGTCTGAGTAGGCTTTTTTTTAAAGTAAAATTTCCAAGTACCTAGTGAAAAAAAGCATTTCTCATTTCAATCATCTCATCCTAAACCTTGCCCTTTTATGCTAAAGTGTTAGTTAATGCTGACTCAACACATTTGGCAAGTGAGTTTTTTTTCTCCCACTTCTGGACCCTTCAAACTTTAACCAGTTTTTCCAGCAACCAAAACTCATGCCATATTAAGTGTATTGTGTTACTAGGTCAGTGAAGAAAAAAACTTAACACGTATCTTCAAAGTAAAAATGACACCTCATTCATGCCTGTAATCCCAGCACTTTGGGAGGCCAAGGCTGGTGGATCACTTGAGCCCAGGAATTCAAGATCAGCCTGGTCAACAGGGTGAAGCCCTGTCTCTACTAAAAATACAAAAATTAGCTAGGCATGGTGGCGCACACCTGTAGTCCCAGCTACTCGGGAGGCTGAGGCAGAAGAATTGCTTGAACCAGGGGGCGGAGGTTGCAGTAAGCAGAGATGGCTCCGATGCACTCCAGCCTGGGCAACAGAGGAGGACTCCGTCTCAAAAAAAAAAAAAAAAAAGACACCTCTTTTCCCTTTTCTATTTCTTGACCTCATTGAAATAAAATTTTCTATACAAAAAGGCAACTGTAAAAATGCTACTACATTTTGATAAACATATTTTATTTATTTATTTTTTTTTTGGAGACAAGAGTCTCGCTCTGTCCCCAGGCTGGAGTGCAGTGGCGTGATCTCAGCTCACCACAACCTCCACCTCCCAGGTTCAAGTGATTCTCCTGCCTCAGTCTCCCGAGTAGCTGGGACTACAGGCGCGCACCATCATGCCCAGCTAATTTTTCTATTTTTTTGTAGAGATGGGGTTTAACCATGTTGGCCAGGATGGTCTCGATCTCCTGACCTCGTGATCCACCCGCCTCGGCCTCCCAAAGTGCTGGGATTACAGGCATGAGCCACCTCGCCCAGCCAACAAAGATCATTTCAAAACCTGTAAGCCAAGAAATACAAAAGATTTCTATATGCTCTCTTAATTTTTTTTTTTTTTTTTTGAGACAGAGCCTCCATCTGTCACCCAGGCTGGAGTGCAGTGGCGTGATCTCAGCTCACTGCAACCTCCACCTCCCTGTTCAAGCAATCCTCCCACCTGAGCCTCCTAAGTAGCTGGGAATGCAGGTGCACATCACCATGCCCGGCTAACTTTTGTATTTTTAGTACAGACGGGATTTCATCATGTTGACCAGGCTAGTATCAAACTCCTGACCTCAAGTGATCCGCCTGCCTCGGCCTCCCAAAGTGCTGGGATTACAGGCATGAACCACTGCACCAGCCTGCTCTCTTAAGTTTAAAATTGCTTGTGGGCAAGGCATGGTGGCACACACCTTTAATACCAGCACTTTGGGAGACAGAGGTGGGAGGACCTCTTGAGCCCAGGAATTTGAAACCAGCCTGGGCAACATGGCGAATCCCCGTCTCCACAAAAAAATAATAAATCAGGCGGCACATGCCTACAGTCCCAGCTACTTAGGAGGCTGAAGTGGGAGGATCACTTGAACCTGGGAGGAGGTCGAGGCTGCAGTGAGCTGAGATTGCACCACTGCACTCCAGCCTGGGTGAAAGAGTGAGAACCTGTCTCAATCAATCAATCAATAAAAATAAAATTGCTTGTTACTTATAAGCTGAGAGGAGTTGAAAAAAAATTGTTTGCTACTTTCAACATTATTCTGCATTAGAAACTGAGTAAAAGCAACAGAGAATAAAGAAAGCCAAAATCAAGAACCGAAAACAGACTGAACGCAGTGGCTCCTCCTGCCTGTAATCCCAGCACTTTGGGAGGCCAAGGTGGGTGGATCACTTGAGCTCAGGAGTTCGAGACCAGCCTAGCCAACATGGTGAAACCCCGCCTCTACTAAAAATACAAAAATTAGCTGGGCATGGTGGCGCACGCTTGTAATCCCAGCTACTCGGGAGGCTGAGGCAGCAGAAATCACTGGAATCCAGGAGGTGGAGGTTGCACAGTGAGCCGAGATCGAGCCACTGCACTCCAGCCTGGGAGACAGAGTAAGACTTTGTCTCAAAAAACAAACAAAAAAGAACTGAAAACAATTCATAAAGCAAGGACAGACTAAATTACAAACACCTAAAACAGTATTTTTAAATGTTCTGAAGCTCTAAGTAAGAGTTTTAAAGTTTTGATAGCAATTAAGTCCTGCTATATACACAAAATTTTAAAATCCTCATCAAATGCAAATAAGGGGATTAAGCATTGTGGAAAATCTGTTTTGGTATGTAGATTGCCAATTCAATTTTTTTAATTAAAAATAATATCTTGGAAAATACTCATTCAACTTTTTAAATTTGTATAAATTAAAAGTTTTGGCCAGGTGAGGTGGCTCACACCTGTAATCTCAGCACTTTGCGAGGCCGAGGCAAGAGGATTGCTTGAGCCCAGCCTGGGCAACATGACAAAACACTATCTATACAAAAAATACAAAAATTAGCCCTGCGTGGTAGCACACGCCTGTAGTCCCAGCTACGTGGAGGGCTGAGGCAGGAGGATCGCTTGAGTCCAGGAGGTCCAGGCTGCAGTGAGCTGAGACCACTGCACTCCAGCCTGGGCAACAGAGTGAGACCCTGTCTCAAACAATAAAAATAATAAAAAAAAAAAAAAAGAGTTTTTATAAATCATAAAGAAGTTGGTTTTGTTTGCATACCACTGATTTTTAAAACTCCTTTTTTAAATAAACACTGGGGTGAAATATCACCAAGGCATTCCTGGCAAATTCTGTACTTTAAAGTTTCACTCTAAAATCTGCCCTCAAATCTAGAACTGCTATCAATGACAGAGGTCAGACCAAAGAACAAGCAACTGCCCCCAAAAGAAAACGGAGGTTTCCTAAACGCAAAGCAGACATTCAAATATGCACTGATCAATGGTGCACTAAACAACACTTTGCTAGGAATTTGTTAAGGCAAAAGGACCCTTTCTACAGTGAATGCAAACTATCTAAGAATGAATTTTTAAAAGTTTAATATTTTTAAATATTTTGGTAGAGACGGAGTCTCATTAGGTTGCCCAGGCTGGCCTCCAACTCCTGGGCTCAAGGGATCCACCTTCCACCTCCCAAAGTGTTGGGATTACAAGCATGAGCCACTGAGCGCCCGCCTGAATGACATTTAAATACCAATATATTAAAGCATGAAAAACACTGAGTTAACTAACATCTATGTGATAGCTCTTCTAACACCTTACTTGAAAAGTCTAAGTCAGAAATGGAACATTTCAGTAGTAACTGCGAGGGCATACTTACTAAATGAGTGAGCATTACATAGGTGTTCAGTGTTTGACAGTTCCTTTAAACCAAAAGAGAAAATTCCATTGCTTCAGGGTAATACAGAACTCACGTATCTAATAGTAACTAATATATTTTTGAAAAATCTGCTTAAATAACAAGATCACTGAGTATTTAAACTGAAAATATTGTTTTCTTCTGAGACATCATATGACCTATAGAGGAATTTATCTACAATCTCATTTCAATAACCTGATAATAATAATGCATCTATAAGTGGCTTAGCAATATTAAAAAGCTTGACTCAATTCAAGTTATAAATTTAAACTTCAACCACTAGACTGTGATCTCAAATAAGTTAATTTCTCTTTTGCAGATGTGAAAACCCAGGCTGAGATGAAATAAGGGTGATTCAATCACACTCGCCTAACTTGAAACGTAGGAAATGTATCAGTGAATAACTGTGAAATACTTTTTGCCAGGCACGGTGGCTCACGCCTGTAATCCTAGCACTTTGGGAGGCCGAGGCGGGCGGATTACCTGAGCTCAGGAGTTCGAGATCTGCCTGGGCAACATGATGAAACCCCATCTCTACTAAAATACAACAACAAAAAATTAGCCGGGCGTGGCGGCGTGTGCCTGTAGTCCCAGCTACTTGGGAGGCTGAGGCAGGAGAACTGCTTGAACCCGGGAGGCGTAGGTTGCAGTGAGCCGAGACCGTGCCACTGCACTCCAGCCTGGAGACAGAGGGAGACTTCGTCTCAAAAAATAAATAAATAAAAATAAAGACATACTTTTTATTCAAGCATGCTAGACTGCAAACATGCCTTTAGAATAAAAGTGACGAGATTACGAGTACTTAGAGGGTTCATATTTTTCAAACGTGAAAGTTAGGGTGTGTGACAAGTTAGGTATTTGACAAGTATTCTAGGGAACGGTGGAAGTGAATATTTAAAATTCAGCTATCCCCAGAAAAACCCAATACATGAAATCATTACAAGTATTTTTTAGAATCAGTCAGCAAAGATCATTACTGTACAAACACTTCAAAGTTAAGGTCACTAAGAAAGCACTAACTCCTCCCTTCTGTTAACTAATCACTGTAAAGCAGCCCAACTCTCCTTTCTACCTACCTCAGATTAATATTTTTCTCCATGGACAGATTTCCGTGCTCAGGGATATATAATAGGGGAGAAAAAAAAATACCACACAAGTGTCAGTAAGCACCAAAAAGCTAAGTATTCAGCACAGGGAGGGAATCCACATATGAGAAAACATTTGACAGCTCTTGCCTCCCAAAAGCCATTTAATCTGCTTCATAAACATAATCTGCTTCATAAACATTACCCTGAGCGAGTGGTTCGATGGATCTCCTACACCGAGTCCTAACCGGGAAACACAATCAACCGAACCGTCCCGACTCTTTCAGGCAATCAGGAAGACCGGGAGAATTATTAGACGCTGACGTCCGCAGGGCCAGGAGCTGAGAAAAGGGTAAACAGTATACTCGCAGGTAGGTTGAAAAAAACAAAACAACAACATATACACACACACACGAAAAATTGGGAAAGAAGTTGGTCGGAAGGTTAGAGAGAGGCGAGGCCGATGTCCGGTTCCGAGAGGACGGCACTGCAGGGGCAGGCAGCGATTAACTGGGCATTTGGATATGCTGGGAGTTATCTGACAGACCTGACACGGGTACAAGACACAAGAACGCTGATACGTGGCTCAGAGAAGACACGCGGGGGTGGGGCCCGCCCCGCTAAACCCCAGGCTCCCTGAATGAGCCCTCAAAGATCGCAGCCTGAGAAAGTCAAGGGTTCAAGGAGGCCCGTACCGGCGGGGCAACGCCACAACACGGAACGCCGCGGCGCGCGGAACCTCCCGGTCCGAGGCCTCGGGGTCGGCCCTCCAGAAGTCGGAGCAGCCCCTGGGGCTCCCGGCCTCTCCTGGCCCAGCTTCTCTGTCTTCTCTTCTCAACACCCACAGCCTGGGACTGGACCCCTGAAACTGAAAGGAAGCTTCCGGTCGAGCGCCCGCGGCAGCGGCGGGGCAAAAGCAGCAATATGCTCTCAGCGCCGGGAGTGACACTCACCGGCCCGAAACCTCGAATGAAACCAGCAGCTCCGGGGGCGGCGGCAGCAGTGGCAGCAGGAACCGAACATCCAAAATGGCGGCTCCCTCGGCCTCACCACCGCTACCGCAGGCGGAGGGATCCTGAGGAAGGAGGGAGTTTTTAACTAACTTCACACACTATTGAGGAAACTTCGCTCCCTGTCCTCCTCTCCTGGTCGTTTCCGTGTCCTCGTACTGCAACTTATCGTGCCTTTTCTCTCGAATTATCCAAGAACTCGGACCCTGCCGAGGACTATTTGCCAAGGAGGAGGCGACTGCTCCTGGCAGAGCGACGCAAACGTAGCAAGGATCGGGGCTGTCACTGATGACGCGAGACGCTGCTGCCGAGTCACCGCTGCGATGAGTCTGAGCGAGAAAGATCCGGCCTACCCCGTAGCGGACGGACATTGGTTCCGCTTGGTGAGGGGGTAGGGGGGTGGGGGGTAGGGGGGTGGGGGGGTAGGGGGGGTGGAGCTGGGCTACCAGGAAGCGGTGGAGCCACCTGGAGGGGGCGGAGCTAAGTCAGGTAGCCCAGGAAGTGAGAGCAAGCGAGACAGGTGGGGGCGGAGAAGACAGCAGGGCTGAAAAGGTCTTCGTCCACGGGAATCCCGAACTCTTTGCTGTCTCCTTTAAGATTTTTGCTTTCTTTATAACTTAAGGAGCATGCTCCAGGTGGTATTCTATGGTTTTATGGTGTCTTTGCAACATATTTTATGAAGAGTTAAGAGGATGACTGAAAAGAATGGATTCCACGCCCGGTACCGCGGTGCTTGCACTGCTCAAGTCACTTAAACTCTCCAGGGATTCAATTTCCTCATATGTAGAAAGAAGACTTGGACTCATGTTAGCTGAAACCCTTACAGAATGGGCTTTCGGTCTATGACTCCATGAATTAATAACCAGGGCCAAAGAAAGTCTAACCAGACAGTTCCTAACCTGATAAATAATTACTAACATATGACGTGAGTCTTTTCCATGTGAATGTAAAGAGGGCCTGATATCTTGGCCTGTTTAAAGGAAAGGTGACCTACCTAGACTAAAATCCTTCTGCTAGATTGGCAACAAAGTACAATACAACACAGCAGCAGGCTGGGTGCCAAAGAGAACAGAACCAACCACACAAAAAAAATTTTTTTTTTTTTTTTGAGACAAAGTCTCGCTCTGTTGCCCAGGCTGGAGTGCAGTGGCGGGATCCCGGCTCACTACAACCTTGCCTCCCGGGGTCAAGCAATTTCTCGTGCTTCAGCCTCGCAAGTAGCTGGGATTACAGGCTCCCGCCACCACGGCCGTCTAATATTTGCATTTTTAGTAGAGAGAGGGTTTCGCCATGTTGGCCAGGCTGGTCTTGAACTCCTGACCTCAGGTGATCTGCCTGCGTCGGCCTCCCAAAGTGTGGAGATGACAGGTGTGAGCCACCGGCCTGGCCAGAACTAACCACAAATCTTGAGTTTAGGATTTGGGTGTCATAGAGAGAAGGTTGCACTTTTTTCCTTAGTCATTTTCATGCAGGGATTTCAAAACACTTAACAAAAATTGCTCTAAGTAGGCCGGGCACAGTGGCTGACGCATGTAATCCCAGTACTTTAGGAGGCCGGGGTGGGCGGATCACCTGAGGTCAGGAGTTCGAGACCAGACTGGCCAACATGGTGAAACTCCATCTCCACTAAAAATACAAAATTAGCCGGGCATGGTGGTGGGCACCTGTAATCCCAGCTACTCGGAAGGCTGAGACAGGAGAATCGCTTGAACCTGGGAGGCAGAGGTTGCAGATAGCCGAGTCTGGGCGACAGAGTGAGACCCTGTCTCACAAAAACAAAAAAAAATTGAACCAAGTAGGCCCATCTGTACAATTTTGTCCCTGAACTACTGGGGCATGCCAAGTGGCTGGAAAGAAAGGAGGCCATGGGTGCGATAATAATTATCATTTGTATTATTAAATATTGATATCACATTGTTCATAAGGCACTTTCATGTGTATAATCTAATCTGACCCTCTGGACAACCTCCTGAGTCAGGCTAGGCAAGCATAAGTAACTTAGTTTTACAAATAAGGAAAAAGAGGCTCCAAGAAACTAACTTGGCTAAAAGACACATCCTCTCCCCTCCTCCACTGGGGTTCTGCTACAGAGCTATAGAGTGCCTTTTTTTTTGAGACAGAGTTTCACTCTTGTTGCCCGAGCTGGAGTGCAATGGCGTGATCTTGGCTCACTGCAGCCTCCGCCTCCCAGGTTCAAGTGATTGTCCTGCCTCAGTCTCCCAAGTAGCTGGGACTACAGGCGCATGCCACCACGCCCAGCTAATTTTTTGTATTTTTAGTAGAAACGGGGTTTCACCATGTTACCCAAGCTGGTCTCGAACTCCTGACCTCAGGTGATTCACCCACCTCGGCCTCCCAAAGTGCTGGGATTACAGGCATGAGCCACCATGCCAGGCCAGAGTGCCATTTTATAAATTAGCATAGGGTACCACAATCTTCCACCACCCCTACCTACCCACCCACCTACCTACCTACCTACCTACACACATACCTACACTCTCAGGGTGGATGGAGTCAACCCCCAACAAGTGGTTTAGAGAACAGAATGTTTACAGAATTCAGATCCTCTGCCATGCTGCTACTGTACAGTGCAACCATGGACTACAAGGCTAGTAAATAGTGGAATGAAGCCAAAACACAATTTCCTCTGAGGTATAGCTATGCAGGGAACACAGGCCAAACTTAGTTTGGGGTTTCCACATAAGTAAGAAGTTTGCAGGTTGCAAAGCAGAGTTAGCTAAAGTATTCCGTTTGGAACACCACAAAAAAATGCTTAGAGGTCAAATTTAAATGTGTATCATTGTGAACCACAAAAGAAAAATTAAGCCAGCTACCTAAGGAGGAGAGAGCTTTTTTTTTTTTTGAGACGGAGTCTCACTCTGTCCCCAGGCTGGAGTGCAGTGGCACGATCTCAACTCACTGCAAACTCCGCCTCCTGAGTTCACGCCATTCTGCTGCCTCAGCCTCCAGAGCAGCTGGGACTACAGGCGCCCGCCACCACACCTGGCTAGTTTTTTGTGTTTTTAGTAGAGACGAGGTTTCACATGTTAGCCAGGATGGTCTTGATCTCCTGACCTCGTGATCCGCCCGCCTTGGCCTCCCAAAGTACTGGGATTACAGGCGTGAGCCACCGCTCCCGGCCCCGGAAAGATCTTTTTTCCTACCATATCGAGTGCAGAGCGTTAAAGAGTTTTAAACATTAAAAACTAAACCCTTTCTCAGTACTTTTTAACTTACATTTCTCTTTATTTTGTTTTTGTTTTTGAGACAGAGTCTCTGTCGCCAGGCCGGAGTGCAGTGGCATGATCTCAGCTTGCTGCAACCTCCACCTCCCGAGTTCAAGTGGTTCTCCTGCCTCAGCCTCCCGAGTAGCTGGGACTACAGGCACGTGCCACTACATCCGGCTAATTTTTGTATTTTTAGTACAGACGGGGTTTCATCATGTTGGCCAGGCTGGTCTTGATCTCTTGACCTTATGATCTGCCCGCCTCAGCCTCCCAAAGTGCTGGGATTACAGACGTGAGCCACCGCGCCCAGGCCATTTATCTTTATTTATAATTACCAAACCCTTCTTCCATGCAACTAAAATTAAAAGCAGTTGCCCCAGCTGGGCACAGTGGCTCACACCTGTAATCCTAGCACTTCGGGGGGCCAAGGTGGGAGGATCACTTGATCCAAGGAGTTTGAGAACAGCCCAGGTAACATAGTGAGACCCTATCTTTCTTCCTTCCTTCCTTCCTCCCTTCCTCCCCCCTCCCCGCCCCTCTTTCTTTCTTTCTTTCTTTCACGGAGTTTCACTCTTGTTGCCCAGGCTGGAGTGCAATGGCACAATCTCGGCTCACTGCAGCCTCCACCTCCCGGGTTCAAGCAATTCTCCTGCCTCAGCCTCCTGAGTAGCTGGGATTACAGGCATGCGCCACCACGCCCAGCTAATTTTGTATATTTTAGTAGAGACAGGGTTTCTCCATGTTGGCCAGGCTGGTCTCGAACTCCTGGCTTCAGGTGATCCACCTGCCTCGGCCTCCCAAAGGGCTGAGATTACAGGCATGAGCCACCATGCCCGGCCTCCTCATCTTTTAAATAAATGAATAAAATAAATAAATAAAAGCAATTGCCCCAATATGTAGCATAGTCACATTATCTTGGAATCTTTGGTTTCCATGGCTAGTGATTTAAGTTTAGAAAGGCTTACTCCCCATCTTCTCAAACATAATCCCTAATTCCAGATAAATAAATTACAGCACATCTATAAAAGGTAATACTATGCTACCAATAAAATGAAAACCTTATTATTATAGTATGGCAGACTTTAAAAGGAAATATTATAAAACAATGTTATAAAATGAGCTTGCAAAGTGTATATTGAGCCACCTCAGGCTCCTGAGTAGCTGGGACTACAGGTGCATACCACCATGCCCGCCTAATTTTTTTAAAAATTTTTTGTAGAGACACGGTTTTGCCATGTTACCCAAGCTGGTCTGGAACTCATGGGCTCATGCGATCCTCCCACTTTGCCCTCCCAAAGTGCTGGAATTACAGGCGTGAGGCACTGCCATTGGCCAAAGATTATTATTTTTATGGGTTTGTTTACTACTGATAACTTACATGCATAGAAAAAAATTGAAGGACAAAACTAAAATTTAAAAATGGCTTTTTTGGGCCGGGCGCAGTGGCTCACACCTGTAATCCCAGCACTTTGGGAGGCCAAGGCAGGCAGATCATGAGGTCAGGAGATCAAGACCATCCTGGCTAACATGGTGCAACCCCGTCTCTACTAAAAATACAAAAAATTAGCCGGGTGTGGTGGTGGGCGCCTGTAGTCCCAGCTACTCGGGAGGCTGAGGCACGAGAATGGTGTGAACCCAGGAGGCGGAGCTTGCAGTGAGCAGAGATTGCACCACTGCACTCCAGCCTGGGGGACAGAGCGAGACTCCGTCTTAAACAAAACAAACAACAACAAAAAAATGGCTTTTTTGGATGATGGGATTACAGATAATTTTTACTTTATTATATTATATTATATTTTGTTTTTGCAACGAGCACACCATTCTTTTAGTTAAAAAGAAAATTCTTATAAGAAAATGCAGTTTTATGGATTTTTGTTTTTATTTTATTTATTTATTATTTTGAGACAGAGTCTTGCTCTGTTGCCCAGGCTGGAGTACAGTGGCGTGATCTCAGCTCACTGCAACCTCTGCCTGCCAGGTTCAAGAGATTGTCATGCCTCAGCCTCTCGAGTAGCTGGGATTACAGGTGCCTGCCACCACACTCAGCTAATTTGTGTATTTTTAGTAGAGATGGGGTTTCACCATGTTGGCCAGGCTGGTCTGGAACTCCTGACCTCAGGTGATCTGCCCACCTTCACCTCCTAAAGTGCTGGTATTACCGTGCCTGGCCAATTTTTGTTTTTAAAACAACAATATCCTGAAAGTGTTAAACAAACTTAGTAAGAGATAATAACTAGGAAAAAAATTTTGGTTTTTTTTTTTTTGAGACAAGGTGTTGCTCTGTTGCCCAGGCTGGGGTGCAGTGGCACAATCACAGCTCACTGCAGCCTCGACTTCCCGAGCTCAAGTGATCCTCCCACCTCAGCCGGGACTACAGGTGCATACCACCATACCCAGCTAATTTTTTTTTTTTTTTTGTAGAGACGGGGTTTTGCTATGTTAGCCAAGCTGGTCTGGAATTCTTGGGCTCAAGTGATCCTCCCACCTCACCCTCCCCAAGTGCTGGAATTACAGGCATGAGCCACTGTGCTTGGCCAAAGATTATTATTTTTATGGTTTTGTTTACTACCGAGGACTGCTTCAATTTAACAATGAATAGGCCGGGCACGGTGGCTCACACCTGTAATCCCAACATGATTACTTTGGGAGGCTGAGGCAGGCAGATCACCTGAGGTCAGGAGTTCAAAACCAGCCTTCCCAACATGGCAAAACCCCATCTCTACTAAAAATACAAAAATTAGCCAGGCATGGTGGCGTACACCTGTAATCCCAGCTACTCGGGAGGCTGAGGCAGGAAAATCACTTGAAAATCACAGAAGTCGCAGTTAGCCAAGATCGCGCCACTGCACTCCAGCCTGGGCGATAGAGCAAGACTCCATCTCGAAAATAAATAAGTAAATAATAATAATAACAACAATTTAACAAAGAACAACAACAAAAAATAAAACTGAAGAAACATTGGCTAGCAGACAGACCACTTAGATGCCAGTCTTGGCTAGGTTTAATTCATTTTTTGCCCAGAGCAAGGTGTTAAACATCTCTGAGCCTGTTTACTCAGCTTTCCAATATTTATTTGTCTTGCCTGTTCCAAAATGGATTTAGAGTGGCTTGTTATGCAAAAGGGATCAGCTACATGAAAGCACTTTGAAAAGCCTGAAGCATCATAAGAATGTAAATACTGAAATTTTTGTGCCGCCTCATCATTCAACTAAAGCATTTACTGACTGCCCTTTATAAGTAACAGTAGTACAGTGTGTCTTACATTTACAAAAGTATTTTCAGGCTGGGCGCAGTGGCTCATGCCTGTAATCCCAGCACTTTGGGAGGCCAAGGTGGGTGGATCACTTGAGGTCAGGAGTTCGAGACCAGCCTGGCCAACATGGTGAAACCTTGTCTCTACTAAAAACACAAAAATTAGCCGGGCATGGTGGCACGCACCAGTAATCCCAGCTACTCAGGAGGCTGAGGCAGGAGAATTGCTTGAACCCATGAGACAGAGGTTGCAGTGAGCCAAGATCGCGCCACTGCATTCCATCCTAGGTGACAAAGTGAGATGCTGTCTCAAAAAAAAAAAAATTAATTAGTTGGACATCATGGCATGTGCCTGTAGTCCCAGCTACTCAGAAGGCTAAGGCAGGATTTTTTGACACCAGAAAGGTAAGGCTGCAGTGAGCAATGATTGCACCACTGCACTCCAGTCTGAGTGGCAGAATAGGACTCTGTCTCAAAAAATATATTAAAAAAAGAAAGAGTGAGAGAGAGAGAGAAACAAAAGGAGGAGGGGAGGGGAGGAGAGGCTCAGAGAGATTAAATGATCGGTCACACTTTCATACAGTAGAGGCCAGACTCAAATGTAGTCCTTCCATCTCTGGATTTGTCTTCTAGCCCATATAGTAATCATTCAAACAGGCTACCTGATTATTTCCCCTATGCCACACTGTCCTGGGTGCACCAGAATCTGTAATAGACATAACAAAAGAGACTGCCCCTATCCTTCAGATAATTACAATCTCATTGAGGAAAACGAGATTTTTTAAAAATCCAAAAATATAAAATAAGCCAGTGATATCATTCAGCAGATAAGTCCTAGTTCAGAAAGAGAAGAAAACGGAGAGGTCGCTGAAGTTCTAGTTCAGAAGGAGCAGAAGAAGGAGAGGTTGCTGGGAGCTAGAGCAGTGAAAGATGGCTTTTGGAATACATAGTATCTGGTGGAATCTGGGGTACTAGAGGGGAACTGTCTTGTTTGGGCTTAGGATGCAGTGAGTTTCTTTCTTTCTTTTTTTTTTTTTTTTTTTTTGGAGACAAAAAAAAAAGGGTCTCGCTATGTTGCCCAGGCTGGAGTGCAGTGACACAATCTCGGCTGACTGCAACCTCCACCTCCTGGATTCAAGTGATTCTCCTGCCTCAGCCTCCTGAGTAGCTAGGACTACAGGGGTATGCCACTGCACCCAGCTAATTTTTGTATTTTTAGTAGAGATGGGGTTTCATCATGTTGGCCAGGCTGGTCTCGAACTCCTGACCTCGTGATCCTCCCACCTCAGCCTCCCAAAGTGCTAGGATTACAGACTTGAGCCACCTCATCCGGCACAGTGAGTTTCTTAAATGATTCGGTCAGTATCAGCAGCTGAAGCCCATGTGACCTTTAGAGCAGATGGGGAAAGCTCTCTCTGAAGAAATGCAGTTAGCATCTTTCACAAAGAACCCTTCCTGCCTCTCCACGTGCCAGAGATCTCAGCCGAGAAAGGAGAGTGAAGAGGGGCACAGCCGTGTAAGAAATACAATGACGTGAGTCAAAGAGGCGGCTCCACTGGCCTGTTTTGTTATCCTTTGAGTCACACGAATCTATAAATAAGACTGAAAGACAGAGAGAAATTAGTCTGTCTGCTGTTTCTGTAATGTTTTCACAAAAAGCATTTTCACAATTCTTTTAAAGCACAGTCCCTAATCACGATGTATGCTGGCCTGAGACAAGAGTTTAGGAATTCATCTTTAACTTATGACAAAAGCCAGAAAGGATGTAAAAATTAAAATTCCAACAGCCAACTCCATACACTCTTTGACCTCTTACCAAGAGCATTAGGAATTCTGCTATATGTAGAAGAGTAAAGACCAAAGCCCGGAGGACATTAGCTTCTGCCAACCTTCTTCTTTGTTTCAGAATTTTTTTTTTTTAAAGAGGCAGCCCTAGGCCGGGCGCGGTGGCTCGTGTCTGTAATCCAGCACTTTGGGAAGCCAAGGCAGGTGGATCACCTGAGGTCAGGAGTTCAAGACCAGCCTGGCCCACATGGCGAAACCCTGTCTCTTCTAAAAATACAAAAATTAGCCAGGCGTGGTTGCAGGCACCGGTAATCCCAGCTACTTGGGAGGCTGAGCCAGGATAATCACCTGAAACCGGGAGGTGGAGGTTGCAGTGAGCCGAGACTGTACCACTGCACTCCAGCCTGGGCAATAGAGTGAGACTCCATCTCAAAAAAAAAAAAAAAAAAAAAAAGAGGCAGCCCAAAGTGCCACCTGAGATGCTTTATGTTACAATATTTTCTTTTTCTTAGAGTAGTTTTTCTTGACTTGTAAATTATTCTGTATTATTTTGGCACTTTTGGAGGGAAAAACTTTACCAGGTATGAGACTGCAATCAACTTAAATTCCAAATTGAGGAAATGGTGCCATTCTCCTGTTAGGAATGACAAAATTAAGGTCACTAGAAGAGAATGCACCATCTAGAAACAAAGCAGGATTTCTGACCCATTGTTTTCTACTCAAGTAATTTTATTTCCTTAATATGGACACCATTAAGCCAGGAGCAGTGGCTCATACATGTAGTACCAGCTACTCAGGAGGATGAGGCAGGAAAAACCCTTGAGCCCAGGAGTTTGAGACCAGCTAGGACAGCATAGTGAAACCTCATCTCGAAAATATGTATAAATGTGGGCACCGTCATTTGTCTAGAAAAATCTATAGTAAATTGTTTTGTTTTCCTTTCATTGCAAAGTCTCATACTTGTTCTTCCAAAATCAGTTCTATGAGTTGCTTTAAAATTAGCCTGGGACGTCCAAGAAGTGTTAAGACATCTGCAGTAACTGGGGCAGCCAGTCCCTGGAGGCCAACTCAGGGAACAACAAACTCCTTCGCCAAGCCGTCCACACATGCCAGCTGATGGTCTAGGACCCAAGTATGTGCCAAGAGTGAGGTGTCTTACTTCTAAGGAGAGGCAAGCAGTTTGCTATGCAAGCGGGTCGCTGGCCCTGGACCTAAAGATCTTCTCTCTAACTCCATATTCTTTAAATAAACTTGTCTTTTATGAGGAGTGGAAAATCTTAGAATGAAGCATTCAAAATGAAACTGATTTTTTTTTTTTTTTTTTTTTTTTTTTGAGATGGAGTCTCGCTCTGGCACACAGGCTGGAGTGCAGTGTTGCAATCTCGGCTCACTGCAACCTCTGCCTCCCGGGTTCAAGCTATTCTCCTGTCTCAGCCTCCTGAGTAGCTGGGATTACAGGCGCGTGCCACCACGCCTGGCTAATTTTTTTGTATTTTTAGTAGAGACAGGGTTTCACCATGTTGGTCAGGCTGGTCTCCAACTCCTGTCCTCCTGATCCGCCCGCCATGGCCTCCCAAAATGCTGGGATTACAGGCGTGAGCCACCGCGCCCGGCCCCAAACCGGGTTTTTAAAGAGTCATTGGTTTATAGGTATCACCTTCTCATATGCAAAAGGAGGAATGTAAACTCCCCCGGATATGTAAAAGAGAATTCTGAACCAAAAATTTTGCATAACCAATAATTACATCTAAAAATTAATTTGGCTTTTGGGTATGAGCCTAAAACGAAACTTAAAAATAAAGTATATTGAAAAGAAAAATGGGGCCGGGCGCGGTGGCTCATACCCCTAATCCCAGCACTTTGGGAGGCCAAGGCGGGTGGATCACAAGGTCAGGAGATCAACACCATCCTGGCTAACACGGTGAAACCCCGTCTCCACTAAAAATGCAAAAAAAAAATTAGCCGGGCGTGGTGGCGGGTGCCTGTAGTCCCAGCTACTCGGGAGGCTGAGGCAGGAGAATGGTGTGAACCCGGGAGGCGGAACTTGCAGTGAGCGGAGATCGCGCACCATTGCACTCCAGCCTGGGGTACAGAGGGAGACTCCGTCTCAAAAAAAAAAAGAAAAAGAAAAAGGAAAAATGGGCCAGGTGTGGTGGCTCATGCCAATAATCCTAACACTTCGGGAGGCTGAGGTGGGAGGATTGCTTGAGTCCAGGAGTTCAAGACCAGCCTGGGCAACATGGCGAAACCCTGTCTCTACAAAAAATACTAAAGAAGCCAGGCGTGGTGGCTTATGCCTGTAATCCCAGCACTTTGGGAGGCTGAGGTGGGCAGATCACCTGAGGTCAGGAGTTCGAGACCAGCCTGGCCAACATGGTGAAACCCTGTCTCTACTAAAAATACAAAAATTAGCCAGGCGTGGTGGTGCATGCCTGTAATCCCAGTTACTCGGGAGGCTGAGGCAGGAGAATCGGTTGAACTCGGGAGGCAGAGGCTGCAGTGAGCAGAGATCGTGCCATTACACTCCAGCCTGGGCAACAAGAGTGAAACTCCGTCTCAAAAAAAAAAAAAAAAAAGTCCAGATGCAGTGGCTCACGCCTGTAATCCATCACTTTGGGAGGCTGAGGAGGGCAGATCACGAGGTCAGAAGATTGAGACCATCCTGGCTAACACGGTGAAACCCCGTCTCTACTAAAAATACAAAAAATTAGCCAGGCGTGTTGGCATGCACCTGTAGTCCCAGCTACTTGGGAGGCTGAGGCAGGAGAATCTCCTGAATCTGGGAGTCAGAAGTTGCAGTGAGCCGAGATAGTGCCACTGCACTCCAGCCTGGGCGACAGAGCGAGATTCCATCTCGAAAGGAAGAAAGAAAGACAGAGAGAGAGAGAGAGAGAGAGAGAGAGAGAGAGAGAGAGGAAGGAAGGAAAGAAGGAAGGAAGGGAGGGAGGGAGGAAATTAACCAGGTGTGTTGATGCCTGCCTGTAGTCCCAGCTACTCAGGAGGCTGAGATGGGAGGATCACCTGAGCTGGGGGAGGTAAAGACTGCAGTGAGCAGTGATCAAGCCACTGTACTCCAGCCTGGGCGACAGAGTAAGACCCTGTCTCAAAAAATAAAAAATAAAAACAAACAAAAGCTAGTTACGCAAGAAACCAAAAAATAATAATATTTTGGCCTTCTTTTCTAGCCTCTCCAGTCTCACAGAATCACTAACATTTAGTCCACTAGAAGATAAGAAATAATGGAAACTAATATTTGTTGCGCACATACTAAGTGCTAAAGAAATTTATATATATTATTTATTTTTTCTTTTCTTTTTTTCTTGAAAGGGAGTTTCACTTCATTGCCCAGACGGGAATGCAATGTCATAATCATGGCTCACTGCAGCTTCAACCTCCTGGGATCAAGCCATCCTCCCACGTTAGCCTCCGAAGTAGCTAGGAATACAGGCGTGCACCACCATGCCCAGCTATTTTTGTTTTTTAATTCTTTTATAGAGATGGGGTCTCACCATGTTGCCCAGGCTGGTCATGAACTCCTGGACTCAAGCAATTATCTCTCCTTGACCTCCCAAAGTGCTGGGATTATAGGCGTGAGAAACAGTACTTGGACAAAATAAATAGTCTTATAACAACTCAAATATCTTCAATGAGGCCAGGTGTGGTGGCTCACACCTGTAATCCCAGCAATTTGAGAAGCCAATGTGGGAGGGTCACTTGAAGCCAAGAGTTCAGACCAGCCTGGCCAACATGGCGAAACCACGTTTCTACTAAAAATACAAAAAATACCCGGGGGTTGTGGCACACAACTGTAATCCCAGCTACTTGGGAGGCTGAGGTAGGAGAATCGCTTGAACCTGGGAGGTGGATGTTGCAGTGAGCTGAGATCACGCCACTGCACTCCAGCCTGGGCAACAGAGCAAGACTCCATCTCAAAAAAAAAAAAAAAAAAAAAAAAAAAAAAATATATATATATATATATATATATATATATATATATATATATATCTTCAGTGAATACTAAACAACTCCAACTTCTACCAGCATTCTCTATAATTACCAGGAACCAATGAAGGAAGGAAATCATTCTTCCAGTCATCATTCTGAAAGAAAAAAGATCACTGGTGGGAAGTAGAGGAGGGCAGATATCTGAAGTCAGGAGTTCCAGACCAGCCTGGCCAACATGGTGAAACCCCGTCTCCACTAAAAATACAAAAATTAACTGGGCATGGTGTCGCGCACCTGTAATCCCAGCTACTCGGGAGGCAGAGGTTGCAGTAAGCCAAGACTGTGCCACTGCACTCCAGCCTGGGCAACAGAGCAAGACCCTGCCTCAAAAAAAAAAAAAGAAAAGAAAAGAAAAAAGATCACTGGGAAGTAATTGGTTTGTGTTACAAATGCATATTTCGCACATAGTAGGCCTTCAATAAATATCTCTTAAAATGAATAGAAATTTAGTTACCCATTATCACAGTCGAGCTTCCTTCCTGTTTGGGGTGAAGTTTTTTTGTTTTTTGTTTTTTTTTTGAGATGGAGTCTGCCTCTGTCCCCAGGCTGGAGTGCAGTGCTGCCACCTTGGCTCACTGCAAGCTCCGCCTCCCAGGTTCATGCCATTCTCCTGCCTCAGCCTCCCGAGTAGCTGGGACTACAGGCACCCGCCACCATGCCCGGCTAATTTTGTTTTTGTATTTTTAGTAGAGACGGGGTTTCACTGTGTTAGCCAGGATGGTCTCAATCTCCTGTCCTCGAGATCCGCCCGCCTCAGCCTCCCAAAGTGCTGGGATTACAGGCGTGAGCCACCGCGCCTGGCCTGTTTGGGGTGAAGTTTTTTTTTTAGTGCTTTCTAACAATTAGCCTTAGAGTGACCATAGGTCTTGCTGCTTCTGTCATGTATGGCCTCATATAAGAACCCAGGAAATGTTTTGTCTTTGAACCTGGAGATGCTATTTGTGAAAGATGTTTGTTTAATAAAATCAGAGGAGGCGGCCGGGCGCAGTGGCTCACACCTGTAATCCTAGCACTTTGGGAGGCTGAGGCAGGCGGATCACCTGAGGTCGGGAGTTCAAGACCAGTCTGACCAACATGGAGAAACCCCGTCTCTACTAAAAATACAAAATTAGCCGGGCATGGTGGCACATGCCTGTAATCCCAGCTACTCGAGACGCTGAGGCAGGAGAATCGCTTGAACCCAGGAGGCAGAGGTTGCAGTGAGCCGAGATTGCGCCATTGCACTCCAGCCTGGGCAACAAGAGCAAAACTCCATCTCAAAAAAAAAAAAAAAAAAAAATCAGAAGGCACCTTCTCCAATAAATAAACAGAGAGGGGAAAAGGAGTAATGGGAAAAAAAGGAAGTGTTGAAGATTAAAAGACTTCAGATACATATCAACCAAATACAATATGTGGATCTTTTTGGATCTTGATTTCACAAAATAACTGCAAAATTCATTTTTGACAGTTGGATAAATTTAATATATAGATGAATATTATATGATATTAAGGACTTCTTTTATTTATATTTTATTTTATTTATTTATTTATTTTGAGATGGAGTCTCACTCTTGTCACCCAGGCTGGGATGCAATGGTGTGATCTCGGCTCACTGCTACCTCCGCCTTCCGGGTTCAAGCAATTCTCCTGCCTCAGCCTCCTGAGTAGCTGGGATTACAGGCGCGCACCACCACGCCCAGCTAATTTCTGTATTTTTAGTAGAAACAGGGTTCCACCATGTTGGACAGGTTGGTCTTGAACTCCTGACTTCATGATCCACCCGCCTCAGCCTCCCAAAGTGCTGGGATTACAGGTGTGAGCCACCGTGCCTGGCCAGGACTTATTTTCATTATAATGAGAATAATGACATTGTTTTATGTTAAACAAAGGATATGTGTTAGAGATATGTAATGAAGTATTTACAGTTGCAATTATATAATTTCTCACATTTGCTTAAATTCTTCCTCTGCTTTCTCCCCCAGAAAAGTTAAGAAGAGTCCGGGCGCGGTGGCTCACGCATGTAATCCCAGCACTTTGGGAGGCTAAGGCGGGTGGATCACGAGGTCAGGAGATCGAGATCATCCTGGTTAACACAGTGAAACCCTGTCTCTACTAAAAATACAAAAATTAGCCAGGCGTGGTGGTAGGTGCCTGTAGTCCTAGCTACTCGGGAGGCTGAGGCAGGAGAATAGTGTGAACCCGGGAGGTGGAGCTTGCAGTGAACCGAGATGGCACCACTGCACTCCAGCCTGGGTGACAGGGCGAAACTCCAACTCAAGAAAAAAAAAGGAAAAGAAAAGAAAAGTTGAGAAGAGATAGATGAAATAAGAGCAGCAGAATATTGATAACTATTGAAACTGAATGATAGGTACATGGGAGTTCATATGTAATACTAATTTTATAAAGGCAGTATCTAAAATTTTCCTTAATAAAGTTTTCTTTGTTTTATTTTTAAATCAGAGGACTCGACTTTCGAGAATAGAAGCTGAGCAATATACAAGGTGTGGTTGAGACAAATAATTTCAACAAGAAAATCAGACTTGGATTATGTCTGAAATATAAAGTCTCAGAAAAAGAGCTTCAGGCTCAGAAATGCCTAGCAAGTAATGAGGAAAATTTTGAAGTAAAAACAAACAAACAAACAAAAAAAGCCTAGCAAAGTAATCAAAGAAGTTCTCTTTATGCTGAAGGAAGAAAAAGTGAAGAAAATTAGTGCCTACAGCTCTTTAGTTTTTATTTATTTGACCTCTTCAGATTTATGTATACATATTTTGTGAGGTTTTCTTTTTTATTGAGAAAAGGTCTTGCTCTGTCACGAGGGCTGGAGTGCAGTGATGCGATCGTGGCTCACTGCAACCTTGACCCCTTGGGTTCAAGATCCTCCCACCTCAGACCCCAGAATAGCTGGGACCACAGGAACACACCATCACGTCCAGCTAATTTATTTTTATATTTTGTAGAAATGAAGTTTCCCCATGTCGCCAAGGCTGGTCTCAAACTCTTGGGCTCAAATGATTCTCTTGCCTTGGCATCGCAAAATGCTGAGATTATAGGTGTGAGCCCCCATACCCACCCAAAGTTTTAATACTATTTTCTTTCTTTTTTCTTTTTCTTTTTTTTTTTGAGACAGAGTTTCACTCTTGTTGCCCAGGTTGGAGTGCAATGATGCGCTCTCGGCTCAATGCAACCTCCGCCTCCTGGATTCAAATGATTCTCCTGCCTCAGCCTCCCGAGTAGCTAGGATTACAGGTATGTGCCACCATGCCAGGCTAATTTTGTATTTTTAGTAGAGATGGGTTTCACCATGTTGACCAGGCTGGTCTTGAACTCCTGACCTCAGGTGATCCACCCGCCTCCACCTCCCAAAGTGCTGGGATTACAGGCGTGAGTCACTGCACCTGGACTTAATACTATTTTCAACATAAAAGTAAATTGTTTTCCATATTATATGAATTGAATATATCTAATCTAAAACATGAGTCTAAATCACTGTACATTAAAGACTTTCAAATTTGTCCAGCTCATAAAAATGTTCTCTGCAGTCTGTACTGTTTTATTGTTAAGAGGTTGATGAGAGACTATAGCCTTGTTTTCTTATGATTTAAGTGTAAAAATATATCACATATCAGCTAAATGATTGCAAATATCCCTCCATCCTTAAAAACATTGCAAAGATCAGACCGGGTACAGTGCCTCATGCCTATAATCCCAGCACTTCAGGAGGCCGAGGCAGGCGGATCATGATGTCAGGAGTTCAAGATCAGCCTGGCCAATATGGTGAAACCATGTCTCTACTGAAAATACAAAAATTAGCTGGGCGTGCTGGCGCATGCCTGTAGTCTCAGCTGCTCGGGAGGCTGAGGCAGGAGAATTTGTTGAACCCAGAAGGCAGAGGTCGCAGTGAGCAAAGATCGCGCCACTGCACTCTAGCCTAGGTGACAGAGTGAGACTCCATCTCAAAAAAAAAAAAAAAAAGAAGAAAAAGAAATGTATTTTTGGCTGGGTGCAGTGGCTCACACTTGTAATCCCAGCACTTTGAGAGGCCAAGGAGGGAGAATCACTTGAGCTCAGGAGTTCAGAGACCAGCCTGGGAAACATAATGAGACCTTATCTCTATAAAAAATTTTTAAAATTAGCTGGGCACGGTAGTGTGCATCTGTGGTCCAAGTTACTCAGGAGACTGAGATGAGAGGATTGCTTGAGTCTGAAAGGCAGAGGTTACAGTGAGCCAAGAACACGCAACTGAACCCCAGCCTGGGCAACAGAGTGAGACCCTGTCTCAAAAAAAAAAAAAAATGTGGCTGGGCGCAGTGGCTCATGCCTGTAAATCCCAGAACTTTGGGAGGCTGAGGCGGACAGATCACTTGAGGTCAGGAGTTCAAGACCAGCCTGACCAAGATGGTGAAACCCCATCTCTACAAAAAATACGAAAATCAGCTGGGCGTGATGGAGTGCACCTGTAATCCAGCTACTTGGGTGGCTGAGGTGGGAGGATCACTTGAACCCGGGAGGCAAAGGTTGTAGTGAGCTGAGATCACACCACTGCACTCCAGCCTAGGCAACAGAGCAAGACTCAATCTCAAAACAACAACAACCAAAAAAAAAAACGTATTTTGGCACTACCCAAGTATCCTTCCAGATTTTGTTTCCCTATCCATACTGATCTTTTAGGAGGAAGGACAGAGCAACAAAGGGCTGGAGATGACATGTAAGGGTCCTGGTGCACATAGTGTTGATACCCTAAGTTGATCACCAGTTCCTACTTCAGTACCACCTCCTCTGCCACGGCCATCTTTCTTGACATCATCAGTAAATCCAATATTGACCAGGTCTGCTGGGGCTTCAGCCTTACAAGAGAGAAAGAATTCCACTAGGTTCTCAATATTTTTTTTTTTTTCAGACAGAGTTTTGCTCTTGTTGCCCAGGCTGGAATGCAATGCCATGATCTTGGCTCACCACAACCTCTGCCTCCCAAGTTCAAGCAATTCTCCTGCCTCAGCCTCCGAAGTAGCTGGGATTACAGGCATGCACCACCACGCCTGGCTAATTTTGTATTTTTAGTAGAGACGGGGTTTCTCCATGTTGGTTAGGTTGGTCTCGAACTCCCGACCTCAGGTGATCCACCCACCTCGGCCTCCCAAAGTGCTGGGATTACAGGTGTGAGCCACTGCACCTGGCCAGGTTCTCTATCTTTTACACATTGGTTTATTGCACGCTTACTACATGCCAAACATTCCTGGACTCCCTGGGGAAGAAATGGTGAGCAAAGAGACATGGTTCCTGCCCTCATGAAGCTTATAGTCTAGTCAATGAGAATTAAAAGCAAACTTTGGGCCTTCCAGTCCACAGGCTTCTTCCTTCTCTCTCTTTCCATGCCTATGTTTTCAGTACCTATGAGGTTAGACACTAGCACACAAACAGTTAAGAGCTAACTGTAAATACGAATAGATAGGTCTACAAGAAAGTTTATTAAACTTTAGCAGTGGTAAACTCCAGATTTATTCATTCATTTGACAAAATGAACAGACAGGAACAGGGCTGGGGATGCAACTGTGACAAAAGTCCCTGCCCTCATGGAGCTGACATTCTAGTGGGGGAGACGAATAATCAACACGATCACTAAGTGAACTATGCAAGATGTGAGCTAGAGATAAGTGCTACAGAGGAAAAAAAAAATAGCAGAGAAGAGGGAGGAGGTTGACATTTTAGAGAAGATAGCCAGGGAGGGCCTCACAGAGAAGAGAACATTTAAGTATAGACTTCCAGGAAGTAAGGGAGGAACGAGGCAGATATCTAGAGAACACAGAATACCGGAAGGAGATACAAAGGCCCTGACGTTGGAATGTTCTTGGGCATTTGAAGAAGCATAAAGTGGCCAGTGTGGCTAAGGCAGAGTAAACAAGGAGGAAGGTTGGGGGGAATGAAGTCAGAGTGATGGGGAGGGAAGGTATGGGTTGTGGGAAAGACTTTGCCTATTATTCTAAGTGAAATATGGCCAAGTGTGGTGGCTCACGTCTGTAATGCCAGCACTTTGGGAGGTGGAGATGGGTGGATCACTTGAGGTCAGGAGTTCGAGACCAGCCTGGCCAACATGGTGAAACCCCATCTCTACCAAAAATATAAAAAATTAGCTGGGTGTGGTGGCAGTCGCCTGTAATCCCAGCTACTCAGGAGGCTGAGGCAGGAGAATTGCTTGAACCCAGGAGGCAGAGGTTGCAGTGAGCTGAAATTGAGCCACTGCACTCCAGTGTGGGTGACAGAGTGAGACTCTATCTCAAAGAAAAAAAAAAAGAAATGAAAAGGCACTGGAGGCCAGGTGCAGTGGCTCATGTCTGTAACCCCAGCACTTTGGGAGGCCGAGACAGGTGGATCACTTGAGGTCAGGAGTTGAAGACCGCCTGGCCAACATGGTGAAACCCTGTCTTTACTAAAAATAAAAAAATCAGCTGGGCGAGGTGGCGTGTGCCTGTAATTCCTGCTATTTGGGAGGCTGAGGCACGAGAATCACTTGAACCCAGGAGGCAAAGGTTGCAGTGAGCCAAGATTGCACCACTGCACTCCAGCCTGGATGGGTAGGGGTTGAGAGAAAGGGAAGAATCAAGGAAGATATGAGTATTTTTGTCGTAGCATAGAATTACCATTAACGGTAGAATAGGTAGATATTTTGGAAGGGGTGAGAGCACTTTGGGACGTGTTAAGTTGGTGATGTCTATGAAACACTCAAGTGAAGATGTCAAGAAGGCAGGAGGATATATGAACCTGGAGCTCATATAAACTGAGAAGCCTTAGGTAATGCTATACATGTAGAAGCCCCCACCATAAAGAAGGTATTGAAAAACATGTGGTTGGATGAAGTCAGCTCAAGAGTTGGGAAGAGGTCCAAAGACTAAGCCCTTGAGCACATCTCTAGTGGCATTTCATATGTCTTTTACTGCTTTAAAGTCCCTTTCTGTATTGTTTAAATGTATACAATGTGTCATTTTTCAAAAAGCTATATAATTCTTTGGAAGAGAACAAGAGTAAAAGAATCCCTATCAGGAAACCATCATCAGCAAAGATAAATGTGCCCCATTCTCTGGAATCCAACATGATACATCCAGCAATCTGAAAGCAGAGCAGTGGGAACACAGGAGATGGAACAGACTTTTTGCTTCATGCCTGCACTAAGCAGAAGTTTGGCACCCAAGTATGAAGCCATCCTTTATAAAGAAGTCACCAGAGACAGCTTAATCAATCACTAAAACAAGTAGCTCCCTACATGGAATGATGTGAGATGCATTAGGGGAAAATCTCTCTTGTCCTAAGACAGTTCATGACCATCTTCTGGAAGCTTAATTCACCCCCATGATAATGATTACAATGAAAAAAAAGCAAAAGCAAAATTTGATTACATTTGTTATGTTCCAGGCATTGCATTTAAGTTCCTTATGTGTATTAGCTAATTGAGTCATCTCAACAAACTTATGAGTTAGGAAATATTATTATCCCCAACCCAGAAAACTGAGTTGTTGACACTTGGCCTGAGGTCTCACAGTTAATATATGGTGGAGCAAGGATTTGAATATGTATCGTTTCACTCCTGAACCCATACTCTTCTTTCTTTTTTCTTTTTTTTTTTTTTAGAAGGAGTTCCGCTCTTGTTGCCCAGGCTGGAGTGCAATGGTGTGATCTCAGCTCACCATAACCTCTGCCTCCTGGGTTCAAGCGATTCTCCTGCCTCAGCCTCCCAAGTAGCCGGAATTACAGGCATGCGCCACCATGCCCAGCTAATTTTTTTTTTTTTGTATTTTTATTAGAGGATGGGGGAGAAAAGAACTAAAAATGTTTCACACACTTCTGGATATAACACTTTTAGGTACCTTCGTTTTTTTGTTTTCTACTCTATTGTTAACCACTTATAAGGGTCTGTTAGGAATAGTATGTGGGCAGAGAAAAAGTACAAATTTTACCTGCTTTACAATTCTTCCAGAGCTACTCTAGAAGCCACATGACTAAGTAGAAAAAAATCTTTCAGTGCACAATAAAAACCTCAGCTTTAAGTCAATTTTCCCATCTTAAAAGTACTTACCATGGGCCGGACATGGTGGCTCACACCTGTAATCCCAGCACTTTGGGAGGCCAAGGAGGGTGGATCACAAGGTCAGGGGATCAAGACCATCCTGGCCAATATGGTGAAACCTCATCTCTACTAAAAATACAAATATTAGCTGGGCATGGTGGTGCACGCCTGTAATCCCAGCTACTCGGGAGGCTGAGGCAGGAGAATCACTTGAACCCGGGAGGTGGAGGTTGCAGTGAGCCAAGATCATGCCATTGCACTCCAGCCTGGGGGACAAGAGCAAAATTCCGTCTCAAAAAAAAAAAAAAAAAAAAAGTGTAAGGATAGAAAAAAAATCATACGGTAAGGTTGCAAAGAGCAAAGATCTATGGGTAGCATGAATCTTTTTTTTTTTTTTCTTTTTTTTTGAGACAGGGTCTCGCTGTCACCCAGGCTGAAGTTCAGTGGCAGGACCTCGGCTTTCTGCAACCTCTGCCTCCCAGGCTTAAGGTATCCTCCCACCTCAGCCTCCTGAGTAGCTGAGACTACAGGCACGTGCCACCACAGCTGGCTAATATTTTAAAAATTAATTTTTGGTAGAGACAGGGTTTAGGTTTCACCATGTTGCCCAGGCTGGTCTCTAACTCCTGGGCTCAAGCGATCCACCTGCCTGGCCTCCCAAAATGCTAGGGTTACAGGTGTCAGCTACCATGCTCAGCCAAGAACAAATCTTCTATTTGTGAAATTGTGAAGAAGGAAAAAGAAATTCATGCTAGTTTGCCTGTCGCAGCTCAAACAAACTGCAAAACTTTTGGTCGTAGAGCGTGATAAATGCTTAGTGAGGATGGAAAAAGCCTTAATTTTGGGGGTGGGAAACATGTACAGAAACTTACTCAGGTTTGGTATTATCTGCAGTTTCAGGCATCCAATGGGGGTTTTGGTAGTGTTCCCCACGGATAAGCAGGGACTACTGTATATTTTTTTTAGATGATGTATAATTTAGCAACAAAAAGGGGCCTTGCTTGTGAATGTATAAGACAGCCCTATTCCAGAGTTAGAGAACTTCAAACCAAGCAGAATATGAGGAAGAAAGTGAACATAAGAAAAGGCCGGGCGTGGTGGCTCACGCCTGTAATCTCGGCACTTTGGGAGGCCGAGGTGGGTGGATCACCTAAGGCTAGGATTTCAAGACCAGTCTGGCCAACATGGCGAGACCCTGTTTCTACTAAAAATACAGCAGTGAGCTGAGATCGCACCACTGCACTCCAGCCTGGGCTACAGAGCAAGACTCTGTCTCAAAAAAAATCCAAACTTTGAATCAACAGTTCTGATTTTGTGATAAGTATTTGAATTATGTCAAGGGTGACAGTAAATATATTCAAGAACCAGTACTACATGGCACTAACCAATCAGAATGGACACCCTGAATGACAAAAAATGTCCACCAGCCTGAAGCAACTGCTGTGGCCAGGTCTCTGTGTTCCATTGAATGTCAGTTTTGAATTATGTAAATGTGGTCATGATGTCAGATGTTCAAAAGTCGAAACTTCTAAATTTCATTAGCTTCCTTTATATTACTAAGCCAGTTACATTTAGTCAAATATGTACTTTCTTTTTTTTCTTTTTTTTTTTTCCTGAGATGGAATCTCGCTCTGTCCTCCAGGCTGGAGTGCAGTGGTATGATCTCAGCTCACTGCAACCTCCACCTTCCAGGTTCAAGCGATTCTCCTGCCTCGGCCTTCTGAGTAGCTAGGATTACAGGCATGCACCACCACGCCTGGCTAATTTTTGTAGTTTTAGTAGAGACGGGGTTTCACCATGTTGGCCAGGATGGTCTCTATCTCTTGACCTCGTGATCCACCTGCCTCAGCCTCCCAAAGTGCTGGGATTACAGGCGTGAGCCACTGCACCCGGCCAATGTGTACTTTCTTAAAAAAGAAATCAGCTCAGTTTTCTTGGCTTTAGCTTTTTTTTTTTTTTTTTTTTTTTTTTTTGAGACAGAGTCTCACTCTGTTGCCCAGGCTGGAGTGCAATGGCACAATCTCGGCTCACTGCAACCTGCACCTCCCGGGTTCAAGCGATTCTCCTGCCTCAGCCTCCTGAGTAGCTGGGATTACAGGCGCCTGCCACCACGTCCAGCTAATTTTTTGTATTTTTATTTTATTTATTTACGTATTTATTTATTTTTGAGCCGGAGTCTCGCTCTGTTGCCCAGGCTGGAGTGCAGTGGCACGATCTCCCCTCACTGCAAGCTCCGCCTCCCAGGTTCATGCCATTCTCCTGCCTCAGCCTCCCGAGTAGCTGAGACTACAGGCACCCGCCACCACGCCTGGCTAATTTTTTTGTATTTTTAGTAGAGATGGGGTTTCACCATGTTCGCCAGGATGGTCTCGATCTCCTCACCTCGTGATCCACCTGCCTCGGCCTCCCAAAGTGCTGGGATTACAGGTGTGAGCCACTGCGCCCGGCCCAATTTTTTGTATTTTTAATAGAGATGGGGTTTCATCATGTTGGCCAGGCTGGTCTTGAACTCCTGACCTCAAGTGATCCTCCCACCTCAGCCTCCTAAAGTGCTGGGATTACAGGCGTGAGCCACCATGCCTGGTGGCATTAGCTTTTTTATAAAGTTCAATTCTCTAGTTTGAGACCTTTATCCAAGTTGCTTTGCCTCCAATGCAAAACTTATTTCTATACATTTTTCCGTCTGCACCAAATTATGTGTTCTGAGTTGCTCAGCTTTTCTGAGACTTCTTCATTTAGAAAAAGTATGTGTCACTGGGGTGGTGGTTCACTCTTGCAATCCCAGCACTTTGGGAGGCTAAGGCAGGTGGGTCACTTGAGGTCAGGAGTTTGAGACCAGCATAGCCAACATGGTAAAACCCCGTCTCTACTAAAAATACAAAAAAATTTGCCAGGTGTGGTACCGAGTGCCTGTAATCCCAGCTACTCTGGAGGCTGAGGCAGGAGAATCACTTGAACCCAGGAGGCAGAGGTTGCAGTGAGATGAGATCGTGCCATTGCACTCCAGCCTGGGCAAAAGAGTGAGACTCTGTCTCAAAAAAAAAAAAAAAAGAAAAGAAAAGAAGAAAAGAAGAAGAAGAGGAAGAAGAGGAAGAAGAAGAAGAAGAAGAAGAAGAAGAAGAAGAAGAAGAAGAAGAAGAAGAAGAAGTAGAAGAAGAAGAAGAAGAAGAAGAAGAAGAAAGAAAGAAAGAAAAAGAGAAAAGAAAAAATAAGTGTCTCCAGAAATGGTACTACTTGAGAGCTGACAATTCCAATCTCATTGATTATATTCTTGGCTGTATTTAGCACACAGCTGATTAGATACCTGCAGCAAATCATCACCAAGAAAGAAAGAAAGGCAAGATTCATCAGTTATGATGAATTTGTTTTAGACGAAGAACAACTGGGGCCAGGTGCGGTGGCTCACACCTATAATCCCAGAATTTTGGGAGGCTGAGGTGGGTGGATCACTTGAGCCCAGGAGTTCAAGACCAGCCTGGGCAACATGGCAAAACCCCATCTTTACAAAAAAATACAAAAAATTAGCCCAGTGTGGTGGTGTGTGCCTGTAGTCCTGGCTACTTTGGAGGCTGAGATGGGAGGATCGCTTGAACCCAGGAGGTGGAAGTTGCAGTGACTCGAGATCATGCCACTGCACTCCAGCCTGGGCAACAGAGCAAGGCTTGTCAAAAACAAAAAACAGAAAACAAAAAAAAAAAACCTTTAATTCTAAACAAACTCACTTTTTAAGTTTTGTTTTGTTTTTAGTTAAAGCTTATTTAGTTTTTATACCATTGCCATAATAAAGTATTTATGTTTCACTTTTTAAAAAGACTAATAAAAGGAAATACTTTTTGGTTATCCCTTAACAGAAAAAAGGATTCCCCAAATAATCCTACAATTCCAAACAAGTAACACTAGGAATACCCTCATATACAATTACAGCACAGACACACCAGGCACGGTGGCTCACGCCTGTAATCCCAACTCTTTGGGAGGCCAAGGTGGGCAGATCGCTTGAGCTCAGGAGTTTGAGACCAGCCTGGGCAACATGGCAAAACCCTGTCTCTACAAAAAATACAAAATTTGGCAGGGCGTGTTGGCGTGCACCTGTGGTTCTAGCTACTTGGGAGGCTGAGGTGGGAGGATCACTTGAGCCTGGGAGGCGGAGGTTGCAGTGAGCCGAGATCGCACAACTGCACTCCAGCCTGGGTGACAGAGTGAGACCCTGCCTAAAAACAAACAAAAAACAATTATGGTGCAGAGAGTTAGAACTGGTCAAACTCAGTTCAACTGAGGCAACTCTACGTGCAATTGACAACTGCCCAGATTAGTATAGATATAGATTCAGCCAGACAAGAATCTAGTTCCCTAAGGAAAGCATGATATTATGAAATTCAGGGCCTTATGTTTCCCTCTTTTCCTTGCTTCAAGAGTAGTCCATGGACAATGCTCACAATATAATGTTAAATCAGTTTTAAAAACTAAAATTGAAACATAAACCTATACATTAATATACCTGTGTCTACACACTTGTGTATGTTACATATAGTTACATACATAGGGACTGAAAGGAGAGACACCACAATTCTTTTGTCTAGATCTGGAGATAAATGTGATTGCTTTGCCCTGGGAGATGGTAACCCTGCTGAATACATCTGTTGGCAGGGGACAAAGTATGTGATGGAGGTGCTGAAAGATCTCATATGCCCAATTTGTTACAGTCTGTTTGATATCCTTGAGTTTTGGCTTACTTGCACAACTTCCGGGAAAAAAAAATGCTTAGAAGGCATGGGATGATTAATACTGAGAATCAACTTGATTGAAGGATACAAAGTATTGATGCTGGGTGTGTCTGTGAGGGTGTTGCCAAAAGAGATTAACATCTGAGTCAGTGGGCTGGGGAAGGCAGACCCACCCTTGATCTGGTGGGCACAGTTTAATTAGCTGCCAGCGAATATAAAGCAGGTAGAAAAACGTGAAAAGGAGAGATGGGCCTAGCATCCCAGCCTACATCTTTCTCCCGAGCAAGATGCTTCCTGCCTTCAAACATCAGACTCCAAGTTCTTCAGTTTTGGGACTCGGACTGGCTCTCCTTGCTCCTCAGCTTGCAGACAGCCTGTTGTGGGACCTTGTGATCATGTAAGTTAATACTTAATAAACTCCCATATATAAAAACTATTAGTTCTGCCCCTCTGAGAGAACTCTAATACAAGGTAGCTTAAAGGAGAATGTGCAGAATTCATTGTGGAGACTACCTCCATTCAGTCAAGTGCCCTGGGGTGCTGTAAGGAAACTTCAGCAACTGGAGTCAACAGCCTGCAGGTTAATTACTCCCTGAAGGGTTTGAAGAAAATATAACTAGATCAAGATCTCTTCTAAAATGCCAGTGTTCAAAGGACATCTGGAGTACCTCTGAGCATTCTCGGGCTGACTGATACACAGCTAATCTGTGGAATCCGTGCTACTGGTGTTGACCACACCAAGCATTGTCTTCTGTTCTATTGAAGAAGTTCATGCTCAGAAAAGAAATGGCTATGCCTTTGAATCCCTCTTTTAGAGTTTTGAGAACTGGCGTTGGGGAGATGTTCTTTCTCGCCTGAATACCATGGAGACTAGCAAGTTACTGATTAAAATATTTAAGTAAAGTATTAAAGAATTGAAATAAAGGCCGGGTGCAGTGGCTCACACCTGTAATCCCAGCCCTTTGGGAGGTCGAGGCGAGTGGGTCACTTGAGGTCAGGAGTTCAAGACCAGCCTGGCCAACATGGTGAAACCTCGTCTCCACTAAAAATACAAAAATTAGGTCGGGCGCAGTGGCTCACGCCTGTAATCCCACTGAGGGATTTGGGAGGCTGAGGCAGGTGGATCACAAGGTCAGGAGATTGAGACCATCCTGGCGAACACGGTGAAACCCTGTGTCTACTAAAAATACAAAAACAAAATTAGCTGGGCACGGTGGCGGGCACCTGTAGTCCCAGCTACTCGGGAGGCTGAGGCGGGAGAATGGCATGAACCCAGGTGGCAGAGCTTGCAGTGAGCCGAGATGGCGCCACTGGACTCCAGCCTGGGCAACAGAGTGAGACTCCGTCTCAAAAAAAAAAAAAATTAGCCAGGCACGG